>NC_000011.10:76207211-76510241 GCF_000001405.40 Homo sapiens | reverse complement strand
AGCTGGGAATACAAGCATATGCCACCACACTCAGCTAATTTTACTATTTTTGTAGAGATAGGGTCTTGCTTTATAGTCCAGGGTGATCTTGAACTCTGGCTTCAAGCAGTCCCCCTGCCTTGGCCTCCCAAAGATCTGGGATTACAGGCATGAGCCACCAAACACAGCCAGTTTATTAATTTTTTTATTAGAGACAGCGTCTTGTTCTGTCACCCAGGCTGAAGTGCGGTGGCATGATGACTGTAACCTTGAACTCCTGAGCTAAAGCAATTCTCCCATCTCAGAATCCCAAAGCACTGAGATTATAGGCATGAGCCACTGCACCTGGTCTATATTTTATTTTTTTGAATAGAGAAAGCATTCATTAAAAACTGACCAGTATAAAAAGTTAGAGTGAATAACTTGTCCTCTTTCCTTGTCCTCTGTCTAGTTCTCCCTTGCCATTAACAAAAGCTTAGTTTCTTATATATTGTCAGAGTCTCCACAAATACAAGAAAATTTAAATATGGATTCTTATACCTCCCCTCTTTACACACTTGTAAAACATAACACATGCACCTTGCTTTCCCCCCCACCTTTAACAATGTATCTTAGAGATCTTTTTAATATAGTCAGTACATAAAATTAAATTGCTTCTTCATTCTACAGTGATACAGGTATACCTTGTTTTATTACACTTTGCTTTATTGTGCTTCTCAGTACTAGTGTGTTTTTTTGTTTGTCTGTTTGTTTTTGTTTTTTGTTTTTTTGAGACGGAGTCTCGCTCTGTTACCCAGGCTGGAGTGCAGTGGTGCAATCTTGGTTCACTGCAACCTCCACTTCCTGGGTTCAAGCAATTCTCCCTGCCTCAGCCTCCCGAGTAGCGGGATTATAGGCACCCACCAACACACCTGGTTTATTTTTGTATTTTTAGTAGAGACAGGGTTTCATCATGTTGGCCAGGCTGGTCTCGAACTCCTGACCTCCGGTGATCTGCACTCCTTGGCCTCCCAAAGTGTTTTTTACAAATTGAAGGTTCTGGCAACCCCACGTCGAGTAAGTCTATAGGCACCATTTTTCCAACAGTGTGCGCTCACATTATGTCTGTGTCACATTTTGATGATTCTCACAATAATTCAAAGTTTTTTTTTATTATTATATCTGTTACTTTAATCGGTGATCAGTGATCTTTGATGTTACTATTATAATTGTTTTGGGCCACCACAAACCATGCTCGTGTAAGATGATGTACTTAATCAATAAATGTTGTGTGTGCTCTGACTGCTTCACGAACTGGACATTCTCCCATCTCTCTCCCTCTCCTTGGGCCTGCTTGTTTCCAAAGACACAATGATACTGAAATTAGGCCAGTTAATAAACTTCATTTCTATGAAGGCCAGGAGAGTGAGGAATCTGCAGAAGAAAAGTTGGAAGCTAGCAGAGGTTGGTTCATGCGGTTTAAGGAAAGAAACCATCTACAGAATGTCAAAGTGCAAAACAAAACAGCAAGTGCTGACGGAGAAGCTGTAGCAAGTTATCCAGTAGATCTACCTAAGATCATTGATGAAGGTGGCTACACTAAACACCAGATTTTCAATGTAGACAAAATAGACTTTTATTGGAAGAAGATGCCATCTAGGACTTTCATAGATAAAGAAGTCAATGCCTGGCTTCAAAGCTTCAAAGAACAGACTGACTCTCTTGTTAGGGACTAATGCAGTTGCTGAGTTTAAGTTGAAGCTGATGTTCATTTACCATTCGCAAAATGCTAGGGTCCTTAAAAAGGATGCTAAATCTACTCTGCCTGTGCTCTATAAATGAAACAACAAAGCCTGGATGACACCACATCTGTTCACAGCATGGTTTACTGAAGGTTTTAAGCCCACTATTGAGACCTACTGCTCATAAAAAAAAAAAAAGATTCCTTTCAAAATATTACTACCCACTGACAATGCACCTAGTCACCCAAGAGCTCTGATGGAGATATACAAGATTAATATTGTTTTCATGCCTGCTAACATAACATCCGTTGTGCAGGCCATGAAACAAGGAATAATTTCAACTTTCAGGTCTTATTAAGAAATAAATTTTAGGCTGGGTGTGGTGGCTCATGCCTGCAGTCCCAGCACTTTGGGAGGCTGTGGCAGGTGGATTGTTTGAGCCCAGGAGTTTGAGACCAGTCTGGGCAACATGGTGAGACCCTGTCTCTACAAAAATTTTTTTAAAAAAATTAGCCAGGCATGCTATGGCTCATGCCTGTAGTCTCAGCTACTTGGGAGGCTGAGGTGGGAGGACTGCTTGAGCCAGGAGGTTGAGGCTGCAGTGAACTATGATTGTGTCACTGCATTCCAGCCTGGCTGACAGACTATGTCTCAAAAAAAAGAAAAAAAAAAAAAAGAAAAAGAAAAAGAAAAAGAAAAAAAAATGCATTTTGTAAGGCTACAGCTGCCATAATGATTTCTCTAATGGATTTGGGCAAAGTCAATCTTCTGGAAAGGATTCACTGTTCTAGATGCATTCAGAACATTTTTGAATCATGGGAGGAGGTCAAAATATCAACATTAATAGGAGCTTGGAAGAGGTGGATTCCAACCTCTATGGATGACTTTGAGTGGTTTAGGTCTTCAGTGAGAGAAATAACTATCTTGTGATAAAACTTGACTAGATGAGGAGTTGCTTCTCATGGATGAACAACGAATGTGGTTTCTTGAGATGGAATCTTCTAATGAAATAATAGTGCCCTGTCCTGTGGATGTTGTTGAAATAACAACAAGCAATTTGGAGTATTATATAAACTTAGTTGATAAAGCAATGGCACGTTTAAAAGATTGACTTCCATTTTCAAAGAAGTTCTACTGTGGGTAAAATGTTGTAAAACAGCATTCCATGCTACAAAGAAATCTTTTACAGAAGGAAAAATCAATCCATGCAGCCAACTTCACTGTTGTCTTACTTTAAGAAAATGCTGTAACCACCCCAACCTTCAGTATCCACCAACCTGACCAGTCAACAGCCATCAACATTGAGACAAGACCCTCCACCAGCAAAAAGATTACACCTCTCTGAAGGCTCAGATGGTCATTAGCATTTTTTAGCAATGAAGTATTTTAAATTAAGGTATGTACATTTTTTAGACATAATACAATTACACACATAATAGACAGCAGTATAATATAAACATAACTTTTATATGCACTGGGAAACCAAAACTTTGGTGTGACTTCCTCTGTTGTGATATTCACTTTATTTCAGTGGTCTGGAACTGAACCTGTAAACTCTATAAAGTACGCCAGAATCGTAATTTATGTAATGAATCCCCTGTAAGGTTGTTTCCAGTCTTTCTTTTTTTAAAATTCAAACAAAATGCAGTGAATAAGCCTATATAGTGTCATTTTGTATGTGTATCTGTAGGATAAATTTCCAGAAGTATGACTGCTATGTCAGTTTTGACAGATACTGCCAAGTTTTCATCTTATCGGGATTTTCGATTTATTTTCCTACCAGTAATGTACGAGTCCCAGCTTCCTCACAGTGCCCCCTTCCCACCAGTATATTTTCAAGCAGTTGGATTTTTGCCAATGTGATAGGGGCGGGTGGATGTTATCTCAGTATTTTTTTCATTTTTCATTTCCCTTATTAAGAGTGAGTTTGAGAAACTATTTATATGTTTTAGTGCCCTTTGTAATTCACTTTTTGTGTGCTATCTGTATCCATTTTCCACTTTCCTGTTGGATCAATTTCTGGGAATTCTTACACTGTCAGGATAATTGGTATTCTGTGCATTTCATGATTTGCAGATTTTTTTCCAGTTTATTTGTCTTTTGACTTCATGGGGTTTTCTGTGCAAAACACTATTTGTTTATATGTAGTTGAATTTATCAGTGTGGTCTTTAATGCTTCCAGATTTTCCATCACAGTTTATAATTTTTGTATTTAAGTCTTTTGGAATTTAAACTGGTATGAGGTTAGACAATACAATATATTGATAACCAAATGTGATTTCAGTCTGTAATTTTCTTTTTTGTGTGCAGGGTTTGCCAGGTTTTTCTTTGAGCATTATGTGTATTTCCAAGAAAGAATTTTGAAAGTTTTTTTTTAATGCCCTGGAATATTTTTTATATTTAAATTTTATTTATTTATTTAGAGACAAGGTCTCGCTCTATTGCCCAGGCTTAAGTACACCAGGCAATTCTGCCGCCTTAGCCTCAGCTGAGACTACAAGCATATGCCACCATACCTGGCTAATTAAAAAAATTTTTTTTGTAGAGTTGGGGTCTTGCCATGTTGCCCAGACTGGTGTCGAACACCTGGCCTCAAGTGATTCTCTCGCCTTGGCCTACCAAAGTGTCAGGATTATAGGTGTGAGCCACTGTGCTCGGCCTGAAATTTTTTTTTCTTTTTTTTTTGAGACAGAGTCTCGCTCTGTTGCCCAGGCTGGAGTGCAGGGGCGTGATCTTGGTTCACTGCAAGCTCCACCCCCCGGGTTCACGCGATTCTCCTGCCTCAGCCTCCCAAGTAGCTGGGACTACAGGCGCCTGCCACCACGCCCAGCTAATTTTTTGTATTTTTAGTAGAGATGGGGTTTCACCGTGTTAGCCAGGATGGTCTCGATCTCTTGACCTCGTGATCCACCCGCCTCAGCCTCCCAAGGTGCTGGGATTACAGGCGTGAGCCACTGTGCCCAGCCGCCATATTTCTTTTAGATTATTTTCTATGAAGTAATACCACTATTCTTCTCTCCACATCCCCAGAGCCACTATCTGGAATATGGTATTTATCACGCTATTGTATATTTTTATAGTTTTACAACAAGGTAGGTGGATCACTTGAAGTCAGGAGTTTGAGACCAGCTTGGCCAACATGGTGAAAACCCATCTCTACAAAAAAAAAAAAAAAAAAATTAGCCGGGCGTGATGGTGCGCGCCTGTAATCCCAGCTACTTGGGAGGCTGAAGCAGGAGAATTGCTTGAACCCAGGAGGCGTAAGTTGCAGTGAGCCAAGACCGCCCGCCTTGGCCTCCCAAAGTGCTGGGATTACAGGCATGAGCCACCGCTCCCGGCCGAATTTTCTTTTCTTAAAGAGCTTTATCAAAATATAATTGACTAAGCATTCAATGAACACATTTAAAATGTACAATGTAATGTTATTTAATATATTCACAGATATGTTCAGCCATCATAACAATTGATTTTAGAACACTTCACTTCAAAAGGAAACCCCATAATATGATCTACTACTCCTTGCACCCATTCATTCAGTTTCCTACCCCCAGCCCCAAGTAACCACTAGTTATTTTCTGTCTGTAGATTTCTGTAATTTGGACTTTGATATGAAATAAATCATATAATACGTGGTCTTCTGTAACTGGCTTCTTGAACTTAATGTAATCTTTTTGAGGTTCATCCATCTTGTAGCATGTGTTAGTACTTCATTCCTTTTATGGCTAATTAAAATTCACATTTTGTTTATCTGTTTGTCCATTGATATGAATTTGGATTGTTTCACCTATTGGCTATTACGAATAATGCTGCTGAAAATATTTGTATGCAAGTTTTTTGGTATTCAGTTCTCTTGTATATATACCTAGGAGTGGAATCTCAGGATCATATGTTAATTCTTTGTTTAATTTAATTGTTTGATAAACTGACGTGTTTTCCAAAGCAACAGTACCATTTTACATTCCCACCAGCAGTGTATGAGGATTCCTGTTTCTCTACATCCATGTCAACACTTGTTATTCTGTTACATTGATTCTAGGCAGTCTGCTTTGTGTAAAGTATATTTCACTGTGATTCTGATGTGTACTTACCTGATAACTAATGATGTTTAGCATGTTTTCATGTGCTTTTTGTATCTTTTATATATTTTCCCTGAAGAAATGGCTATTCGGATCTTTTACCCATTTTAAAATTGGGTTATATGTCTATTTACCATTGAGTTATAAGAGTTTATATATATATATTATATATATATAAAAACTCATATATCTGTACCATTTTACATGTACATGTATGGTTTTATTTCTGGTGGTGGGAATGTAAAATGGTACAGTTTATATTTGCTGGTGGGAATGTAAAATGGTACAGTTGCTTCGGATATGTAATTTGCAAGTATTATTTCCCATTCTCTGAATTGTCTTTTTACTTTCTTGATGGTATCTTTTAAAACACAGCAGTTAGCTGGGCACAGTGGCTCCCGCCTGTAATCCCAGCACTTTGGGAGGCCAAGGTAGGTGGATCACTTGAAGTCAGGAGTTTGAGACCAGCTTGGCCAACATGGTGAAAACCCATCTCTACAAAAAAAAAAAAAAATTAGCCGGGCGTGATGGTGCGCGCCTGTAATCCCAGCTACTCGGGAGGCTGAAGCAGGAGAATTGCTTGAACCCAGGAGGCGTAAGTTGCAGTGAGCCAAGACCGTGCCACTACACGCTAGCCTGGGTGACAGAGCAAGACTCCGTCTCAAATAAATAAATAAATTAAATTGAATACAGCAGTTTTTGATATCTAACTTTTCTATTTTCTTTTTGTTGCTCATGCTTTCATTGTTATATCCAAGAATCCTTTGCCAAATCCAGTATGTTAGAGATTTACCCTAAGTTTTTTTCTAAGAGTTTGATAGTTTTACCTCTAAGTGTAAATGTTTGATTCATTTGAGTTAATTTTGTATACGGTGTGATGTAAGGGTCTCACTTCATTCCTTTGCACATATCTATTCATTTGTCCCAACAGAATTTGTTAAAAAGACTATTTTTCCCCCATTGAATGATCTTGGCATCTTTCTCAAAAAGCAGTTGACCATAGTTGTACGGTTTTATTTCTGGACTTTCAATTCTGTTCCATTGATCTATATGTCTTATGCCGGTACCATACTGTTTTGATTACCATTGGTTTGTAGTAAATTTTGAAATCAGGAAGCATTTGAGTCCTCTCCTTCTTCTTCTTTTTTTTTTTTTTTTTTTTTTTGAGACCACGCCTTGCTCTGTCACCCAGGCTAGAGTGCAGTGGTGCAATCTCAGCTCACTGCAACCTCCGCCTCTCAGGTACAAGTGATTCTCCTGCCTCAGCCTCCCGAGTAGCTGGGATTACAGCCATGTACCATCATGGCCAGTTAATTTTTGTATTTTTAGTAGAGACAGGGTTTCACCATGTTGGCCAGTCTGATGTCGAAATCCTGACCTCAGGTGGTCCACCTGCCTCAGCCCCACAAAGTGCTGGAATTACCGGGAGGAGCCACCATGCTGGGGCTCCTGCCTGTGATTTTTACTTCTTTTTTTTAAAGATTGTTTTGGCTAACCATATGGCTATCAAATTCCATATGAATTTTGGAGTTAGCTTGTCAATTTCTACGAAGAAGTCTGCTGAGATTCTGATATAGGTTGCATTGAATCTATAGATTAATTTAAGGAGCACTGTCATCTTAACAATGTTAAATCTTCTGATCTGTGAGCATGGTATGCTTTCCTATTTATTTAGATCTTTAATTTCTTTCAATGTTTTGTAGTTTTCAGAGTATACATTTTGTATTTCTTTTGTTAAATTTATTCCTATTTTGTTCTTTTGGTGCTATTATAAATGGAATTGTTAGTTTCACTTTTTAGATTGTATATTGCTAATTTATAGATTTTTGTGTGTTGACTTTGTATCCCGCAACCTTTCCAAACACGTCTCATTTATTAGTTCTAATATCTTTTAGTAGATTCCTTAGTGGTTTTTTTTGTTTTTTGTTTTTTTTTAATAATATAAAGGATCATGTGATCTGCAAATAGGGGTAGAGTTTCTTCTGTTTCAATCTGGATGCTTTTTTTTTTTTAATAATATAAAGGATCATGTCATCTGCAAATGGGGTAGAGTTTCTTCTGTTTCAATCTGGATGCTTTTTTTAAAAAAAAATAATATAAAGGATCATGTCATCTGTAAACGGGGTAGAGTTTCTTCTGTTTCAATCTGGATGCTTTTTTTTTTTTTTTTTTTTTTTTGCCCATTTTCTCTTACTTGAGCCTCTGGTATAATATGGAATATAAGTGTCAACAGCAGACATCACTGTCTTTTTCCTTATTCTTTCTATTCATAGAACTTCTTTTAGTGTCTCTTGTAAGGTGGGTCTGCTAGCAACACACTCTTGCAGATTTTGTTTATTTGGTAAAGTCTTTCTTCATTTTTGAAAGCTAGCTTTGCTGGATATAGGATTCTTAGTTGGTGGGTTTTTTTTTTTTTTTTTTCATTTCAAATGTGTTATCCAACTGCCTGCTGGCTTCATTGTTTCCACTGGGAAGTCAGCTCTTACGTAACTTTATTGCAATTTCCTTGTAAGTGATATGTTGTTTTTCTCTTGCTGTGTTCAAGATTTTCTTTTTGTCTTTGAATTTCAGCAATTTTACTGAGATGTGTCTGTTTATGATCTTTGTTTATCTTATTTGTAATTTGTTAAGCTTCTTAAACATATGTTACTGCTTTTCAATAAATTTGGAAAAGTTTTCAGCCATTATTTCTTTGAATATTTCTTTTCTTTTCTCTCTTCCCAACTCTCGTACTTCCATTATATGTATGTTGGTGTATTTAATGTCTCACATTTCTCTGAAGCTCTGTTAACTTTTCTTCATTGTTTCTTCTCTTTGTTCTTCAGCTCACATAACCTCTATTGATCGTTTTTCAGATTTGCAAATTCTTTCTTCTGCCAGTTCAGATCTACACGTGAACCCCTCTCGTGCATTTTTTAGTTCAGTGACTTTACTTTTAACCTCCAGATTTTCTGTTTGGCTCTCTTTAAAAACTAATTTCTATCTCTTTATTGATCTTTATTTGATGTAATATTGTCCTCATAGCCTCTTTTACTTCTATAATCATGTTTTTCTTTAGTTCTGTGAACATATTTGTAATGGCTACTTCAAAGTACTTTTCAGTTAAGTCTGACATCTGGTTGCTCTTATAGTTTCTGTTGTTTGTTTGTTTTTCTAATGTATGGGTAATATTTTCCTGTTTCTTTACCTGCCTCCTTATGTCTTTGTTAGAAATTAGACATTTTAGATAATATACATACAGCCCTCTGTAACTTCTACATCTTCAGATTCAAGCAACCATGGATCAAAAATATTTAGGAAAAAGACAACAAAAATAATAATACAACAGTAAAAAATAATACAAGTACAGAAACAATATAGTATAACAGCTACATAGCATTTACATTGTATTAGGTATTATAGGTAATCTAGAGATGATTTAAAGTATACAGGAGGGTGTGCATAGGTTTCATAAATACTACACCATTTTTTATAAAGGACTGGAACATCCACAGATTTGAGTATCAACAGGGTCCTGGAAGCAATCTTCCACGGATACTGAGGGATGACCATGCAGTACCTGGGTACTGGTTTCCCCTCACCAGGGATTTGTTATTGTTATTTGCATAGTTATTTGTTTAGTGATGGGATCAGTTATTTTAGTGAAGTCTTTTTATTCCCTCTCCAGCCCATGCTCCTTCATCTAAGCATCTGATATTATTCCTCATGGAGACACTGCTCTGGGTATACTTACAGTCACTTTGGGATGACAGTGGTATTAGTTTGGCTTTTTTCTATTCTTTCCTTGACGACACCCAGCTGTTAAACTCTATTAACTGCTGGTTGATTACTCTGTTGTTTTCAGGAAAGCTTTGGAGCATACATTACTCTGTAATCCGAATTTTGGCTCCTTTGAAGGAACAGTTTCTGGGGTTCATTTTTGATATTTCTTCTAACCTCATGAAGGCTCTTCCCAGCTTTTATATTATCTGCTTCTTCTCTATAAACTGTCTGCAGTCTAGACTATATGTTCATTACATCCATGAATCTCCTTCTGGTTGCCTTTCACCACTTCCTTCACTGTTCTTGAGAATGCCCTTAGTCTTGAACTTCTCCATGCTCTGGTATAAATGGAGTTAGTTCCTTTGGGAAGAGATTAGGAGCTATCTGTTTTATGAATTATTTCTATCCTTTGGCAAAGTCTCTGAGCCAGTAACATTAAGTATTATATTAACATTAAGTAACATTAAGTATTATATTAAGTAACATTAGATATGGTGAAATCTCCCTTTTTTACTAGAAAGATAAAATTATTTCAAATATAGAGTAATTTGCAGTGAAAAGGTCAAATGTGATAGGCGACATAAGTATTTTTTTTATTGTTTTGGGTTTGGTTTTTTTTTTTTTTTTGAGATAGGCTCTCACTCTGTAGCCCACGCTGGAGTGCAGTGGTTTAATCATAGCTCACTGCAACCTCAAACTTCTGGGCTCAAGCAATCCTCCTGCTCCCTCCCAAGTACCTAGGAGTACAGGCACATGCCACCATTTCTAGCTAATTTTTAAATTTTTTGTAGAGACCAAAAAATGGTCTCTACAAAAGGGCAGAGGTCTTGTTATATTGCCCAGGCTGGTCTCAAACTCCTGGCCTCACATGGCCAACACATGTATACTGTAATACCATAAGCAAACGCTAAGAAAACAGAACAAAACAATATACTTTAAAATAATAAGTCAACATGAAACCCTAAAAATTCTTCAAGTAAACTACAAATAGGCAAGAAAAAAGAAACAAGAAACAAAAGAAACAAACAAAATAAAACGGCACATGTAACCACTACCATATCAACAATTACCTTAAATGTAAATGATCTAAATATATCATTTAAAAGTTAAAGATTGGGGCCGGGCGCAGTGGCTCATGCCTGCAATACCAGCACTTTGGGAGGTGGAGGAGGGCGGATCACGAGGTCAGGAGATTGAGACCATCCTGGATAACACGGTGAAACCCCGTCTCTACTAAAAATACAAAAAATTAGCCGGGTGTGGTGGCAGGCGCCTGTAGTCCCATCTACTTGGGAGGCTGAGGCAGGAGAATGGTGTGAACCCAGAAGGTGGAGCTTGCAGTGAGCCGAGATAGCGCCCCTGCACTCCAGCCTGGGCGACACAGCAAGACTCCATCTCAAAAAAAAAAAAAAAAAAAAAAAAAAAAAAGTTATAAGATTGGTTGGCCAGATGCAGTGGCTCACACCTGTAATCCTAGCACTTTGGAAGGCTGAGGTGGGCGGATCACTTGAGATCAGCATTCGAGACCAGCCTGGCCAGCATGGTAAAACCCTGTCTCTACTAAAAATACAAAAGTTACCTGGGCGTGGTAGTGTGCACCTGTAATCCCAGCTACCTGGGAGACTGAGGCAGGAGACTCGCTTAAACCCAGGAGGCGGAGGTTGCAGTGAGCTGAGATTGTGCCACTGCACTCCAGCCTGGGTGACAAAGCGAGACTCCGTCTCAAAAACAAAAACAAGTTATTGGCAAAGTTGATATAAAAATATATAACTACACTGTATGCTGTCTACAAGAAACTCACTTCAAATACAACAATAAAAGTAGGTTGAAAGTAACAGGATGAGAAAAAAATACACTATGTGAACATGAATAAAAAGAAAATAGGAGTGGCTATATTAATTACAGATAAAGTATACTTTACAAGGCAATAGAACTCACTCCCCTCCAGTCAGTATAGTTCTCTATTACATGCACTAAATATACTAATGCAGGCTAGTTACCATCATTAATTTATATGGCAGACTTTACAAGTTAAATTGGAATTAAATTTTAAGAATGGAAATTTTTTAAAATCAGCCTTTATATTTAAAAAAAATAGAGAATTAATTGCAGAAAAAAAGGAACGCTACATAATGAGACAGGATCAATATACCAGGAAGACACAATGTTTCTAAATATGTATGCATCAAACAATAGATATATCAAAATATAATACATGTAGCAAAAACTGAGATAGCTGTTTTTGCAGTACTAGAATCCAACAATTAGTTGGGGACTTTATTACTTCACTCCCATCAACTAATAGAACTACTATGCAGAAAATTCAGCATAGATATAGGAGAACTGAACAACATAATCAACCAACAGAATCTAGTTGATATACATATATAGAATACTCCACCCAACATCGGCAGCATAGATATTTTACGAGCACCATGGACCACCCACCAAAGTTGAACATATTGTGGGTGAAGAAACAAACCTCAATAAACGTAAAAGAATTGAAATGATACAGTGTGTTCTCAGACCATAATGAAATCAAACTAGAAATCAATAGCAAAACAAACAAACAAACCCAGAAAAATCTCCATTAGAAATTAAGCAACACAATTCTAAATAATCCATGGGTCAAAGAAGAAGTCTTACACAAAAAATTGAATAAAAATGAAAACAGAACATATTAAAATATGTGGAAGGCAGCTAACACAGTGCCGAGAGAAATTTGTGACAAATGTCTTTACATAGATGGAACTAAATGCTAAGTAATTAGAAAAGAGAGTATGTCTTGAATCAATAATCTAAGTTCCCACCTTAAGAAATTAGAAGAGCAAAATAAACCTAAAGAAAGTAGGACAGAAATAATAAAGATAATAAAATTAAAAACAGAAAAGCAAAGGAAAAATCAATGAAACAAAAATCTAGTTCTTAAAAAATTCAATAAATTTTTAAATGCAATAAATAGCAAGTCTGACAAAGAAAGATACAAACCACCAATATCAGAAATGAAACAGGACATTAATATCGATCCTATAGCCATTAAAAGAATAGTAAAGAACTACTACAAGCAAATTTACACTCAAAAATTTGACAACTTAGAAGAAATGGATCAATTCCTCAAAACCATAAACTACCAAAACCAAGATGAAACAGATAATCTGAAAAGTCCCATAACTAATAAAGAAATGGAATTCATCAATTAAAAGCTTCTAAAAACAGAACTCTCCGGGCCCAGATGGCTTCATTGGAGAATTCTACTGAACATTTAAAGAATTAACATCAATCTTACATAGTCTTTTCCAAAAAATAGAAAGGAAATAAATACTTCCAAACTCACCTTATGAGGCCGGTATTATCCTGACCAAAATTGGACAAAGGCAGTATAAAATAAGAATATTACAGACCAAAATGTCTCATGAATAGAGAGACAAATTGAATCCAGCAATGTATTTTTAAAAATTATATATCATGACCAAGTGGGATTTATTTCAAATATGCAAGGCTGGTTTAACAGAAAATCAATCAATATAATCCAGCATATCAATAGACTAAACAAGAAAAAACTTAATTGAACAGAAAAAGCACTTGACAAAATCCAACACTCATTCATGATAAAAACTCCCCAAAAACTAGTAGCAGAAGTGCACTCCGTCTACCTGATAAAGAGCATCTATAAAAAGCCTACAGCTGGTATTGTACTTAATGGTGAAAAACTGAATGTTTTCTCCTTAAGATTAGGAACAAAGCAAGGATGTCCACTTTCCTCACTCTTATTCATTCAGCATAGTATTGGAAGTTCTAGACAATAAAATAAAACACCAAAAAGAAATAAACAGCAATTGATTGGAAAGGAAGAAACAAAACTGTCCCTATTTATAGATGACATAGTTGCATACACAGAAAATCCCAAGGAATCTATGTAAATACTCTGAGAACAAGTGAGTTCAGCAAGGTCAAAGGATACAAGATCAATACTATTTTTATATACTAACAAAAAACATGTAGACATTGAAATTAAAATCATAATACCAATTATAATCACGACAAGAAAATGAAATGCTTAGGTACAAATCTAACAAAACATATACAGAATCTATATGCTGAAAGCTGTAAAACACTGATGAAAAAGTCAAAGACCTAAATAAATGAAGAGACATACCGTGTTCATGGACTGGAAGACTAAAAAAACTGGTGAATAAAGAAGAATTACCATATCTTATAAACATTTTCCAGTTACCTGACTCCTGTTTGATTTGGATGGTAGGTTTAATACCAGGTGGCAAAGGAGACTGCTGAGGCTGTTGCTGATGAGATACTGGAGAAGGCTGGGCCACTTGTTGCTGTGTCTGCTGTTGCACTTGATATAACTGCTGCTTAGGAGACTGTTGATGTTGTTTAGGGAACTGTGCAAGAATCTGAGTTGGGGCACTCACTAAGCTTTTGGGGGAAGGAAGTCTGGTTGATGCCATTTTGATTGCTGATGTAGATACACCTGTAGAAAAGGAGTAAGGGAAAAGAGAATTTGATAGGAAAGCAAAATTAAAGTTACTTCTGGTTATTATAGTAGATAATAGTTTAAAGAATAGGGAAATCAACAAAAAGTACAATTTATTGAGCACCTAGTAAGTGTCAGATAAAATGTGTGGCACCTTACATATCTGATATCTAGTCTTCAAACTCTTCAAGGGAGGTAACCATTGTTCTCAGATTTTAAAAATGAACTGATTTTCCCTTGGTGAAGAGTGAGAATGAAAGAAACAAATTATCAGACAGGATGTTCCCAGACCTGTCTCTTAACAGATTTTCTATTAGAAAATGTAGGTTCTCAATGTGAATAATATAAGAACAAAGCGATTTTATTAATTTTTGAATCTTATTTATATGTTATATATTTTTCAAATATTATTTTTCAGGTTCTAATCAGCCAGTTTAAACATAGTATCCTTGAAATAACTCACATTCATCTTTTGAACAAGATAATTCCCTTTTCTCTGAGAATGGTGAAGAGGAAAAAAAATTTTAATAAAAACAGAAAAAGTCATTTCCTAAGAACTCTGAATCATTAAATAATCATATGAAAAGTTGTAAATGGGCATACTCAACATATCCACAGCAAAAAGATTCTGATTATATGAGGTTCTTTTCAGTGGGATTCTAATATTAGCAAGCACACATAGGTAAGGAGTACTAGTAACTTTCACTAAAGATGTATGAGTTTCAGATATTCTTCCCTCTCGCAGGTTTTTCATCTGTAATTTTTCTGAATTCATCAACTATCTAAAAGGACTATTATCTATCAATAAGTTAATATTCCTAACTGAGAGAACCTGGAATATAACTCATCATATTAACTTTTTAAGCACTGCTGATACAATAAAAAGAAACTAATAGCCTAATTCTCAAGTACTTAGGATGTTTTTTCACACCTTTCTCTACCACATCCTCACCATGACAAATACACTGTATTACAGAAAAGGTTTTAAATAATATCACGTTCTTATGTAAAATGTCTCTAGAGAATGATAAAGATGGAGGATAAAACTTGAGAAGTCGCTATGACTCTCTAGACCTCAGCATCCTCACTTGTTGAATTTTTCCTTGCCCTGTGTCTCTAAGAGCTGTTGTGCAGATCAAGATCAATCACAGACTGAGGGACACTTTGAGACAAGAAGGCCGGGCACAGTGGCTCACGCCTGTAATCCCAACACTTTGGGAGGCTGAGGCAGGCGTATCACCTGAAGTCAGGAGTTTAAGACCAGCCTGGCCAACATAGTGAAACCCCATCTCTACTAAAAATACAAAAATTAGCCGGGCACGGTGGCAGGCACCTGTAATCCCAGCTACTCGGGAAGGTGAGGCAGGAGAATCTCTTGAACCTGGGAAGCAGAGGTTGCAGTGAACCGAGATGGCATTACTGCACTCCAGCCTGGGCGACAGAAGAAAAGGAAAGGAAGGAAAGGAAGGAAGGAAAGGAAGGAAGGAAGGAAGGAAGGAAGGAAGGAAGGAAGGAAGGAAGGAAGGAAGGAAGGAAGGAAGGAAGGAAGGAAGGAAGGAAGGGAAAGGAAAGGAGAGGAAGGCAGGCAGGCAGGCAAGGTAGTCAGAATCACCTGGAAGGCTTACTTCCATTACTTACATAGTTCCCCACTCCTTCCTGAATACTAGTAACATGTATGTTCTGTATTGCTTGGTTGTGCTGAACTAGACTATCTCTGGAGCCTCTTTCAGTGCCAACATTTTATGACTCAATGAGTATAAAGTTATCCAAGTGAAAGATATTTTTATACTACCTAAAGCATTAAACTTTATATGGCACTCATAATGTATGGTCTTATATTAAATGAAGATAATCATGTACATGGGTAACTCCCTAACTAAACTATTGTCACGGGATCTCTGGGGTGTCACTTCACCAGCCAGAAACGTCTGTGGCCGGCGGCACCTTCTACCTGAGTATTGCTTGCCCACTGGGCTCATTCTGTCCACTTGTCCCTGCAGGCGGTGCTTGGCTCGTGCTACCGGCCCGGATCCCACACCTGTCAACAGTGAGCCAGGCACAGATGCCAGCTGCTGCAGTGGGGCGGGCAGCTCCAGGCACTGGCAGAGATGCCAAGCTCCATGCGAGGCTGCGGCTGGACCAGATGTACCGCACACAGCTTCTGCTGCGGGCATCCGCATCTGAACGAGAACACAGTGGCGCCCGAAAGCTTGGAGACACCAGAACCACAGAGTCCCAAAGAGGGTGTCAGAGCCCAGGCTTGGGGAGCCCCTAGGTCTGGGCTCCCCCAAGGGCTGCAGCTCTTCTCTCCTGTCACTGGTAACATGGGGAGCAGGGGAACATGTTTCAGCCCTGTTTGTGTTACAGCTCTTTCAGTCCCGGCATTTGGCGGGTCTCCAGTTCTTGTCTCGCATCCAGGAAGAATGAAGTACTCGGACAACTGGATGGTAAGCAAGGCGGAGAGGAGCTTCACTGAGCAACAGAACAGCTCTCAAGAGATCCGAAGCGAGTAGCTCCTTTCTACAAGAAGGTCTCCTGAACGAGTGTTCAGCTTTCAGCTGAGAGAAGACCCACAGTGGGTAGCTCCTTTCCACAGGCAGATCTTCCCCACGTCTGTTGGAGTCTGGCTGTGTCAGGGGTTTTCATGGGTTCAGAAGGGAGAAAGTGCATGCTAATTGGTCCATGGGCGGCCAATGGACCGGAAAAAGCCCTGTAACTTCTCACTCCAGTCTCGACTCCACCTGGAACTGACAGCCCAGACCCCATGCTTCAGGCCATCCCTGGTTTGAGGGTGGGACCTCACCGGGACCCACCCCTTTGCACTCACGAGCCTGTCTGCCTCCTGCTGCCATCAATCACAGAGCCCAGGCTGTTCGGGGAAGGGGCGCCTGCAGGCCCTTATCAACCCACCCTCGACCCCCTTTGGCCTCCTTCCCGTGCTCATTGGCACCCAAAGTCTGGGGGTGGGGGCGGTTCAGGCGGCAGGGGGCTGGCACGTCAGTGCCACCCCAAGTGGTGTGCACCCAGCTGGGTGGCAACAGCACCCAGGCTAGGCCTCAACTTTGCTCTGAAACCGGAGCAGACAGCAGGAGCGGGGAGAGGCCAGGCAGCAGGAGCAGGCACTTCGGAGACTGCAAGGGAAGGGGGGGCTTCCCTGGCCCCTGAGAGCACACGGATGCCCAGGTCTGCGTGGGGAGGAGACCCACAGCGGGTAGCTCCTTTCCACAGGCAGGTTTTCCCCAGTCTGTTGGAGTCTGGCTAAGTCCAGGGTTTTCATGGGCTCAGCAGGGAGGAAGTGCATGCTGATTGGTTCATGGGTGGCCACAGGCGGGCCAGAAAAAGCCCTGTTAACTTCTCACTCCACCTGAGTGTGTGCTAGGTAGCTCACACTCATGGAAGCCCACTTTATCCCACACTTAGGTTCTAAGTCTGAGGACTTCACCTGGAGTCCACTGCACCCACTGGAGCTGCACCCAGGAGGGCGGGGCTCCTGCCCTGCCAACTCAGAAGAGAGTAGGGTTCCTATCTGTTCCTGGCTCCCTGCGGGCTCTGTGGAATGGGCAGCCCTGGCGATGCCTCCCCCACTGCAGCATCTCTGCAGCAGCTACCAGATGGGCCACCGCTGCCATCACTGTGATTTCCACATACTTTTGTACAGGAAAAGTATCTGATGTGAAAGCATTCAGGATGCTTGTATTTATTTTTGTAATCAGAGAATTGTATTTATTTATTTATTTATGAGATGGAGTCTCGCTCTGTGGCCCAGGCTGGAGTGCAGTGGCGTGATCTCAACTCACTGCAACCTCTGCCTCCCGGTTCAAGCGATTCTCCTGCCTCAGACTCCCGATCAGCTGGGATTAGAGGCACGCACCACCATGCATGGCTAATTTTTGTATTTTTAGTCGAGTAGAGGTTTCACCATGTTGGCCAGGCTGCTCTCAAACTCCTGACCTCAAGTGATCCACTGGTCTTGGCCTCCCAAAGTGCTGGGATTATAGGCATGAGCCACTGCGCCCAGCCAGAAGTGTATTTAAATCCATGTCTTCAACACATAAAAACATAATAGCTGTATGACCTGATTAAAGTACTTAATCTTTCTGAATATTTATTTATTCAATAAAAACTTGAGTACATACTTTATGCTAGATCCTGGGGAAACTATTTGGTATCCATGGAACAGTCCCTACCCTGAGAAAGGTCAGAGAAGACAATCAAATGATCACACGAGTCTATCATTACAAACTAATAAATGTTTCGTGTTAACAACTACAAGGTCTTCTTCCTCTTCCATCCCCCTTAGCTACCCAAACAATTCCATACAAAAGCCATCTGGTGGTATAAAGCAGGATGGACAGCTAGGCAGCTAAGCAGAAGAGTAGTCTAGCATGAGGTGACAGAGTTCACTCTGGAGACTGGCTTACCATGGGAGCCAGAGTAGGAGGAGGAGAGCATCTACACTGAGAAGAGTTCACGGGATAACCCAGCATGTAAAGTTAGAACCTAAGTGGGATAAAGTGGGCTTCCACGGTGTGAGCTACCTAGCGCAGGATCTCAAAGCTTCAGCAGGGTATCCGTAGGAAACGGTGGCTAGGGTGAGTACAGAGTCCAAACTGGGTGAGGGCTTCTGCCTAGGAGGGCCACCTGGCCCTGGCATGGCTGTCAGAGCTGACCAGGTTGAGATAGGCATCCATGCAAAGGGGTAGCTGAGGGAAGGTGTCAGAACTCAGGCGGGGCTGGACACAGTGGCTCATGCCTATAATCTCAGCACTTTGGGAGGCTAGGCAGGAGGACCACTTGAGGTCAGGAGTTCAAGAGCACCCTGGTCAACATAGCAAGACCCTGTCTCTACAAACAAAAAACAAAAAAAGCCGGGCATGGCAGCACACACCTGTAGTCCCAGCTACTCAGGAGGCTGAGGTAGGAGGATCCCTTGAGCATAGGAGTTAGAGACTACAGTGAGCCATGATCATGCCACTATACTCCAGCTTAGGTGCCAGAGTAAGACCCCTATCTCTTAAAAAAAAAAAAAAAAAAGAAAAAAGAAGAAGAAATCAGCTGAGCTGAGGTAAGAGTATGCAGATGTCAGAGCCTGAAAGGAATGAGGACAGCACCTGCACAGGGGAGGAGGCAACAACAGCATAGGGGAGGAGCAACTATTATTTGGTTACATATCAGGAAACTGATATATAAGTATATTCGAGATAATAGAAGTTAGGTTTTTCACTATCAGAGAGAGAGGAAACAAGTTAACATGCAATGTTTGATTGAAATTGGATGTATCACTATGAACTCAGCTTTTAATATATGAAAATACAGATGTACATGTGTTTACACACACACACACACACACACACACCCCCTAGCAATGAACATATCCAGAACCCAGATCTTAGCTTCTAATTATTACTTTCTACTATAAGAAACCAAGACTTCTTGAAAAAATGACTGATTCCAAGGCTGGAATAGGAAAAGTATAAGATGAACCTGGTACACCTAAAAGACATGTTTTCCCCTCTTTTGTAATTTCTTTAAAAGAAAATCACCAGTTTGAAGCAAAAAGATTAACAAGGCAATGTGAAGTTTATAAATACATATAGAATTAAAGTGTATGACAACCATAGCACAAGGAAGGGAGAGAGGAAATAGAAGTACTCTTTTAAGATTCTAACACAATACATGAAATAGTATATTATTTCAAGGTAGACTGTTATAAATTGAAAATGCATACTGTAAGCTCTAAAGCTAGATTCTCAACCAATAGTAATTTTTCCGCCTCTCGTCATCCCACAGGATATCTGACAATCACTGGAGACATTTTTTATTTTCATAACAGGGGTCGGGGGGCATATGCTACTGGCACCTAGTGGATAGTCAGGTTTATAATGCACAGGTCAACTTCAAGAACAAAAAATTATCTGGTCAAGAATGTCAACAATGTGGAGGTTGAGAACCCTACTCTAGAGCAACTATTTTTTTTTAAGTGTAGCTACCGAGTCGAGGAAATAAAATGGAATCCTTAAAAAAAAAATCAATAAAAATAAATAAATAAAAGAAGACTGGAAAAGAGACCAAAAGGAACAAGGAACATATGAGACAAATAAAAACAATTGTCAAGATGACAGACTTAAACTCAATCCTACCGATAATTAATATTAAATGTAAATGGACTACACCTTCCAATTAAAGGTCAGAGATTATCAGACTGAGAGAAAAGACCTAACTATACAATGTTCATAAGAGATATATTTTAAATACAAAGGCACAGATGGGTTAAGAATACAATAATGAAAAAAAGATACATCAAGTAGGCCGGGCACGGTGGCTTGTGCCTTTAATCCCAGCACTTTGGGAGGCCGAGGTGGATGGATCACCAGAGGTCAGAAGTTTGAGACCAGCCTGGCCAACATGGTGAGACGCTGACTCTACTAAAAATACAAAAATTAGTCAGGCGTGGTGGTGCACGCCCATAATCTGAGCTACTCAGGAGGCTGAGGCAGGAGAATCGCTGGAACCTAGGAGGTGGAGGTTGCAGTGAGCCAAAATCACGCCACTGTACTCCAGCCTGGGCGATAGAGCAAGACTCCATCTCAAAAAAAAAAAAAAGATACATCAAGCAAACAGTAATCATAAGAAAGTTGGAGTGGCTATATTAACATCAGAAAAGACAGACATGGAAACACTGGTGATAACATCAAGGGTTACCAGAGATAAAAAGGAATGGTTCATAATGAAAAGGGGGTTAATCCATCAAGAAGACACAATAATCCTAAGTGTGTGTGTATAAAAACTGACAGAATTAAAGGGAGAAATGTACAAAGCCACAAATATAGCTACAGACTTTTACACTTCCCTTTCAGTAACTGACATAACAAGTAGACCAAAAAAAAAAAAAAAAAGAAAACAAGAAGAATCTGATCAAGTCCATCAACCAAGTAACATGGACATGCACAGAACCAAATGAAAAGTCAATTATTCTAAAACCATTTATTAAATAATCGAATGCAGCATACACTCTTGGTTGCCTGTCCTAATTTCCTTTCTCCTCTGCCCTCCTCTTTTCTAATAGAATCTGTTGTCTTTCCTGAAGAATCCACAAGGCATTGGCATGTACTTTCAGAGGGCTGGCCCTAAGCCAGCCATACAGGCAATTCCTAATTGATCTAAGCCAGTCATGGTGGCCCCATTACTTTTGCAAAGAACTAGTTTAGGTAGGACATATGACACAGTTGTGGCCAGCATAATATAAGGAGAATCTCATGGAAGACTTCTAGGAAAGATTTTTTCTTTCCTAAGACAGACCCACAGAAGGGGATTCTCTCTTTTTTCTCTGACATTGTCACAGCTAGATGTAGAACCTGAAATGTACTCAACTTGCCCAGGATGAGAATTACCCAAGAAAAAAGCCCCAAGAGTTACCCAAGAATTACCAAGAAAAGCAAAGAGAAAGGTGAAAAGAAATTCCTTGATGGCTCAAATGAGCTAATGCCTAACTTGAGCCTCCCTTCTGGACTTCTGGTTTTGTGAGATAATAAATTTTATTGTGAAAAACCAATCACTTGATCAATGCAGATTTATGTAAAGATATTCATTCAATCACATCGTATTTTGCAAGTAAGTTTGGATATTAACAATCCATATAAGAATCTCCAGATCCAGCTAAAAAATAAAAAAAAAAACAAAAAAAAAATAGCATAAATAATCCATGGGCTCTGTAACAATAACTTTATTAAACTTTGTTTTTGTTTTTGAGACAGTCTTCTTTTAATGCCCAGGCTAGAGTGCAGTGGCACAATCATAGCTCAATGCAGCCTCCAAATCCTGGGCTCAAGCAATCCTCCTGACTCAGGCTTCCCGAGTAGCTACGATTACAGGTGTACACCACCACGCCTGGCTAATTTTTGCATTTTTTGTAGAGATGAGGTCATGCTACGTTGCCCAGGCTGATGTTGAACTCCTAGCTTCAAACAACCCTCCCTCTTTGGCCTCCCAAAGTGTTGGGATTACAGGCATGAGCCAATGCACTCAGCCTAAATTTATGAAACATTTAAATACACACAAAAAAATGGGCTACTGTGAATATCACTGAAACAAAGACATTAATCCATGTTTGGAAGAACTGTAGTTCAGGCTACATTGGTAATTTTGAATAAATATGAAATACTCAGAGTTTTTAACACGAGCCTTAGAGAAATATGAAGTTCAAAGAACATTTTTTAAAAAGTCATGTAAGTGAAGGGGAAAGATAATGCATAAATGTTAAAAACATTACCTGTGTTTTGTGTCATACTCATAGATATTAAAGAAAAAAATCAGGTGTAAAATGATATAAAGTTTGAGTATCACTTATCCAAAATCTTTGGGATCATAAGTGTTTCATATTTTGAATCTTTTCCAGATTTGGGAATATCTCCATAGGCATAACGAGGTACCTCGGGGATGTGACCCAAGTCGAAACATGAAATTCATTTGTTTCACATAAACCTTATACACAGCCTGAAGATAAACTTTATAAAATATTTTAAATAATTTTGTGCAAAGTTTGTATACACTGAACCATCAGAAAGCAAAGGTGTCACTATCTTGGGCACCCATGTGGACGATCTGCGGTTGTTAGGTATCACCACCATTCCTAACTCTGAACTTGTATGCTACTGATAAGCAATTATTTTCTTACACTTACTTACACATAAGTATCTAACAGTAAAAAATATTACCTACTACTGATACCGTTAAAAAATAATATGTTCTGGGTAACCTAGCAGCACAGTAGTATCACCAGAATACTTGTATCAGCTGTTAAACAAGAGCAAGAACAAATGAAGACAGGCTTTCAGTCTATACCTATGATATTGTGTTTTGATTAAAAGGCTACTGTATCCTGTTTTTTGTTTCTGTGTTTGTTTTTAGGTAATAAGAAGCATCAGAAGCAGATGAGAGACCAGGAGACTCTGTCGCCCAGGCTGCAGTGCAGTGGCACCATCTCAGCTCACTGCAAGCTCCGCCTCCCGGGTTCATGCCATTCTCCTGCCTCAGCCTCCTGAGTAGCTGGGACTACAGGCGCCCACCACCAGGCCCAGCTAATTTTTTGTATTTTGTTTAGTAGAGACAGGTTTTCACCGTGTTAGCCAGGATGGTCTCGATCTCCTGGTCTAGTGATCCGCCTGCCTCAGCCTCCCAAAGTGCTGGGATTACAGGCGTGAGCCACTGCACCCAGCCTCATCTGTCTTATTAACAACAGTTTTTGCTTTAGAATTTTCTCTCTGATTGTATAAACTGACATGATTTGTTATTCTGTTATAAATGAACACTGCTCTAGTCCTTCAGTAAGATCATCACACATTTTCACCATGTCATGTATAGGACTTTTTTCTGCAGTGTTAATGTCATCTTCATCATCACTATTATGACCACCTTGATTCAGAACCATTTTGGCTATTTCACTATCAGTCAACTGGAGTAACTGGAGCCTCATTATGGACGTTAAAAACTTCTTAAATATCCACTTCACCCACCTTCCAGACAGACTCTGAAGGTATATTTTTTTGCAAATGTAAGGAGGAGAGGTCAGAGATCATTTTTTTCTCATTTGACATACAAGATCCTTCAAAGTCACTACTTTGATCATCATCACTAAACATAGTCCCAGGCCAGAGGTTGTGCCAGACATGCACAACTGTGTCTTTAGATACTATGTTCCAAGCATTGGCAACAGCATATACGGCATCCGTCATGTTAAACTCTTTTTGAAAATCATCCACACTCATGCCTCTGTTCACTGCTGTTAGTATGCTGTTCAAGAAAGCATTTTTTTATTATATTTTAAGTTCTGGGATAGATGTGCAGAACATGCAGGTTTGTCACATAAGTATACACGTGCCATGGTGCTTTGCTGCACCCAACAACCTGTCATCTACCTTAGTTATTTCTCCTAATGCTATCCCTCCCCTTGCCCCCCACCCGCCAACAGGCCCCAGCGTGTGATGTTCCCCTCCCTGTGTCCATGTGTTCTCATTGTTCAACTCCCACTTATGAGTGAGAATATTTGGTGTTTGGTTTTCTGTTCCTGTGTTAGTTTGCCAAGAATGATGGTTTCCAGCTTCATGCATGTCCCCGCAAAGGACATGAAATCATCCTCTTTTATGGCTGCGTAGTATTCCATGGTGTATACGTGCCACACTTTCTTTACCCAGTCTACCACTGATGGGCATTTGGGTTGGTTCCAAGTCTTTGCTATTGTGAACAGGGCTGCAATAAACATACATGTGCATGTGTCTTTATAGTAGCATGATGTATAATCCTTTGGGTATATGCCCAGTAATGGGATTGCTGGGTCAAATGGTATTTCTGGTTCTAGATACTTGAAGAATCGCCACACCATCTTCCACAATCATTGAACTAATTTATACTCCCACCAACAGTGTAAAAGTGTTCCAATTTCTCCACATGGACTTCCTCTCTTCCTATTTGAATACCCTTTATTGAATACCCTTTATTTCTTTCTCTTGCCTGATTGCCCTGGCCAGAACTTCCAATACTATGTTGAATAGGAGTGGTGAGAGAGGGCATTCTTGTCTTGTACCAGTTTTCAAAGGGAATGCTTCCAGCTTTTGCCCATTCAGTATGATATTGGCTGTGGGTTTGTGATAAATAGCTCTTATTATTTTGAGGTACGTTCCATCAATACCTAGTTTATTGAGAGTTTCAAGCATGAAGGGGTGTTGAATTTTGTCAAAGGCCTTTTCTGTATCTATTGAGATAAGCATGTGGTTTTTGTCATTGGCTCTGTTTATGTGATGGATTATGTTTATTGATTTGCATACGTTGAACCAGCCTTGCATCCCAGGGATGAAGCCAGTTTGATCGTGGTGGATAAGCTTTTTGATGTGCTGCTGGATTCAGTTTCCCAGGATTTTATTGAGGATTTTTTCATTGATGTTCATCAGGGATATTGGCCTGAAATTTTCTTGTTGTTGTGTCTCTGCTGGGTTTTGGTATCAGAATGATGCTGGCCTCATAAAATGAGTTAGGAAGGAGTCTCTCTTTTTCTATTGCTTGGAATAGTTTCATAAGGAATGGTAGCAGCTCCTCTTTGTACCTCTGGTAGAATTCAGCTGTGAATCCATCTGGTCCCGGGCTTTTTTTGTTGGTAGACTATTAATTACTGCCTCAATTTCACAACTTGTTATTGATCTATTCAGGGATTTGACTTCTTCCTGGTTTAGTCCTGGGAGGGTGTATGTGTCCAGGAATTTATCCATTTCTTCTAGGTTTTTTTTTTTTTTTGAGATGGAGTTTTGCTCTTGTTACCCAGGCTGGGTGTGCAATGGCGCAATCTCCACTACCTCCACCTCCCAGGTTCAAGCAATTCTCCTGCCTCAGCCTCCCGAGTAGCAGGGATTACAGGCATGTGCCACCATGCCTGGCTAATTTTTTGTATTTTTAGTAGAGATGGGGTTTCTCCATGTTGGTCAGGCTGGTCTCGAACTCCCGACCTCAGGGGATCTGCCTGCCTTGGCCTCCCAAAGTGCAGGTTACAGGCATGAGCCACTGCGCCTGGCCTTCTAGATTTTCTAGTTTATTTGCGTAGAGGTGTTTATAGTATTCTCTGATAGTAGTTCGTATTTCTGTGGGATCAGTGGTAATATTCTCTTTATCATTTTTTATTGTGTCTATTTGATTCTTCTCTCTTTTCTTCTTTATTAGACTGGCTAGCAGTCTTTCTATCTTGTTAATCCTTTCAAAAAACCAGCTCCTGGATTCACTGATTTTTTGAAGGGTTTTTCGTATCTCTATCTCCTTCAGTTCTGCTCTGATCTTAGTTATTTCTTGACTTCTGCTAGCTTTTGAATGTGTTTGCTCTTGCTTCTCTAGTTCTTTTAATTGTGATGTTAGGGTGTCAATTTTAGATCTTTCCTGCTTTCTCCTGTGGACATTTAGTGCTATAAATTTCCCTCTAAACACTGCTTTAACCTGTGTCCCAGAGATTCTGGTACATTGTGTCTTTGTTCTCATTGGTTTCAAAGAAGTTATTTATTTCTGCCTTAATTTCGTTATTTACCCAGTAGTCATTCAGGAGCAGGTTGTTCAGTTTCCATGTAGTTGTGCAGGTTTGAGTGAGTTTCTTAATCCTGAGTTATAATTTGATTGCCCCGTGGTCTGAGAGACTGTTTGTTATGATTTCTGTTCTTTTGCATTTGCTGAGAAGTGTTTTACTTCCAATTATGTGGTCAGTTTTAGAATAAGTGTGATGTGGTGCTGAGAAGAATGTATATTCTGTTGATTTGGGGTGGAGAGTTCTGTAGATGTCTATTAGGTCCACTTGGTCCAAGGCTGAGTTCAAGTCCTGAATATCCTTGTTAATTTTCTGTCTCGTTGATCTTTCTAATATTGACAGTGGGGTGTTAAAGTCTCCCACTATTATTGTGTGGGAGTCTAAGTCTCTTTGTAGGTCTCTAAGAACTTGCTTTATTAATCTGGGTGCTCCTGTATTGGGTGCATATATATTTAGGATAGTTAGCTCTTCTTGTTGCATTGATCTCTTTACCATTATGTAATGCCCTTGTCTTCTTTGATCTTTGTTGGTTTAAAGTCTGTTTTATCAGATACTAGGATTGCAATCCTTGCTTTTTTTTGCTTTCCATTTGCTTGGTAAATATTCCTCCATCCCTTTATTTTGAGCCTATGTGTGTCTTTCACATGAGATGGGTCTCCTGAATACAGCACACCGATGGGTCTTGACTCTCTATCCAATTTACTAGTCTGTGTTTTTTAATTGGGGCATTTAGCCTGTTTACATTTAAGGTTAATATTGTTATGTGTGAATCTGATCCTGTCATTATGATGCCAGCTGGTTATTTTGTCCATTAGTTGATACAGTTTCTTCATAGTGTCAATGGTCTTTACAATTTGGTATGTTTTTGCAGTGGCTGGTACTGGTTTTTCCTTTCCATGTTTAGTGCTTCCTTCAGGAGTTCTTGTAAGGCAGGCCTGGTGGTGACAAAAATCTCTCAGCATTTGCTTGTCTGTGAAGGATTTTATTTCTCCTTCACTTATGAAGCTTAGTTTAGCTGGATATGAAATTCTGGGTTGAAAATTCTTTTCTTTAAGAATGTTCAATTTTGGCCACCACTCTCTTCTGGCTTGTAGGGTTTCTGCAGAGAGATCCGCTGTTAGTCTGATGGGCTTCCCTTTGTGGGTAACCCTACCTTTCTCTCTGGCTGCCCTTAACATTTTTTCCTTCATTCCAACCTTGGTGAATCTGACGATTATGTGTCTTGGGGTTGCTCTTCTCGAGGAGTATCTTTGTGGTGTTCTTTGTATTTCCTGAATTTGAATGTTGGCCTGTCTTGCTAGGTTGGGGAAGTTCTCCTGGATAATATGCTGAAGAGTGTTTCCCAACTTGATTCCATTCTCCCTGTCACTTTCAGGTAAACCAATCAAACGCAGGTTTGGTCTTTTCACATAGTCCCATATTTCTTGGAGGCTTTGTTCATTCCTTTTCATCCTTTTTTTCTCTAATCTTGTCTTCACACTTCATTTCATTACGTTGATCTTCAATCTCTGATATCCTTTCTCCTGCTTAGTTGATTCAGCTATTGATACTTGTGTATGCTTCACAAAGTTCTTGTGCTGTGTTTTTCAGCTCCATCAAGTCATTTATGTTTTTCTCTAAACTAATTATTCTAATTAGCAATTCCCCTAACCTCTTTTCAAGGGTCTTAGCTTCCTTGCATTGGTTAGAACATGTTCCCTTAGCTCGGGGAGGTTTGTTAATATCCACCTTCTGAAGCCTACTTCTGTCAATTCATCAAACTCATTCTCTGTCCAGTTTTGTTCCCTTGCTGGCAAGGAGTTATGATCCTTTGGAGGAGAAGAGGCATTCTGGTTTTTGGAATTTTCAGCCTTTCTGCGCTGGTTTTTCCTCATCTTCATGGATTTATCTACCTTTGGTCTTTGATGTTGGTGACTTTTAGATGGGGTTTCTGTGTGGACATCCTTTTTGCTGATGTTGATGCTATTCCTTTCTGCTTGTTAGTTTTCCTTCTAACACTCAGGCCCTTCTGCTGCAGGTCTGCTGGAGTTTGCTGGAGGTCCACTCCAGACCCTGTTTGCCTGGGTATCACCAGTGGAGGCTGCAGAACAGCAAAGATTGCTGCCTGTTCCTTCCCCTGGAGGCTTTGTCCCAGAGGGGCACCTGCCAGATGCCAGCCAGAGCTCTCCTGTATGAGGTGTCTATCAACCCCTACTGGGAGGTGTCTCCCAGTCAGGAGGCATGGAGGTCAGGAACCCACTTGAGGAGGCAGTCTGTCCCTTAGCAGAGCTCAAATGTTGTGCTGGGAGATCTGCTGCTCTCTTCAGAGCTGGCAGGCAGGAACGTTTAACTCTGCTGAAGCTGTGCCCACAGCCGCCCCTTCCCCCAGGTGCTCTGTCCCAGGGAGATGGGTGTTTTACCTATAAGCCCCTGACTGGGGCTGCTGCCTTTCTTTCAGAGATGCCCTGCCCAGAGAGGAGGAATCTAGAGAGGCAGTCTGGCTACAGCAGCTTTGATGAGCTGCAGTGGGCTCCGCCCAGTTCGAACTTCCTGGTGGCTTTCTTTATACTCTGAGGGGAAAAACCACCTACTCAAGCCTAAGTAATGGTGGATACCCCTCCCCCCACCAAGCTTGAGCATCCCAGGTTAACTTCAGACTGCTGTGCTGGCAGCGAGAATTTCAAGCCAGTTGATCTTAGCTTGCTGGCGTCCATGGGGTTGGGATTTGCTGAGCTAGACCACCTGGCTCCCTGGCTTCAGCTCCCTTTCCAGGGGAGTGAATGGTTCTGTCTCGCTGGTGTTCCAGGTGCCACTAGGGTATGAAAAACAAAAACTCCTGGCCGGGCGTGGTGGCTCATGCCTGTAATACCAGCACTTTGGAAGGCCAAGGTGGGCGGATCATAAGGTCAGGAGATCGAGACCATCCTGGCTAACATGATGAAACCCCGTCTCTACTAAAAATACAAAAAATTAGCTGGGCGTGGTGGCGGGCGCCTGTAGTCCCAGCTATTCGAGAGGCTGAGGCAGGAGAATGGTGTGAACCCGGGAGGCAGAGCTTGCAGTGAGCCGAGATAGCGCCATGGCACTCCAGCCTGGGCAACAAAGAAAGACTCTGTCTCAAAAACAAAACAAATCAAAACAAAACAAAACAAAAAGACCTCCTGCAGCTAGCTCGGTGTCTGCCCAAACGGCCACCCAGTTTTGTGCTTCAAACCTAGGGCCCTGGTGGCATAGGCACCCGAAGGAATCTCCTGGTCTGTGGGTTGCAAAGACCATGGGAAAAGCATAGTATCTGGGCCTGAATGCACTGTCCCTCACAGCAGGGTCCCTCATGGCTTCCCTTGGCTAGGGGAGGGAGTTTCCCAACCCCTTGTGCTTCCTGGGTGAGGCAACACCCCACCCTGCTTTGGCTCACCCTCCATGGGCTACACCCACTGTCTAACCAGTCCCAGTGAGATAAGCCAGGTACCTCAGTTGGAAATGCAGAAATCACCTGCCTTCTGTGTTGATCTCGCTGGGAGCTGCAGACCAGAGCTGTTCCTATTCGGCTACCTTGCCAGCAACTCCCCCAAGAAAGCATTTTTATATTAACTCTTCACTGGTCTAAGGATACCTTGGCCGCATGGCTGAATTAATAAAGTCACACTGGGGGAAAGTACATGGCATAAACATTATTTTTGAGGAGAATTTCAACTGGAAGATGAGAACAGTCATCAAGAAATAAAATCTTGCCATCGTTGCACAGTCCAGCTGCCCTGCAGTGAGCACAAGCTGCTGGTACAAGATGTTTGGAAACCAATCAGAAAAGATATCCCTAGTAATACATGCTTTTTTGTTACCATAATAACAGACTGGTAAGAAATTCACTCCTTAAAAACAGCAAGAATGCAAGCTTTTGCCCATCACAGCACTTATGAGTGCCTCCTACATTACCACATCCCATCCCAGTTATTCTGTCCTTGGCATCCTTAATTCCTGTATTAGCTGTCTCATCTGCTATAGCCAGTGTCTTTCTGGGGCATTAACACCAAAACAGTGATGTTTCATCAGCATTACTGACTTGTTCTGGCATAAGATAGTTACCAGCGGTGACTTTGACAAACTTGTCAATGAACTTCTTGCTGCTTCATCATCAACAAATGCTTTATCACCACAAATTTTTAAAACTGTAATGTCGTGTCTCCTCTTAAATTTCTGCAAATGGCCTGTTGAATATTCACAGCTTCCTTCAATTTTTAGTTCATCATGATAGATCTTTGCTTGTTTCATGACCAGTATTACCATTAAGTGACATGAGTTCACTCCAATGCTGATGGATCCACTTTTTCAATACGTGATCGAAATCTTCATTTTTAGCTTTGTGCAGTGTATTTCTATTTTTCATTAACTTCTGTTCACGATTTCAGCACAGAATTTCAATAGCTTATCCTTTTGTTTCTTCAGGTCATATACGGTAGTCATTCCAACACCATACTCTTCTGCAACACACTGCACACTTAACACCACTGTCCAGTTTCTCCAACAGCTTGTCTTTCTGTGCTATAGATAAACATAAGTGCTTCTTTGTGTCCTTGTCACTATTACCCCTCAGGGGTATCTGCAGGCCTTTTGGACATTTTCAACATCTTTACACCACAGAACAGAAAATAAGCAAAAAAACACAGTAAGTGATGCACATAGGTCTTGGCCCCATGTGGGGCATTGCGGGGAACCTGTTATTGGCGCATCCAGCCTGCATACATGCCATTTTATTACCCTCTGTGGAAGTGCTTGTGTGAGGGGAATCTGGGTGTACAAGGAAAAGATATATCACTGCTACAGAAGGCAGAAGGAGTCTTTTTTCCCTTGGGAACGCTGAATAAACTGTGTGGTGTGCACCTGTGTTTTAATTACAATTTACCACATGAAGTCAGGTGTGGAATTGTCCACTTGTGGCATCAGCTGGCACTCAGAAAGCTTCAGATTTTAGAGCATTTCAGATTTCAGATTTTCGGATTAGGGATGATCAAACTGTACTGGTTAAGCAGTATGCTACTCAATTTTTCTTTAATCGCCAAAATTATTCCCTCTGCCCCATTTTTTTTTTAAAACAAGAAGAATAAGGACTTAATAGTGGCCAGATACTAATGAAATATTCTGAAAGGGTATATAGTTCATGGGGACAAAATACGGTATTTAGTAAACTCTACAAAAAAATTCCAATTCTTCTATTTGGTAATCCTGCTCCTGAGTGCTGGTTCTAAGAAAATGGAAGGCTCAATTAAATTCACAAAGATGTTCACTATAGTTAAATCTAGAATATCAAACCCTGGAAACACACTGGATACCCAACAATAAGGGAATAATTTAATAAATTATTATACATTATATATTATAATAAATTTAATAAATTATGCAACAATAATAAAAATATTAAACAGCTCTGAAAATAATTAGGATATTTATAGAAAAATGTTAACGAAGCAACGATATATGAAGAAAGCATGCTACCAAATAGAATATGAACTTTTTATTCCAAATATGTAAAAAATATTATTCACGGCCGGGCGCGGTGGCTCACACCTGTAAGCCTAGCACTTTGGGAGGCTGAAGCAGGTGGATCATGAGGTCAGGAGTTCAAGGCCAGCCTGACCAAGATGGTGAAACCCCTTCTCTACTAAAAATACAAAAATTTGCTGAGCATGGTGGCACGCGCCTGTATCCCAGCTACTCAGGAGGCTGAGGCAGGAGAATCGCTTGAACCTGGGAGGCAGAGATTGCAGTGAGCCAAGATCGCACCACTGCACTCCAGCGTGGGCAACAGAGCGAGACTCAGTCTCAAAAAAAAAAAAAAAAAAAAATTATTCACATGGGTAAAAAGGTAATAATATAGAAAATAGAAAGTGCTATTGTGGTATAGTGGTGGGATTACTGGTAGCGCTTTGTTCTCTATTGTTCTCCTAAACTATCTGACCTACTAATATTGTTAGGTTTTAAATAACTTTTAAATGCTTTTAGATACTAAATGGGAACCATGTTGAACTGATAAGGGGGGATTTCACAGGGAAGGTATTTTGTGAAATGGGAATGGAAAACAGAAACTGCATTCAGGGCCAGCCTAAAGAAAGTATATAAAGTGCAGACAGCAGGAGTATTTGTGGAAACAACGTAATTGGAAGTAACTTGTTAGGTTGAAGATGGGTCAAGGAGGGAAAATAAAAGGTCAGCAGAAGAGTGTCACAACATTGGGTAAATAATTCATGAAATCCATAAAATAACATAAAAAGAACAAGATGAGAGCAAATTTTTCTCACCAAAGTAAAAGAAAAAAAACAGTAGCAACAATTAATCTAAGAAACAGGCAGAATAAAAAGTGGAATCAATCTAAGAAATAATAGCCCATTTGAGAATGGATTTGAGAGATAACAATAAAAGCTAATTACAGCTTCTAGTCTGTTAAGTACAAAATCTGGAGGAAAAAGGAAGATGAATCAACTATGAAGAAGCAGTCATCTAAGATAAACTATTTCCTTCTATACACACAAACCACATTTCAGCTATTACCTCTTTCTGTATTACCAGCACCAGACTTATAACCACCAAATTAAAAATTACTCCTTCCAAACATTAAAGTGCACAACAGTTTGTATAACATATTACATTTATCTAAGAAAAAAGTAAAATATAATAAATACATATTTGCTTATATGCTAAAAAATGAAAGGAGAAATAAAAATTAAAAAGATTACCTATCAGGGAGGACAGAACAGACTGTTGGAGTCATAGATAAACAGACTTCTCAGAACATACCTGATTTTGTGGATTTGATTTTGGAACTACATAAATATGTTATATAATTATAAATAAAATTTAGCAAAAATTTTCAAAATGACAATCCAAAAAAAACAAAAAACAAAAACAAAAAAAAAAACAGAAATAAATTAACCTATAATGCTTGACTACAGAGAAAAGAATTTCACGTGACTTTTAAATACAGTAATTTGATTGTATATCCTTAGAATACCCTTAAAAACTAAATAACTACAATAAAAATTTATGTTCAATAATCATATTGGTTCTGTTATTCTGAAACTATTATGTATTATACAATACATTAAAGGTATAATTTTATTAATCATTAGGAATCAGGATTTTCTGATTCCTAAAGATCCTTCCTGAATCATCAGGACAGAAAAAAATACAAACATACAAATAGAAAAAGTTAAAACCCATAATTATAAATTGGAATTGGTAATATCAGTATGAAACGACGATATATTTCCTCTTAAACAGAAAAGAACTGTAGCTCTATCCACCAATAAAATGCAGAAACAATGACCAATACAGTAGTAATGACCACCCCCACAATGCCCAGATTGTGGTATCTAAACACCATTTTTCACTAAGAAACCAGGACTCCCTGAAGAAATGTCTAATTTCAAGTCTAGGGGAGAAAATGTACAAGATGAACCTGGAACATCTCAACATACCACAAAACAAGGACACTATTAAAGACTAATGTAGTTGTGTCAAAAGAATTTAGAAACCAACTAAGAGGCTCCCACTGGCAAGGATGGAACAATGTGAGCACCAGAAGGAAGATCTGCAATATATTGATAGACATCAAAAATCTTAGTAATATGGGGAGTGAAAATCTTATTGGCCAATGAACCAATTCATCTGAAAACATACAAATAAAGAGAAATAATCATGCATGTATCCTGCTTTTCCCATATGAATTGTACCTCAGGGTAAGCAATAATAATAAAGGAAAGTACTTCTTTAAGAATTCTAGCTAATAAATGAAAATAAAGATAAAATGCATTTTGCAACAACCAATAAAATAATAGATCTAGGCAAAGATTATCAATAGCTATTAAAACCATTTGGTAACACTTGTATCCTCTAGTCAATGTTAACATCACTAAAGGGAAAAAACAGACATTATGTGTCTCTTAAAACGATGCAACAAGAAGCATACACCACCACTTATAAAATGTTCATTCTTCCTATTTCCAAAAACAATCAGACTTGAATCTAATCAAGCTCCTAGATTTGGCTACCAGTTTTATGGAAATGCATTGAACAGGAGACCTTGTTAAACTACAATACACAGATGAAATCAGTAAAATCCAGACTATGGGAAACTCTCAGAAAAATTAGTTATTTCTTCAACAAGTAAGTTGCAAGGACAAAAGAGAGAGAAGACTGCTAAGTTAAAAGAGACATAACTACATCAATTAATGCAGTGTGGACCATCACTACACTTACAAACATGGAGTCATTTACCAAGTTACTGCTAAGACCCTTTCCCCTCTACAACCAGCTATCCCTACAGGCACAACCAGAGATACATCAGCCCTAAAACAATATGTCTCTAGTCCATAGTAGGAGACACTGAATGCCCTCTTGCCTGATGTACCCACACAGGAGCTGCTACAGAAGTCCTGCAGGCACAATCACAAACGCAGTCTGTGTTACCATTTCCATCAATATTTACCTTGTTTAAAAAAAATAAAATTCCTTGATTTCTTAGTACTAATAACATCTAAATTAAATATCTCGAACAGAAACAAAATAATCACATCGTTTCCTTGAGTATCTATACTCAGAGTTTACTTTTACATCCTTCATTCTCTATTAACTTCCAGTGACTTTAAGAGAAATCTCTGAGATGTCACATCCAGCTCCCCTATAATTACTTAAGGCTCAAAGAGATGTAGAATGCTAAGAAGCAAAGGAGAAAATGAAGAAAGTCCTAAGTTCCTAAGAGATTCAGTGGCTACCTGGAGAAAATTAAGAATGAAAATTAGAAGCTTGGAATATTCATTTTGCTTCAAGATATTTTATTAGTAACCAAGAGAAATATCTCTCATCTCAAATAGTACCATCTACCTTAGAAAAACAGTAATCTTTCTAATACAGTAAAACCAGCAAACTGTTTGATGAGTATTGGCAGAGAAAAACAACTATCAACAGATGATAATTTATATTAGTGTTGATACACGGATCAGTCGAGTGAGGAGTCAGGTGGCCTTTCCTTCTCTCAACCTTCAAATTATAAAATGGTGAATTCGGAACATGTTTGTAACCAACATTTTAAACAAATTTTCTGTATAAAAATTATTTTTATATTTAGGCCGGGCATGGTGGTGCACACCTGTAATCCCAGCACCTTGGTAGGCTGAAGCGGGAGGATCTCTTGAGGCCAGGAGTTCGAGATCAGCCTGGGCAACACGGCAAAACACCACCTCTATTAGAAATACAAAAATTAGCCAGGCGTGGTGGCACACACCTGAGGTCCCAGCTACTGGGGTGGCTGGGGCAGGAGAATTGCTTGAACCCGGGAGGCGGAGGTTGCAGGAAGCCAAGATCATGCCACTGCACTCTAGCCTGGGCGACAGAGGGAGACTCTATCTCAAAAAATATATATTTCTGTATTTAACAGGACTATATTCTCATTCACTGCTGTATAAATAGAAATGTTGGAATTTTTTTTAATTACTTAAGGTAACATAAAAGGAAATTTGAAGACTGCTACTTCTTGTCATTGATTGAGACATTAAATGGGTATCAGAACTAGAAAATAATGACAGATGCTCCCATATCCTACTATAACAGCTGCAGAGTGAAGAAATACTGACTGCATCCATATCTATGTAATCCCTTCCTTGCTAACAGTTACATAAAATACATAATACATCATTAAAGCAATCAAGACACTGTTTTCCTACTTGAGTGCTTGCATTCACTCCTAGTTCATAAACTAGAATATTTCCAAGCCCCAATCTGTCTTAAGTTATATATTATTCACATAAAACTCAATGAAAACTAATACCAAGTACCCTTCTATATTGTTTCCAAGCTCCCTTTGACAGACTATAAATATGGGTATGAATTCTATATAATATATGCTTCCCTCTAATCACTCTCTTAAGACCTACGAACACTAAAAAAAGGACATTTCTGATGATATGCTATTTGTCTTGTCTTTCATATGGGAGGAACACAAAGGTATTAAGAAACTAAGCTAAAATGGAACTCAGATTTCCATATTTCCTTTCCTTTGCTTTTTTTTTTTTTTTTGAGACAGGGTCTTGGTCTGTCACCAGGACTGGATCTCAGCTCACTACAATCTCCACCTCCCGGGTTCAAACAATTCTCCTGCCTCAGCCTCCTGAGTAGCTGGGATTACAGGTGTGCACTACCATGCCCGGCTAATTTTTGTATTTTTTTAGTACAGCCATGTTCACCAGGCTGGTCTTGAACTCCTGACCTCAAGTGATCCAAACGATTCTCCTGCCTCAGCCTCCCGAGTAGCCGGGATTACAGGTGTGCATTACCATGCCCGGCTAATTTTTGTATTTTTTTAGTAGAGACAGGGTTTCACCATGTTACAGGCCAGGCTGGTCTTGAACTCCTGACCTCAAGTGATCCACCTGCCTCCGCTTCCCAAAGTGCTGGGATTACAGGCGTGAGCCACTGTGCCCGGCCTACTCTGCTATTAAGCAGCAATTGCCCTTGAGTTCAGGTCTCAGTTGCTCTTCAGTTAATATTTCCATCATCTATCCATACAGAAAAATTTAGGAGACTAGCAGAGCACAGTGGCTCGTGCCTGTCATACCAGCACTTCGGGAAGCTGAGGCGGGTGGATTGTCTGAACTCCGGAGTTCCAGACCAGCCTGGGCAACATGGTGAGACCCCATCTCTACCAAAAATACAAAAAAAATAGCCGGGTATGGTGGTGTGTGCCTGTGGTCCCAGCTACTCAGAAGGCTGAGGTGGGAGGATCACTTAAGCCCGGGAGGTGGAGGTTGCAGTGAGCCAAGATTGCTCCACTGCACTCCAGCCTGGGTGACAGAGCGAGACCCTGTCTCAACGAGAAAAAAAAAAAGAAAAGAAAAATGTAGGAGACTGAAGAAAAAGCAAATGGCATATCCTTGAAACCATCTTCTTCCTCCTACCTCTTATCATTTACTTTGAAGAGGATGTGTACTTGATGTTTCCTCTGAAGAACCTATGGTAATATAATTTCAAATTTCTCATTTAAAAATTTCATTATATTAAAGATATTTGTACAGCCCTTTGAAATTTATAGTGACGAGATTTAACCTACATTTTGTGAATGTTAGCAGCCCAGGTAATTAGGTATTGTGCAAAACAACTTGGGGCAAGCATATTAATATAAGAAAATGGAATCACCGACCATCTTGACATTCTCAAACTGGGGTACACGGGGTGGTGATCTTGGGTCTAATAGTAGGGACCTTCATATCCAAAGCAGAGAAACATACCCACCAAGTTTTCTTCAAAATTCCATATAGCAACTGTGACAGAATTAAATTGTGAAACAGCACTCACCTTGTGCTACTGTTGACATGACCACAGATGGTGTAGAGGACACCACAGCTGTTACTGCAACTGTATTAGGAATAGGTGATGGTGTAGAACTGCTGCTGCCACTGCTGCTATTACTGACCAGAGAGGACTGTGAAGCAGTTATAACAACTGGTGGCTTCTGGGTTGTAGAAGCAATGACTGACGTTGGTACAAGCTTAGTGACTGCTGCATAGTTATGGGATTTGGAGAGAATGTTGGGCACGAAGGTTGAGCTTGGTGATGTGGTGACTATAATAACCTAAGGAATAAAAAATAAGTTATTTTTATGTACCTACTAAACTACTAATGTATCTAGACTCACAGTTAGTTATATATAATTTAAAAATAGCTTATGAAAAACGAAGAAGCAATTCAACAGAGAATATACAACTAAAAATATATTAAAATTTTCCTTTACTAGTAATCATCAAAATGCATTTATAAGCAACAATTTTACAAATCAAATATTTTAAAAGATAACATCAACGCTGTATAAGATACAGGAAAGTAGACATTTCAGCATACTACTTAGGGAGTATAAATTGGCACACTCTTTCTAGAAAGTAATTTAAACATTCATTCGTTTATAAATATTTATTGAGCACCTACTATGTGCCAGGCATGGTTCTAGACGCTGGAGAATAGAAGAATGAACAAAAGAAACAAAGCTGATACCTTCAAGTAGCTTACATTTTAGTAGTGGGAGAGAAATAAACAGAAATGTAAGTATATGTCACGCAGAGACAAATGGAAGAGACAAAAAAGTATGGTAGGAGAATAAAGAATGATGGGAGCACTGTATGATTTTTTAAGTAATGTATTCAATAAAGACCTCTCAGTAAGGTGACATATGAACAGAAACCAGAAGGAAGTAGGGATATGAACCATGGTGCTACCCAGAAGACCATCCATCAGCACAGGGAGCAGTAAATACAAAGGCCCTAAAGCAGAAGCAAGCTTGGTATGTTCAAGAAACTTCAAAGATCTAGTGAACGGGATAGAAATGTATAGGGTACAAAGTAGTAGTAGACAACTGCAGAGAAGTAATGAAGGACTAAACCATGTAAGAGCATGTTGACAGTATATACCCTTTATATGATGTGATGAAAAAGGTACTTTCTCTCTGAGGTCTTCTGTCCAAAAACCCATAATCATAGTCTAATCATGAGAAGAACATCAGACAAATTCTAACAGTTGGGGTATCTACAAGATACTTGACCAGTACTCCTCAAAATTGTCAAGGTCATCAAAAAAAAGGAAAGTCTGAGAAACTTTCACAGTAAAGAGGAATCAGTAGGAGCCTAAAGAGAAATAACAACTAAATATAATATGGTATCCTGGAACAGAAAAAGACAATAGGTAAAAACCAAGGAAATATGAATAAACCATGGATCTAATTAACATTAATGCATTAATAGTCTTTATTAGCTATAACAATGTATCACACCAATGTAAAATGTTCAGAATAAAGGAGACTTATCAGGAAGTTGGTAAAAAACAAAACAAAGAGAATGAGAAAACTGGGTGCAGAGTATATGAGAACTCTGTACTATCTTCTCAATTTTTCTGTAAATCTAAAACTGTTTTAAAAAATAAAGTCCATTTTTTAAAAAATCATTACTCTACCTATTAGGTAAAAAGTACAGTAGGGCAATGAAGGTAGAAACAGGGAGACAAATTAAGAAGCTCCTGTAACAAACCAGGCAGGGATGATGGTGAACAAGGTATTTGTGGTGGAAGAAGTAAAAAGTGAACAGATTCTGAATACACTGCAAAGGTAAAGCCAACAGGATTTGCTTGTATATTGATATGAAGAATGGAGAAAAAGAGAGGCAGGAAAGAGATGTCAAGGTTTTGCCAGTATAACTAGAAAACTGTAGATGATTTAGTGACAAATCATTCCAGACAGAGAGAATAGTATGAAGGAAAGGAACTAATGTCAGAAGTAGCTTGATAAATTTAAAAACAGAAAAGAAAGCAGTGTAGCAAAAAGCACATAGGGCAAAGAGGAGTTGGAAAAGTAAGCAGAGGCTACATCAAATGTGGAATTTAGATTTTTATACTAAGTATAATAGAAAGCCACAGGAATATTTTAAGTAGGAAGAAAAACAAAATTTGATGTATATTTTAAAAGATCACTCTAGCTGCTACATGATAAGAGGCAAGAGGGGAAGCAGTGAGACCACTTAAACTATTGCATCAGACCAAGCAGAAAATGATAGAGGCTGCCTGCACCGGAGTGTTAGTAGTAGAAATAAAGAAAAGTGATCAAAGTCAGATTATTTTGAAAAGTAGAGAGAATAGGATTTGTTGATGAATGAAAATGGCAGGGTTAAGGAAAAGAACGGAATCAAGAATAGCTCCTAGGGCTAATATGTATTGGCTTATTTAAATCTCCTAACAATTCTATGATACGTGTACTATTATTATCCCCATTTTACAAATGAGAACACAAAAATTATTTAGAAGTCTGTAGTATCACATTTTTATTCTGGGGTGGTATAGTAAAACCCAAAAAAGAGCAGATTATCTCCTTCCTCTTTAAATGAAATTATTTGTACCTAGCTAGAAAAGAAAAACTGTTTTGAAAAATCTAAAGAATTTAAGGGAAAATTCTTTTTCATTTTTATATCACTTCTAAAGAAGGCCAGAAGTGAGTCAGTCAAAATTTACTGAATATATCTGTACTCAGGACCTACATCTCAAAGAAGCTCGGACCATAACATTGTTATTATATACTTTGAGTGTTACAGAGAATTACCAGATATGAGTTCTTATCCAGTGTTACAGAGAATTACAAGATATAAGTACTTGTCCATTACTTTAAGGGGTTTGTTAGTTAATTATTTGAGGCATCAAGAAAGATACATAAGATCAGCAAACACCTATATAGAGTCAACCAGCATATTTATAGATAGACTTGATCAGCAAATACCTATATAGCATTATTAGAAAACAACAATCAACCATGATACAAGCTGAGAAGTAGACCAATATGGCAAAAAGACCACAAGCTTAAATGAACCTGCACTTAGATCCTGCCTCTGCCACTTAAAAATGGCAGGCCCCTGGACATGTTGGAATCTCTGGGCTCCAATTTTCATCTATAAAATGGGGATAATAATACCTACCTTGCAAAGTCATTACAAGGATTAAACGATATAATGATGTTAAGCATCTGACATAGTGCTAGGCACACAGCAGGTTGTCAATATTTGGCAGTCAACAAATGGTACTTATTAGTAGCTTATTACTACTACTTAATAAATGTGAAAAGGATATCAGTAAAGGCATTATACATCAAATCAATCTGAAAATGCATTTCAATATACTTTGTTTCACTTAAAACTTCTCTTATTTTTTTCCCAAATTCTGATACCTCTGAGAATCCAAAGAATTCACAGCTGCTGCCACAGCCAAACCATTAGAGTAGTAATGGCAATTAGGGTTCACTTTTGCCAGTTCTGAACTAATTGTAGTAGCTTCCTGGAGCACAATGCTTATAAGGACTTTGAGGCCCAGATAAGAATTCACCAAGGCTTAGCAGGAAAGTATGCCACAGTTAATTAGCAATGTCTGTCATGGGCAAGGGCAAGGGAAGCATTCACACTTGTACCAAATATTTGCAATTTCAGAATTAGAGTATACATGTAGGCTTTAACATTAAGACAAAACTTCAGCAAAATGAATCTAGAGTCTTTAAGAGCATATTTTAGGTTACAGATACAAATGATAAGATCTATTTTGAGATTTCAGCCTGCAAGATGATTTCTGATCTGAAAAGAAGTTATCCTTCATTAGAGATCCACCTTGGAGGAAACCTACTTGTACTTTAAAGTTACTCATTACAACAGGAGGAAGTATAGGGGTTTAAAACCAAGTGAACCAAACAGTGTTTATTCAGGCCATAATTCAAATTACTGACCTTCTAGCACTCACAAAAACTCCTTAAGAGTGCTGGGACTTGCACCCTAAGGACAAAATGAAAAATATCAATCAAGCACATGAAGGCATAAAGCTAAATTCTGCTGCTCTGATATATAAGTGCTGCATCAATGTTATATTTAAAATGAAGGCACCACATTAACACAGGTGGAAATGTGTCTACCCTGAAAATATATTACCTATTTGAATTTGAATAAAGTCCACAAATTCATAAATAATTATACTTAATATAAAAATCACTTCACCTACAATAATTCCTAAGTTGCCTTATACAGGATTTGTGACAAATCCAAAGTGAATGCAATAATGGCAACAGCCTTGGATAGATTTCAGAAAAATCCAATTACCCAAGCAAAAGAAAAACATAAAACTCCAAGAACATTTATTAGTCCTACCCATATCAGCTTGTCCACAAAATAATAAAAGTAATGGCATTGAGTACACAAGAAGTAAAAGAGTACAGTTTTACATCTGGAACATAGTAGGTGCTCAATAAATATTTGTGGAATGAATGAGTCTTATTTTTAATTTAATTTGTTTTAAACATTTGTTTTTTTTAACCATAGTAAGCCAAATCTAAGGTTCTGAACCTGAACTCTCATGGTATGGCTCATATATAACTTGGGAGATAAATATGCCCTCTTTCAAACATCCCAAGTCTGAAAACCTCAACTATCCATTCTCAATTGAAAATTCAGAAGAAAAAAAATAAAAATAAATATATGGTAAAGTCAATGAACTTAAAAAAAGTTCACAAACTTCACTGAGTCCTCATCTACTACACGTATTTTTAGCTAAGTCCACCGAAGAAGACTGAAAAGTTAATAGTGTTAGGTGACATTTACTGAGCACTCACTGTATGTACTACGTTAAGTTTTTTTTTTTGTTTTTTTTTTTTGAGATGGAGTTTAGCTCCTGCTGCCCAGGCTGGAGTGCAATGGCACAATCTTGGCTCACTGCAACCTCTGTCTCCCGGGTTCAAGCGATTCTCCTGCCTCAGCCTACCGAGTAGCATGTGCCACCACGCCCGGCTAATTTTGTATTTTTAGTAGGGACAGCGTTTCTCCATGTTGATCAGGCTGGTCTCAGAACTCCTACCCTCAGGTGATCCGCCTGCCTCAGCCTCCCAAAGTGTTGGGATTACAGGTGTGAGCCACCACACCCGGCCTATGATCATCTTTATTTTACAAAGAAACAGGCTCAAGGGAGGTAGCTAAGCCAGTATTGGAACCAGATACTTCTATTCATTCATTAATTAATTTACTCATTCAACAAATATTAATTAGCACTTACTACATGCCAGGTACTATTCTAAATACTAGGGAATACATTGAAGAATAAGACAAAGTCTCTACCCTTAGCAGCTTATAGTCCCTGGGAGAAATAGAAGATAAACAACTTTGCAATATAATATCAACTAGTTGTAAGTATAATGAATAACAATAAAACAGAGTACAGGAATAGAAGGATATGGATGGGAGGTAGGTACGCTTTTAGCTACAGCTTTGCTTTACTATTTCTCAAATACTAAATTAAAAGACTAGACAAGAAGCAGGGAAGAGAGAAGAATTACTGAGAAAATAAGATCCAGCAACAAAGGCAGTTAAAAGCGTTATAGTAAGTAGACTTAAAAATTCAGGGCACAGCAGACTGATGCCACCTAATATAGGGCCAGCTTAGAAAGCAATAACTATAATAGCATATAAAAAGTGACATTCAGAAAGATTATCTTGGAGTCATCAAATAAAAATGTAAAAATTATCCTCAGTATAAAACTTAAGAAGTCATCAAAAATAGTTAATTTCTATATATGAAGGGATATGCTTCAATGAACTGATGAATTCATTTATTTGGAACAGCTCATTAATCAACAGTGTAAATAAACAAAACTCTACACTCCATAAAATACCTGCAAGGGAAGGAACTAACAATTGTTGAATACATACCTTATGTTGCTCTTTAAATATCCAATCTCATTTAATCCTTGCAATAATGTCCTAAGATGACATCATTCTCATCTCATAAATGAGTGAACAGATTTAGAAAGACTAATTTATTTAGGTCATACTAGAAGAACTAGGGTTCTAACCCAGGACTCTTGACTCTCAAAGTTTTTGTTTGATTCTAATACCATACCATAATCCCTCATCTTCAGACTGAAAATAGAATTACATCCCACAGATCAGCTCATTATCACTTCTAGTTACTAATAATGATAATTTTTAATATATTATATAGTGACATCTTTGCAAGAAACTCGAGGAGGTTCTTTAAGGGGAAGTTATCACAGGAGTAAAGATTCAAAGGTTGAAAGACCATACACCGAACACAGAATTTACCTCCAGTCCTTCCCCAAAATCCCTCTAAAACAGCATGAAGGGATTTTTTTTTAAAAGGGAAAAGGCACATAAACCTATAAGGTCAAAACAAAAAGGTGACAACAGCTATAAAGTTTGGAAACTGAAAAACAGACAAATAAGAATGGATTAAGCATATCTAAGAGTGTAAAAACCTAAGGCAGTAAAGAGTAACAAAAAATAAGGCAGCCTGCATTTGTGAGCCCCAGAAAGACTCAGGAATTGAGAACACCAGATACTTCTGAAGTGGGGATAAACATGCAACTGAAGAGAGGAAAATTAGTTGAAAATCTGTTTAAGAACGATTTAGATCCCTAGCTATTCTCCCCCATCCTAAGGGAAGGCTAAGAATTTACTGTCATGAGGGAGATTGACAAAGAAATCTAATGACATCAGGCACATCTGGGGGGCCAGGTACTACGCTAAAAACAGAGGAGATAAGTAAAGTATATATATCATGAATGGTGAGCCCACCCAGCCCTTTCCCTCTATTTAACCCCCAAACAAAACACTGCCAACCAGGCTTATATTACTCGAGGCAGGAGACTGGGATATTTCTGAACAATCCTACCAGTCCAAACAAAAGCCCTAAAGACAGTGACAAATGGTGGAGGTAAAGGGGTAGTGGATGTTCCTGAACAAAATAGTCCAGCTAGGTCAATTTACGATGAAAGTCACCAGTCAGCATGTCCCACCCATACACACAGAGCTTTCTGTCACCTTTTTAGTGCCTATTTTCATTCGTAAGCAGACAGCCAGACACTTAAGAAAACTAAATAAAAGAGATCAAAACAAATAGATAAAAGGAACTTACAGAGAGAACATGAAAGAAGAAAACATTTAAAAAATTGTCATGAATCTCATTAGGTAAGAGAATACAATGCTTCTATGAAAGAGTAGGATGCTTTTTTTTTTTTTAAAGGAACTTTGAGAGAAAAAGAGTTACTAGAAATTTAAAGTATGAGAGCAAAAATGAAAAACTCTATAAATGTAGTGAAAAATAAAATTAAATGATAAAGAAAATAAAAATACTGAACATTTACTACGTGCAAGGCTGTAACAATTTTTCATATATTATTTCATGTATTTACACCCAAAAATCCTATAAAATAAATACATTGTTTTCTCTGTTTTATAGACGAGAAAACTCGGGTAGAGAGTTTAGTTTTCCCACAGTCACGCAGCTAGTAAGTGGCAAAAGCTGGGATCTGAATCCAAGAAGTCCAATTCCAAAATACAGGCTTTTTCCATTATATTAGAGTAGGAAAACAATGCAAACAAATGGAAAATGGAAATGAGAAAGATAAATGGATCAATCCAGGCAGTTCAATAGGCAAATAACAGGTGATCCAAAAAGAGAAAACAGAGACAAATCAAATAACTCAAGAAATGTATCAGAATTGAAGGACATAAATATTCAGAATAAAAGGGCCCACTGAGTATACAACCTAATCGATGAAATAAAGACCCACACCAAGGAACATTACCTTGAAATTTCAGAATTCTGAAAGTTACTGAAAGTTTGTAAAGAGAAAAACAGTATCTGAAATTAGAATGGTACTGGACTTCCCAAAATCAATAATGGAAGCCGGAAGCCAACAGAGCAACAACATCTTCAAAAATTCACAGGGAAAATCACTTCCAACCTAGAATACTTTTCCTAGTTAAACCATAAAAAAAGTGGGAAGGTAGAATAAAGAAATTTGCAGTCTACCATGCAAGGTCCCCAAAAATTTACTTTCCATCCACCCATACACCAGGTAGCTACTGGAGGATATGCTCTGGCAAAATAAGCAAAGAAACTAACAAAGAAGATCAGAATGATGGTTAAAGAGAGATCCCAGAAATATAGGTGTACAACAAGCCTAGAGAGCCATTATGGTCCATCCAGATCAGTGTGGGAAGACAGAGGGGTCTAAAAACATGAAACTGACAAAATAATAATGACTTCAACATATTTAGAGAAGAGTTTAGGAATGAATTAATAACAGCATACAAAGAATTTAAAAAGAAGATAACAAAAGTTATTCACTTAATTATATCCTTCCTTTCTTCTATGAAACACCTGACAACTTTACTACTTTGGCAAATTAAAACCTGAGTTGCTACAGGGAAGGTCATACAAATATAGGTTAAAATTTTTTTCTATTTTAAATTTTTTCCAAATAGGATTACAACTATAAAATAGAGCACAATTCTTAGAAGAGATTCGGCTGTGTCATATTATGCAAGTCATTTAACATCGCAAAGCCTCATCTGCAAAACTGAAATAATAATACCTATCCCAAAGCCTTATCTGGAAAATTAAACAAAGTAAAAGATGTGAACATCCCCAGCATAATGCCAAGCACATAGTAAGCACTCAGTGCATGTTTATTAAATCTGAATCATACTGTCTGAAAGAAACAATTGGCAGGCAGAGACTCCCTCCACCACATACCTTCTGTGTTGTTGTGTTTGTTGTCTGTGTTGATGGTTTAGTGAAGGTTATTTTTACAGGAGACATGTGGGGTGGTAAGGAGTTGGCAATGCTCTGCATGATGTTGCTCATCTTGGGACTACCACTCACAGGCACAGTGATCGTCTTTGAGACTGGAACAACGGCCTTTGGAACTTCCTTTAGAACAACAGGAGAGGAGCTGGAAGAGTTTGTTCGCCTTCGTTTTCTGGGTTTTTCATCTTCATCTGAACAGCTTACACCTGAAGGGCAATGACAATACTGCTATATGTATACCAAACTAATCTTGCATTATACACTTTATTTTTAAAATCTTTATATCATCCTTGTCCTCTCTCTGTCTTAAGCCATTAGCCAATAAGTTCTATCAATCTTCCCTCAGAGAAGTGGTCTCTGAATGCCTTCCCTCCTTTCTTTTTTTTTTTTTTTTTTTGAGACGGAGTCTCGCTCTGTCACCCAGGCCGGACTGCGGACTGCAGTGGCGCAATCTCGGCTCACCGCAAGCTCCGCTTCCCGGGTTCACGCCATTCTCCTGCCTCAGCCTCCCGAGTAGCTGGGACTACAGGCACCCGCCACCGCGCCCGGCTAATTTTTTGTATTTTTAGTAGAGACGGGGTTTCACCTTGTTAGCCAGGATGGTCTCGATCTCCTGACCTCATGATCCACCCGCCTCGGCCTCCCAAAGTGCTGGGATTACAGGCGTGAGCCACCGCGCCCGGCTGCCTTCCCTCCTTTCTTTTAAGACAAAGTCTCACTCTGTCGCCCAGGCTGGAGTGCAGTGGTGTGATCTCAGCTCACTGCAACCTCTGCCTCCCAGGTTCAAGCGATTCTCCTGCCTCAGCCTCAGCCTCCCAAGTAGCTGGGATTACATATGCCCGCCACCACAGTCAGCTAATTTTTATATTTTCAGTAGAGACAGGGTTTCACCATGTTGGCCCAGGCTGGTCTTGACCTCCTGACCTCAGGTGATCCACCCGCCTTGGCCTCCCAAAGTGCTGGGATTACAGGCGTGAGCCACCGTGCCTGGCCTTCCCTCCTTTCTTTAAACCTATGGCCATGTCAGGCCTTCTTATCTCCTGCCTGTATCTTAGCAACAATCACCTAAAAGATGTCCATGCTTCCAGTCTGTCCACTTCTATCTACCCTCAATCCTACTACTAGTTGCAAAATTTCACATCTCATCATGCCTATGCACTGCCTAAAATCCTTTAGTAGTTTTTATCTCCCTACAAGATGAGGCACAAAATCATTACCATATCATTCAAGACTCCATATCTTTCCAAGAACACAATACCTGTTACATCCAACCCCATGTACCCCTATAATCTTGGGATTCTGAACTGCTAACCATTCCCCAAAGCCACCTTAACCACATTCTATCCATCTCTGAGTATCCATATACTATTGTTCCTTGGGGAATACCACCTAACATCAATGACCTCTTCATCATTCTGCAATCATCATCCTACAAGCCATCTCCTTAGTGAAGCTTTCCCTTATTCCTCTAAGCAAAGCTAATCCACCTCTCCCCTAAGCTGTACCACTTACCAGATGGCAATGTGATTGTCTACATATCTCCCATTAGTAAGGGGCTCCCAGAGGGTAATGACTAAGTCTTATTGGTTTGTTTCCCCAGTATAGTGCCTTGCACATACAAAGTTAGGTAAATAAACAATTACATCTCAAACTAATGTTGTTGGTATGACTTCTGAGCATAAAGCAATAATCTTCCTGTTACTTAAAACTACATATTATATGAAATAGTTTCTTCATGTTTGAGATGCACTTTCAGTATTTTACTTATTTATTTATTTATTTATTTATGAGATGGAGTCTCACACTGTTGCCCAGGCTGGAGTGCAGTGGTGCGATCTCAGCTCACCACAACCTCCGTCTCCCAGATTCAAGTGATTCTCCTGCCTCAGCCTCCCAAGTAGCTGGGATTACAGGCACCTGCCACCACACCTGGCTAATTTTTTTGTATTTTTAGTAGAGATGAGGTTTCACCATGTTTGCAAGGCTGGTCTCAAACTCCTGACCTCAGGTGATCTGCTCGCCTCGGCCTCCCAAAGTGCTGGGATTACAGGCATGAGCCACCATGCCTGGCCTGGTGTTTTCTTTTCTTTTCTTTTAAGATGGAGGCTCACTCTGTTGCCCAGGCTAGAGTGCATGGCACGATCTCAGCTCACTGCAACCTCTGCCTCCCAGGTTCAAGTGATTCTCCTGTCTCAGCCTCCCAAATAGCTCGGATTACAGGCGCCCGCCACCACACCTGACTAGTTTTTGTATTTTTAGTAGAGACAGAGTTTCACCATGTTGGCCAGGTTAGTCTCGAACGCCTGACCTCAACTGATCCACCCACCTCAGCCTCCCAAAGTGCTGGGATTACAGGCGTGAGCCACTGAGCCCGGCTCCAGCCTAGTGTTTTAAAAATGATCAAAAAGTAGGTCTCTACAGTTATTTTAAAAGACCACCTTGGCTAAATCTGCAGAAATCAGATATAAATTTAATTAATAGTCCTAGATTCTGCGTTTTTTCTTTATGAACTAAAGCCTCAACTGTTTTTGTAGACTTTTTAAAAATCAAGTGAGAAACATGAAACACAGCAACTTAACATAGAAAATCTCTGCAGAGCAGACATAAACAATTATATAGCATGACTCATGAAATTAGTAATAAAATATAACCCCTACACCTTCAATTTTTTAACTTTTAATTTAAACAGGGCCGACAAAGACCTAGAATTGTTCCTGTCTAAAACAGCAAACTTTACCTCTAAGTTACAAAGAAATCAAGTTTATAACCATATTGAGAAAAATGAAAATCAAATATTAATCACCTCCAGTTGACAGGAAAAACAAAGCAAAAAATAAAATTTAAGAAGATTCTGGCTTCCTCAGTTTCTGTCTCTCACTTCCTCTCTCACCATGGGATCTCTCTGCATACACCTGCTCTCTTTCCACTTTCTGCCTTGAGTTGAAGCAGCATAAGATCCTCACCCAAACTTGGACTTTCCAACCAGCAGAATCGTGAGCCAAATTAACCACTTTTCTTTTTTTTTTTTCTTTTTTTTGAGACAGAGTCTTGCTCTGTCGCCCAGGGTGGAGTGCAGTGGCGCAATCTCGGCTCACTGCAACCTCTGCCTCCCGGGTTCAAGCAATTTTCCTGTCTCGGCCTCCCGAGTAGCTGGGACTACAGGCATGTGTCACCACGCCCAGCTAACTTTTTGTTGTTGTTGTATTTTTAGTAGAGACGAGGTTTCGTCAGGTTGGCCAGGCTGGTCTTGAACTCCTGACCTCAGATGATTCGCCCGCCTCGGCCTCCCAAAGTGCTAGGATTACACGCGTGAGCCACCGTGCCCGGCCCCTTTTCTTTATAAATTACAAAATGTATATATAAAGCAACATTGTCTTAACAGAAATTAAAAACAAAAAAATGAAAAAAAAATGAACAGGACACCAAACTGCTTCATAGGGTAGAATCAAGGAATTAAAAACTACAAACAAAAGAAACTTCAAAAATTACAGTCAATTAGAAATAAAGATAGGCTCTCTAGAATGTTTCACTGAATATAACAGCTGGATAATACATTATATAAAATAATCTAAGAAAATACTACAAAGATTAAAATTATAGGAGAAATATTGAATAAATTACATAAGCACATTCCTTCAGTTTCTATTCACAATATTTCTATTTCATGACAATCAAAAAAGTGAATTCTTAAGGATAACACAGTTCAAAGGCAGATTACCCACAGACAATGAAAATGAAGTCACTTCTGAAACCCCAGAACTGATTAAAAAAGCAATATATACCTAGTCATATGTAAAGAAAGGAATTCTTTAAAATCTTCAAAAACTAACCTACTAACAGCTAGTGGACCAATGATTTAATCCAGGAAGGCAGGTCTAATCAGAGCCTAGACTGCAGCATTTAGCCAAGAAGGCCCTGATAACACTGAGAATATCACTTACTTTTGACATAAACAGTACTTCCACTTGGCAAGACAACTACATTGGAGGCAGGACTGGCAGGTCTTGGAGACTTAACCGTTGCTATGCTGCCACTTGGAACAGGGGTAGAGGTTGGGGTTGACGTGGTACTTGTGTAGGAATAGCAAACCACTACTGAAGGAACGATAAAAAAGTTTGCTGTTAACTTTCACCAAAACTGTCCAGGCATACAAAAAAATTATTTTTATTGCAGGCCAATTTTAACATTTTCATGTGATCAGAAGTCAGAGGCCAGTACTAGGTATTAGGTCCACAGATTAAAAGGCATTAATAACCTTTCCTGAAAATTATCACTTAAATAGATTTTTCCCAAGTATTTAACAGCTTGTCTACAGGTGACATTGCTGACGGAGAAAAACACAGTTACAAAGAAATAAAGTTTAAAATTATACTGAGAAAAAATGAAAATAATTTTCACTCATGGCAGGAGTGGGACAACAGGCACTTACTTGTATTCCCTTTTAATACTAATAGCAGCACCAATGATATGGGTGGATAATTTTTCCCTAACCTTAGCAATTTCCAATGTGGCCACTAGGGAACAATCAAGGAAACGTTCTTTTCTATAAATCAACTCGCTAGTCATTGCCATCCAAGCAGCACAACAACTCAACTAAAATAATGACAACATCATATTTCAACCTATCATTCAACGAAGGGATACAGCTAAACAACAGTAAGAATAGGTTATAGGCACCATTTATTGAGTACCACACACTAAATCCTTTCCATACATCTTCACTAATTCTCACAACATCACATTCTCATTTTAAAGATGAGGAACCCAAGGCTCACAGAAGCTCAAACTTGCTGGAGGTCATACAGCTAGGAAATGACAAATTAAGATTCAAACATGGATTTGACTAGTGGAAACTCTGTATTCTTTCCACTCTACCTGAGCGTCAGTAGATGGAAGAACTCGATGGAGGCCAAGTTTATACACTGTCTTCCTCCAAATATACCTTTTCTCACCCTAAAACAGAGCCTGTCATGCATAAAAAAAGTGTCTTACTCTGTTCCATGGCCATTGCTAGGTAAGCAAAGACAATTCCCCAGAGTAACCTGACAAATGCATTGTTTTTAGGGTCATTGTCATGCAACATCAAACTAAACTACTTGAGTCAATCCAAATATGCTCTCTCAAATTTAATATTACTCTTGGTGGCCTCTAGAGCATTGGAGGATTTTTAAAGCATGTGTCAATTACTAGATAAATAATGATAAAACCCTTCTGCCAGGGAATGGATTCAGCACATTCATTAACCAGAACAAAGAAGTAGCATATATCACTGATTCCAGAAAATGAAAACAGCTTTATTTTCTAAAGCTATCAGTTCAGAATCATTTTTTAGTAGCTAAATGACTTCTGTTACCTTATTTATTTTCTAATGTCATCCATTAAGGCCTTCTATTCATTTTTAACAAGACACACTGATATCAAAAATCTATTCCGAGGTTTTTGCAATTTTGATGATTAACATAATTCACACCTTCGACAAAAGGGAGACTAAATTTTGTCTAAGGCTAAAAACCTGGCAGTCTAATTTCAGAATTAGAGTTTCCTACTATGTTTCATAACCTTTAAACACTAGAATAAAAGTAGATGAAAAATAAGACAACTTTTCTTGAAATTTTCTTGAAGATTCTAAGAAAAGTAATCTCTAACACAGGCATATTTTTCTACTCACCTTCCTTGCTTCCTGTTTCTGCAGGCACTGGAAGAGATGCATTATGCTGGATAGCTGCATTAGCAACAGCATTAGCTGTTACAGTAAAGGCGGTTTGGGGAACGAGCCGGGGCATCAGTGGTACCAATCGACGACCTTCAATGGACCATTCTGAAGAGCTATTAGGTCCAGACATACTAAACAAAAAAGAAAGCGCTGCTACAAGGGTTTTCAATCACTAAAAACAAATCAAACATATATGCTCAAACATATATAACTTTTTAAATTATAAAAAGTGCCCTGAGTGAATAGGAGAGGCTTTATTTTAAGCAAGCAAGATCAAAATTATGAATAATTATAATTCAAGGAATGTCACACACTTAGGTTCTTACACAGTTTATTCTATAATCTGAATCTTATCATGAACATAACTGAAACTACAAGAAATCTTCCTATGCCTTCTAAATAAATATCGGCCTTGGTTTCATTAACTTAAATCTGCTATCACTAATGAAAACTAGTATTTCAACTAATTTTTAGAAGTTAATTTTATAATTAACACAAGAAAGTAAAAAGCACTTATAATTTTAAAAGTCAGATTTTCCTTAATTAAGGATGGAATTCACTGAACCTTTTGAAAATTATCTAACTGCCTGCATGGCCAGAGGTTCTAAGGCTTTCAAACAAGGGAAACTGAGGCAGTAAACAAGGGAGCCTAAGTAGAAAAGAACAGAAGAGTGCTGTATATATAACCGTATGTGTCACTGACAATGTATTGTTATTATCCTTCCTGTTAAAAACAGACTAGATCTAACGACACTAGAAGAAACGCACCATTAATTTTATTTATTTATACCACCCTTCACTCTAAGAAGGAATTGAGACAATTCAACTCTCTAAGCAAACACCATTCTCAGTTTCTCTACCCAAAATTCCTGGAGCAAATTTTATTCCAAGAATCCAACCAGAGGTTGAAATATCAAAACGTAGTTGTATCACTTCTCTTAACTTGGCTCTATGAAAGACCCTGACTAATGATTAGTGCTGAAGTTTAAATTCACTCCGAAATAATCAATCTCTTCACACTAAATCTGAAATATTTCTGCATTTGAAACCATAGGTTCTTCAAACTAACTTAGAGTTTAAGACTCTGTATGTCCACCCATTCTCAGATTTAGATAAGAGTATAAAGCCCTTGTTAGTGGGCAGTGGAAAAATGATAATGCTAATAATGATAGTAATGATGATAGTTATCATTAAGCACTTATGTCAAGGATTGTTCTAAACATATTACATGTATTAACTCTTCAATCCTATGAATTTGGTAGTATTATTACCTCCATTTTACAGATGAGGAAACTGAGTCAGAGATATCAAATAACTTGCCTAAGGTCACGCAACTAATAAATGTCTCCTTCGACCAGCATAATCATACTACTGAAATTATTTGACAGATAAGTAGAAAGTATAAAATTTTTCAAATGGGTTTTGCCTTTGATGTATACCAACTGGATAGTGCTGTTGAATTACTACCAACTTTCACTGAATGGAATAAATCACTTTTACAATTTAAGGATTTAAGTTCAGCTCAGAAAGGAATTTCTAAGAGCCGATGAATCCAGCTGGGTTACTGTGGAAAATGTGTAAATTCCTTTATGGTTTAACACAGTCCTACCTAAGACAAAGGAAAGGGGAATTCCTAAAACTTCAGTAACACTCACAAATTTGTTATTATATAATCCCCAAGTTGATGCTACTTTTGAAACAAAGAATGGTACAAACAAGAAAGAAACAGAAAAGCTCATTGTTAGAGGAAAAAATTCTAAAAGCTATTCAGCATATTCTTGGCTTACTTTTATTTTGCTATCAGTTTATTATAATATCACTAATAAGCTTGCTTGGTGAGAGTTTACCACACAAATTAAGTGACATCTACACTTACCTGGTACATTGTTTAAGTGGTGGCAGAAATTATGGAAGATTAATAATTTGAAGCACATGAACATATGCTACTGAAAAGACAAAACTTGCAGTGCAAAAGACACAACTGCAACTTTTAGAAAGATCTATAAATCTTCCAAATTTCTACTCATGCAAACATGCTCAAACTTTGAGTGAAAAATTAAGTATCATGTTAGAATTAGATCAGAAATTCCTATTTGCTTAGTAATGAAGATGTAAGTGTAAATATGCATTAGTTACACAAGTTATCTAAACTAGATTTTATAGACTAAACATCTTCCTGGAGGGCTTCACTGAGATACTTTAGTGTGAGTATAAAAGTGTCTCTCTATTTATACTAAGTATGACAGGGGAAACCTTGCTCCAGTCCCTTTTCTGAGAAATCTAAGATTATACTAATGAAACTACCTTGGCCCACATATCCTTTGGTGTATAAGGCACCAGTAAGAAATCCTCATCCTCACACAGAAACTGACCCAGTATCCTGTGAATGTCTGAGTGATGGGGAAAGGATTAAGAGAGCAGAAATTCCAGATAGACACTTTCTCCTGAATCTAGAGACAACATGGGCAAGAGTGGTCCAATTAAAAAATCCGAAGCTCCTTGACATCCAAGGCGTTAATACTGTAACATTCTGACATAATTAAAAACTGAATTAAGAGTATCAAACTACTTAATAAGTGGCCTGGTGCCAAACAATAAACACGTGTTATGTTTCAAGCCACAAGAAAGGCTTTTCTTTGATCCCAGATATCCCACTCCTTTTGTTTCCCCCTCCTTTGTGCTCAATCTTCTCAGCTTTCTCATCACCTTTCAACCACATTCCTTCAGGCCTTAACTCCTATTTTGAGTGGGGGGAGGGGAGGGGAGGAGAAAGGGAATGCAGTCAGTTCAGGCGCATTCCTTTAGTTGTTTTTCTAGGCTTGGAGTATGAAGCCCTCCTATAGATAATCTTTGGAACTAGGCTCTGTTGCTACTTCTGAGGGGAAGAGGGCAGAGGAGATGGAAAGAATGAGAGATCTATTCCTTCCTCACCAATCCCCACTCACTGACCCCTTGAGCTCAACAAGTAGATAAAACATCTGATCCAACTAAAACAATAATATATTAAAACAAGAATATAGAAAAACCTAAGAAGCTCAAAATTATACACTGAAGTAAACTCTTTTCAAAAAAATGAAATTTATGTATTAAAGAAATCAGAAAGGAGAGAAAAAAGAGGAAACACAGGCAGATAAAAGCCAACTCTCAATTATCCATGCTGATGGAGAGAGGAGGGAAAGGGAGAGGTCAAATAGATTAAAGAAACTCATATATTATCCAAAAATATTTTGGCAAATACTTGTAAATTCTTCCACCAAACCTTTTCCAGGACAACTAACAAGTAGTAAAATGACTAATTAAAATTTTCACCTCCTCTCCCTTCCCACCCTCTGACTAGAGGTACTCCCAAGCAGCAAAATGGCTAAAGGGTGGGCAGTATTAGGAGGGGGAGGAGGGGAAGAGAAGGAAAGCAAGGGGCATGGTTAATTCATAAATGGAATAATGTGCCCCTGAATAATTGAGAGCTTCAATTTGGAAATAAATACAAGAAAAAGCCTGAAATAATAATAACCTATTTGCATACCTGTAACTTGGTCTTTCACCCAAATATAAGGATAAATTCATTCTTTAAAGGGGAAAAAAGGAAAAGGAGACTAAATAAATGTTATCCTTTAAGTATGAAACTGATGCATCAACTTACAACTAGTTGCCCCACAATACCTTTCCAATGCTTCTACAATACTAATTTGTTTCTAAGTGCCTCTGAATGCAAGCTAAGGTTTACTACTTTATTCTCTAGCACATAAATTTCCTATTACTAGTTCTCAAATTAGAATCTAGGCGCAGTTACCATTACTTCTAGAGCACCCCAATTCAAAAGCTTAGAGCAAATTAAAGAAGGAACACATTGACTAATATCTGAGTGTTTCAACCATGTTAGCCTAGCAACTAGATTACTAAACATCTCTAATAGAAAATTCCCAAATTTCTACAGTGCATACCTACCACTGAAGAATCTCAAAATTCCAGAATAAACAGCTCAACCTTCAAACTACGTTGTTGAAAAGGTAGCACCCCATTTTATGTTAAGTAAAATGAGGGACAGTGAAGCACAAGATGAAGCTCTTTGGGGTCAATTCAAATATTGCCAATTGACTTAAATACAATGTTTAAGTTATCACATTATGGAAATGCACTGAATTTTTCCCTTTAGTTTTATTTAACATTAAAACATAAAAATAAAAAACAAATGAATTATACTATAACATATTTTATGAAATGTTTTATCATCTTGTACAAACATTTAAAGGCTACTTTCTGTTCCTTTGTATTCTTTAGGAGGCACTGTCTCCATACATACTCAATTAAGGCTTAATCCCTGCCCTCAATCCTCTACCACCCTCCACCCCTCCTCTTAAATAGTTATAATGATCAGAAAACAATTTGGTAAGAATCTTTAATCGTTTTATTTTTTTGGCTTTTTAAAAATAAATTAAGAGATGTTATATTCATATTTCTTAAAGACAGAACACAAATTTTACATTTTTTTCTGAATCTCAAAATACATGAAATAATGAGTCAGATATCAAAAAAGTTACAACGCCTATTTATAAGGTAATAACATATCAAATACCATTACAAAGAACCTCTAAAGGGCTTTCAATTTTAGGGGTCACAATACTTTGTTACTGAACTTGGCCTCAAGTAAGTGAATCATCTGCTAAATTGTGGTGATTTTTAGTTAGACAGAGATTACATTGTAACAGGATTTGACCTGAGTACTTAAAGCTTGCCTAACCAAATGCAAAAAAAAACCCAACTGAATAAACAGTTAATATCACTTTTACTGCTATGATCAGGATCCCTGAGTATAGAGATATTGTTACTTAAAAGACTCAGGAATCTGCTACACAATAGGAAGACTGTTTCAAAACTGTGTTATACTATGTCATAAAAAATCAGGGATGGTACGACTAATGGCTTACTTATGTGCAATTGTTGTTAACCGTTCATCGTTTACTGCTCTCCGAACTTCAGCACGGTGGCGTTCTGTTGAGATGCTATGAAGAAAAATAGCCATTATAGAACTCTGCCAAGCAGGCAGCTCTTTCTATACTTTCATTAATGTTTAAGTCAACATTTTTGGGGGGAGAAGGGGGACAAGATTGCTTTGTGAAAAGATATAGACAGGAGTCTAATATATATATCTTCAAATGCTTTAACATCTTAGAAAAGGATTCATACTAATTCTGTGTAACTGAAGAAATATTTAGTTGCAAATTAGAAATCATAAGAAGACAAATTCAGCCTGATATCAAGGTATTACTTCCAAATCTCAGAAATGTCAGACCATGGGTAAGATTAGCAGAGCTTCCTGCTATCTAAACATGCAAACAGATGCTGAATGGCTTCCTAATTGTGACTGCTGAGAAGAGGATTTTGTCACTTACAAGAAAGTTTTCTAAGGTCTTTTCTAAGGCTTAGGAGTCTATAATTTAATGTTCAATGAATATAATAAACAAATGGAGTGGCAAGATAATCTGTTTCCTGTGGCTATACACTATACAACTTAACACCAGGGTAATATTCCTTTATTATTCAATACTTTAGCTGCATATCTTCTACATTACATTATGTTACCAATGGTAAAAATGTGCTTATATTAATCCTGATTAAACACATGTAAAGTTAATAATAGTAAACAACTTTTTAAAAGGTTATACCCATTCCATTCATAAATACTCAATAAAATGAATACCACTCTTCAAATTGTATTCCATACTATTTAAGCTAAATCTCTAATATGGACCAAAACAGAATTAAGAGGCTACAAAACAGAATTTATGAGAAATATAAACAACAAACAAATACAAATTGTTAACTATGAAGACAGTAAGATTGAGAATTTGGCTTAATAACATCCCTATATTAATGTTAAGTAACAGGAAGAGCCTCTTCCATATTTTCACTTAAAAAAGACTATGTTTAAGGCCATGACCACATAATCACTACCCATTTATGTAAATTAAGGCATCTTCCTCACATCACCTCTTCCCTCCAACAAATGCCACTCTAGATCATCACATCCAGTTACTGCTCTTCTTTCCTTCACCTATGTCAAAAGCACCTCCCTTATCCAGGTGGGCTAAAAGTAAGATAAACTGCCTTCAAGTCTTTCTGAAGAGTTTGCACGCTCTTCATTCTGGATTATATTCATTCTGGATTACACAATAAATGGTAAATTATACAATTTTCTGTAACAGAGCACACAACTGGGATGGAGTCTCTTAGCACCAACAATTTGAACACCTCTGTTCTTCAACTTAATTTGACAGTTACTTAATTTGAGAGTGATAAGTAATAAAATCCCCCAAAATGAAATTTCTAGAGTCTCACAAACATTTACAATAATTTACCTAAGAACTTTTGATAGTTCTCCAAGAAGATCTTTCTTTTCCTTGGTGAGATCCCCCTGTGCCCGAAGTGCACTGATAACTCCAGCATATGCCTCCAATTCTAAAAGAAGAAAATTATTTTATCAAGATAGGCCTTTAATATTTTAATACTATGGCTATGTATAGTGAAACTTCAGGGCAAAAAAACTAAAAATAATTAAATAAAAATATTGTTTTAAATTCCTTTCAAAAATTTTATCTAATAACATTAAAATGTGACTTTTATAATTTTATATTTTGTTTTTCATTGCCTCACAGAAGTCATGTATATAAAATGTTTAGGTAGAAAAATCTAACAGTAGATATTTTGTTTCACACATTGTCACTAAAAAACATATAACACAAATGATACCAACAACTGGGAATAGGCACCAACTGATGTAACAAGGCTGAGACGTTTTCAGCATTACTAAAAGGTATCTTCATTAATCAACTCTTAAAATAATTCCTTAGGCTTGCCTAAGAATTCAAACTATATTCTACCTCCCTCCTGTGTAATCGAAAGTACTGTAAATAGTATGCAATGGAAAAAATATTGGAACAAAATATTCTGACTCCAGCACTGCCACTTATTAGTTATGTGACATTCAGCAAGTCTTTTCTCATCTCTAAACCTGTTTCCTTACCTAGAAGGGACTTTGTAGGTACCCTCCAGAAGCAAGATCCTCCGCATCTATAAAAACTATCATCAAAATGACTAATTGGGAAACATAAACATGAAATGATCTTGCAGCAACTAGGACATAATATACTGAATCCTAATACTAGACATCTTCATTGCACTCTCTCCACAGAATTAACCATTAAGAAATAAAACTGTCAGGCCGGGTGCAGTGGCTCATGCCTGTAATCCTAGCACTTTGGGAAGCCGAGGGAGGCAGATTGCTTGAGTCCAAGAGTTCGAGACCAGTCTGGGCAACATGGCAAAACTCTGGCTGTACAAAAAAAATACAAAAAATTAGCTGGGTGTGGTGGTACACACCTGTAGTTCCAGCCTCTCAGGAGGCTGACGTGGGAGGATCACTTGAGCCCAGGAAGTCAAGGATGCAGTGAGCTGTGATCATGCCACCGCACTCCAGCCTGGGCAACTGAGCGAGATCCTGTCTTAAAAAAAAAAAAAAAAATCTGGCCAGGCTTCATGGCTCACACCTGTAATCCCAGCTCTTTGGGAGGCCGAGGCAGGAGGATTGCTTGAGCTCAGGAGTTCAACACCAGCCTGGGCAACATGGCAAGACCCCATCCCTACAAAAAATTTAAAAATCAGCTGGGGGTGGTAGTGCATGCCTGTGGTCCCAGCTACTCAGGAGGCTGAGGTAGGAGGATCACTTGAGCCTGGGAGGTTGAGGATGTGGTGAGCCATGTTCATGCCACTGTACTTCAGCCTGGGTGACAGAGTAAGACTCTGTCTCAGAAGGAAAAAAAAAAAAAAGGAATGTCTGTTCCAACCAAATGACCCTAAGTTTAAACATCCTGCATGTTCAACCTGTGTTGGATACTATGTAGACATTTCAATGTGGTGGTCACTCTTGAAGGACAAAGCTCTGCTGCTCAGAGTAGTGAAGGAAATAGTTAGTTTCAGGAAACATGTTTCAGCTTTTATCGGACCCAGAATAGAGTCCAGAAAAAGCATTAGGGATAACCAAGAATGCAGTATACTCTAAATGTTTATGCCTTCCCCCATTTATGAAATATTTTATTCAACAGATCAGTATTGAGTCCCATTATATATACCAAATGGTGCGCTAATCCTGCCCTCAGGGAGTTAAGTGCAGAAGAGAAATACATCATCTAGCGTAGAAGCAGAAGCTTTAATCAGAAAGAGAATTGTGTGCCAGGCAGGCAGGGAAAAAAAAAAAAAAAAGCAAATGTACAAAAGAAATAGAGTAAAAGAACAGATAGTTTCATATTATTCCAGTAACTTCCAGTAACAGTCAGTAACTATGTTTGAGAGTTTTATACTAAGGGCAGTAAAAATATGTCTGTACTTGGATAGTCCCTAACTCAAACCAAACTACTAATTGAACATTACTGCTACAAGGTATCATGGAGAATATTTCTAGGAACAAAATAAAATCCCTATCCTCAAGGTGATTAAAATCCAACAAGGCACCTAAGAAATATATCCAAATAACTATTTTAAAGATTTTAGTTCACACATGGAAGAGAACAGAGAACGGTAAAAATGGAAAAGTAGTTTGTGGCCAGACTGAGAAAAGCCTCTATTTCCAGTCTAAAATGTTTTTATTTGATAGGACTCAGTAATTGATTGATTGTGGGAAGTAATGACAGAAGGCAGTCAGATTTTGCAGCCTGCAAAATGTTTAGGAGAATGGCAATGCCATAAAAAGAAATGAAGAGGTCAAAGTGAGGGAATAGTTTGAGAAAAATGAAAAAGAAGTTGACACTTGTGACCTGTGGAATTTATGATGATCAAGACATTACTTCAGAGAAAATAAAATTAACTAAAGAAATACAACAAATATTTCTGACATTTCAAGTCTAAGAAGTCATGTACAAAATCAAGAGATGGCAACCTCACACACACAAAACTGGGACTCTGAACACAGTTACCACAGCTATAGAATCCACATCACTTCCTCCTCTTCACAAGAAATTCACTCATTGTAAAGAACCCTATTAGCTTCCCAACCTCCTTCACATTTGTTGATGTCCATTTTGATGGGTATCCTTAGATCTTCACATACCTCAAATTTAGTTGAATTTCTGGTATTATTTTTCAAGCAATTCTATCACAGTGTTAATACAAAAGTAGAATAAAATAACAAACACATATGAACATTCCAAAAACGAAAGATTTGCCAAACCATTTATATAAAGCCCTCAATTTGGTCCATTAAATCAGCCATTCAAATACACTATAGTCCATAAAGCCCCGTGTTGGAGCTACAGCTCAGGAATGATCACAAAAATAGGGAAGGGGAGAGGCAAGACAGAGAGAAGGAAGCATTTATCTAGCACTGACACATTCAGTATATATAAAGAAATTCTCTATCCCAATTTCTTTATATGTATGTAAAATCTAAGTATTTAACATCTTATATTAAAATGATTTATAACTATTTTTTAAAGGATACAGCTAATTTTTAAAAACTGTATGTACCTTTTCTAAACTTTGGACCTAGAGTTAGCATGTGAAGACAATTCAAAGGTTTCATTGTTATGATAATAAGCCAACGGGTGGGGAGGAAGTCTTTGGCAAATCACTATCAAAGCTCACCTCCCAATATGAGGGGTCAATGAAGATGATATTACCATACGAGATGACTGTTTTCTTTTATATAGAAGCACTCTGCAGCAACATTACCCACACAGCTCTGATTAAATTAGGAATAAATTTAGACTTAAAGGTTACCATTTTTATATTTAAACATAATCTCTCAATTCAAAGGCCCCCAAGCCCAGAAACCCCAATTCAATCTACTGTCTTTGTGATATGTTCTGCAATTTCAGCTATCAAATAAATATGAGTCCAACTTTATAATCGGCAACTAACAAGTTATATTAATTGTATGCAAGTGTAGAAAACTATCTTCAGATTAGGACTAAAAGTTTGGTTAAAAAAAAAAAAGATTGACATCCCCCACACCCTCTCCAAAAACAACTCTCTTAGACTTGCTTTAAAAGATGCTGCTAAAAAGTGATTTGAAATCCTCATAGTGGCCTTGGGTGGAATAAAAAGGACAGGCAGGGCCAGAGCAGCTATGATTCTATCTGATTTACAAAGAAAAATTCCCAACAAAGATTTACTATGACGGGCCCTTTATGTATACTGTTAACACACGTAACAAACTAATGAGGCAGAGAGTGTTATCCTCTTTTTTTTTGTTTTAACAAAACTATCAACAAATTTAGGAAGAATAAATAACTTGTCCTTGGTCACATGGGTCATTTGTAATAATACCAAGACCCCAGGTCTGTCTAAATTCAAGACCTATACTTTTCCTTTAAAATCACAGATATCTAAATAATGCATATCCACTGCCAAAACATTTAATCTTCTTTTTCAAATTATTTTTTTCAATTATTTCATTTATTGTGCTAGCCAGAGACTACAGTGGTAAATAAGACAAGGTCCTCATAGTCTAAGGCAGCATTTCTCAACCAAAGATCCTCATTTGAACTACAGAACACAAAATGATTTGAGTAATAACTCTTTTTCTCAATTTTCCCAAGGAAAGTAATAACTAATAGCACTCTAGATGCACAGGGCGAAGTTAGTTCTTTACATACAATGGATACCTTAGCATTAGGGTTTAATTCTTTCCCTCAATGCTGGTTGAGAAAGGCTGCTGTAAGGGAAAAGAAACACTAAATAATAAATTACAAGCATAAAATGTGTTTTATTATTGATAGTAAAATATAATTTGAAAAAGTGAGCATGGCTTACATCAACTTAGAATTCAGAAATAGTATGTAATTGACACATACAATCATGAAGGTTAAGAGTATGTTAAAGTGAGACTGAAAGCATACTCCCTGGTTCAAATACTGACTCCATGTCTATCACCATTACCTTGGCTTCTAAGCTTCATCTGTAAAATGGAGACGAGACAAAACAAACAAACAAAAAACACCTACCTTTTAGGCTTTCAAAGGACAAAGCTAATTCTTAAAATATTTAAATTAGATGTTGTATAAAAAAGACTCAGAATAGCCAAGTAGCCCTCAATAAATCTTAGCTACTAGTATTATTACAATTCACACACCTACTATTTACAAAGCACTATGTTAGGCACTGAGGGAAACAACAATGAGTAAGATGGGAACTGTATCTCCAAAGAATTTCTGATGTAGCGTGAGATATGACATCCATGCAAACAGCTATGACCTAGGCAGAAAGGGAAAAAAGGTATCAGAGAGAGGTAAAAAACAAACAATGAACGTCATACCCAATTTTCGAAGAATTCTTTTGCATTCATCCCTGCTGAGATCCAGAAGGGTTGGCCACACAACAGGCATTGCTGCTTCTGTTTGGTAGCCCCAAAGAGCTTGTCCTCCCTACCAGAACAAAAAAAAAAAGTCAAATTACCAAAGTACCAAAGTACATTCAAGGGGCCACTCACCTGGAGATCCAGTCACAGGCTAAGAAGTAAACCAAAAAGATATTACTATTTTACAATCCTTTCTCACCACCACACTTTCCAACTTTTGAGAAATCAAGAATTAAGTCATTTGAACTATCACAGTGGAAAGAACACAGGCTTTAGAGCCAGACACCTCTAGGTTTCTAGTCCCAACTTTTCAACTTACTGGTTAAGCCTAAGCTTTACACATCTATAAAACAGAGGTAATACCACCCAGTTTGTTACGCGTATTAAAGAACACTATATATAAAGTTCTTTCATAGTGGCTGGCATTTCATTTAATAAACAGGTGGTACTACCAACCTGGGGCAAGTTGACTCCTGTCAGCTTCCTCATTTATGAATTACATGAGATAAAATTTGTAAAGCTCCTAGCAAGTTAAAGAAACTTAATAAATAACTCCTCGTGCTCGCTTCAGCAACACATATACTAAAATTGGAACGATACATACATATATATATATACACATATATATATACATATATATATACACACACACACATATATATATACTCTCTCAAGTCTTAATGGAATATGAATTTTGATCCTGTAGTTATTAAACAGCCATTTACCAACAGTTGAGCTGCCAGGAACTTACTTAGAACTGGGAATTTCCTAGTGTAAAAGACAAAAAGACACGGCTCTGGGGGCACGCGCAATACCTGCTTAGCACAGAGTAGAGCCGCTCTAAGTATTTGTTAAATGGGTAAGTGAATGGTTGACGCGACTGAGCAAAACGAATGGATGAATGAATGAATGAACGAGCTCACTGTCTAGCCTAGAAGTCAGACACCGAACCGAAATAACTGCTATATCCCGTTCCAGGCGCTGGGGCTGCTAACTCCAACTCTGTGTCCCGAGGTGAGCCCCCCTCCCCCTACTTCCCATAGTCCTCTCAGCTCAGAACAAACCCAAGGCAAGAAGAACTGGACTGCGCGCCCCAGCCGGCAGTATGACATAAAGAAAAGGGGTGGGGAGGAGGAAGAAGGGGCAGAGCCAAAGGAATCCTCTCCCTCCACAAGCCAGTCCCCGCCTCCCGACAGGATCTTGGAGGCGGCCGGCGACTGCTCGAACCGAGCACCACGTCACGGCATCCCGGCGCGTCCTAGCCAGGGGACCCCAGAGCGGGGCCGCAACGCATCGGAAACCCGGGCAGTAGTTTCCGGAGCCCGCTCGGGGAACCAGGATCTTGTAGGATCCTTCCCCACTCAAGTGTCAAGGAGACAAGCCCGCCCCGCCCCCTCTCCAAACACGCACTCCCTAGCAGCACCACAACAAGAGCAGCCAGCCCAGGCTCCTCACCCGGACCTCTCGGCGCCGGTCCCAATGTCAAGTCCACGACCCAAGCCCCTCTGGGCCAGTAGCTGTTGTCAGGGGTCCCGGCCGGCACCCGCGCCTCACTCCCTCCCCAGCGGAGAGGACAACCGAGAGAGAGTAAGCCAGCGGATACCCAGCCAGACGACCTGGACTCACCGGGAGTCTCCCAGAGCTAAACCCCCAGAGTCCCAGCACCAGGCCAGCCAGAGTCCCCCTGAGTCCACCCCGGGGAGCCCCACGATCCCGTTAGGAAACAACGGAGGATGGGGCTGGGAGCCCCAAGCCGGGCTCCGAATGCTTGGCCCGGCGCTCCTCTAGCCTGGCTGGCCTGCCAGCTCTTCCCAGGACCCTGCCTGAGAGTCACCCACCTGCCCGGCCTTTCGGGGCTCATCTAAAAGGCTCCTCCGCCAAGACTAGGGGACACCAGGAATTGGGTTTGTTTGCGGTGCCTCTGAAGGGGCAAGATGGCGACAGGTAACAGGGCGCAGGCGCAGCCGCGCGCGGCCAGTCGGGAGGTGTAGTTCGCTTTTCCCGCCTTTCGGAGAACAAACACCAAAAGGCCTCCATTCATCTTGTCCTTCTTTTCCTCCGCGTTATGAAAGAAAAGGACAGACATCGCGGAGGGTGCTGGGAGTTGTGGTCCGAATCCAAACTCCAACCTCTTTCGCTCCAGGTTTGCTGTCGTACGCGCAAGGAAGGCCGGGATTGTAGTTCCCTTGGTTTCTCCTGCATACCCTCCTGTCTCTGGCTTCGCGCGCCTCTCCTGGGCTGCCGTCTCCCAGCCAATCGGCTGCGCTCTCTGCTACGTGTGGCGTCACACGTAGCGGCCAAGATGGCGCTAGCGGTTGGAGCAGGGGCTCTGCTGCGACCTTTACGGTAGTGAGGTTAGGGACGATGGGAGAGCAGCTTTGTTCCTGAAGTGCCGTCGAGGATTAGGATCGAGTTTCTTCGATCGTGAGGGCAATTATTAGTGGCCTCTAGCCCCCCAGATGGCATCTTGAGGAGAGAGAATCCACGCTACGAGAACTAACATAGTGGACATCGCAGTTGTCCGTAGCCGATTTGCGGGTTACGGAGTTGTTGCAAGTAAAGAAGGGGAAATCCGAGCGTTCTCGCGTTGGATTTCCTCCACGTGTGAAGTGGGAATGGTAGTGATATCTCGTGCTATCTCTGTCAAGGGCAAGAAGGAGAAGGAATTTATTTGAGGCCCTACGACGTGGTAGGTTCACCCTCAGCCTTTGTTCTTATTTCATCTTATTTGTGGAGAAGGTCTTTTCGTTCCTATTTTACAGGTGAGAAAAGGGGCCCAATATATAGTTATTTGCGGCCATAAAATAGAAGCCAGTTGCCTGATACTGAAGATTCAATGAAATCTTGTGATTGACTTCCCTCTTTAAATTTTGTACTTTGGGTAACATCGGATCCGGTAGAAACGCTCGTCAGAAAGAGTTTTTAATGTGCATTCTACAATTTCCAGACATAGTTTCCTTCTTGAAAAATTGGGTTAATACTACCCTATAGGGATCTTGTGATGCACCACGTAAACGTTGTAAGTTGTGAACCACTATACAAACGTATGAGACTCTTCATGTTCTTGAGTGGAACTGTAGGTTAGGAAGAGAAGGTAAATAACAGCATTTAAGTTTCCTACTACTATTTGCCCATTAGCTAAAAATACCCTCCGAGGTCTAGGAAAGTCACTGTTGTTGAAACCCAACCTACACCTTCAGAAAATCGTAAAGTGGAACATATTAATCACCAGGCCCTCCCTCCGCTGTCTCCCTGACCTTCCTATGCATCCAGTTGCTTAAGAACTCTTGGAAAGATAGTAAGTGAAATCTTCATAGAGGATTTTTGTACTTTAACATATATTATTTGATTTGAGCCTCGCAACATTTCAGTGTGACAGGTACGATTAAGGTCTTTCATACTATGAATGAGAAAAACATAGATGTACCAAGGACTCACCAAATTTCACGGAGCTAGGAATTGGAAGAGAGCTAGGCTTTGTAATCCCAGGTCTTCTGACCTCCAAATGTCCTTTCCTCTACAGTGAATGTCAAAATGACAATGAATGTCTACTCCTCTACAATGGAGTACAAATCGAAAGACAAGGGGCTTATAAAACTGACTCTGACCTTAAGAAGTAGCATATGAGTGATGAATTATTATAGTCAATCCTTGTGCTTACTAAGTGCCACATACTGGTCTAAGCATTTTACATAGTAATTCAGTCCTTAGAACAACTTTATGAGGTGGAAACTTTTATTATCTCTAATTACAAAGGAGGCAACTAAAGTCTAGGAAAGAAGCAAAATAGCTTGCCTAAAGTCACACATAAGTAAATGGTGGCTCACGCCTGTAAACCCAGCACTTTGGGAGGCTGAGGCAAGTGGATCATTTGAGGTCAGGAGTTCAAGACCAGCCTGGCCAACATGGTGAAAGCCCACCTCTACTAAAAATACAAAAATTAGCTGGGCATGGTGGCATGTGCCTGTAATCCCAGCTACTCGGGAGGCTGAGACAGGAGAATTGCTTGAACCAGGGAGGTGGAGGTTGCAGTGAGCCAAGATCGCTCTACTGCATTCCAGCGTGGGCAACAGAGCAAGACTCCATCTTAAAAAAAAAAAAAAAAAAAAAAGCTAAAGCTGGGATTTAAACCTGATTATGTTGGCTCCAGAGCCTATGCTCTAGACCAGTGGTTCTAAACTTTAATGGTCAATAGGAACCGCTTGAGGATCTTGTTAAAACGCAAATATTGGTAGTATAGATATCAGGTAAGGCCTGGATCCTATAGTCTTAACAGGCCCCCAGGTGATGTTGATGGTGCTGGTCATTACATACTACAGTTCACATCTTCCCTTTTCTCCTAACCGTATTTATTTTGCAGTCAGAAACTACCTTTCCCATGCTGCCTGTGACTGCTTTATAGTCTCAAATGTTCCCAACATGCTCTTCCTTAAGGATTAGACTCAAACTTTTTCCTCAAAAAGCTTATCCTGCCCCTGTCTTTCCCTCTAGGATAAGACAGACATCCCTGCCTCTGCTCCCCTACCACTCAGTGTACACCTTGTTACAGAGCTCAGAACACTGAATTATGGCCATTTATTTGAAAATCTTCCTGGCCGGGCATGGTGGCTCATGCCTGTATTCCCAGTACTTTGGGAGGCCGAGGTGGGCTGATCACTTGAGGTCAGGAGTTCAAGACCAGCTTGGCCAACATGGTGAAATCCCGTCTATACTAAAGATAGAAAAATTAGCCGGTCATGGTGTTGTGCATCTGTAGTCCTAGGTACTCTACTCGAGAGGCTGAGGCAGGAGAATCTCTTGAACCCAGGAGGTGGAGGTTGCAGTGAGCTGAGATTGCGCAACTGCACTTCAGCCTGGGCGACAGAGCAAGACTCTGTCTCAAAAAAAAAGAAAAGAAAATCTTCCTGACTGGACAACGAGCTCTTTGAGGAGAGGAACCAATCAGGTCTGTGTACTGTAGAGCCTAGCATATAATAAGAATAATAGCTAATACTTACATAGGACTTTCTGTATTCCAGATCACGTTATACACATTAACTTGTTTAATCTCTACTATAACCTTACAGATACACTTTTATCCCCATTTTATGAATGAAGAAACTAAGGCATAGAGAGGTTAAATAGCTGGCCCAAGGTAACAAGCTTGTAAGTAACAGAGCCATGATTTTAAATAAAAGCACTTTGGCTCCAGGAAATGTGTGGTGAATTAAATGAGAGCCACTCTACACTCAACCAAAGAAGGAAAACTGAGACTTACTATCCTATTAGACATGATTATAACTACCTCTAGTCTGGGAAAATACACAGAAATCTGTTCCCCTGGCCAGGTGCGGTGGCTCACGCCTGTAATCCCAACACTTTGGGAGGCCGAGGCAGGCGGATCATCTGAGATCGAGAGTTCGAGACCAGCTTGACCAACATGGAGAAACCCCGTCTCTACTAAAAGTACAAAATTAGCCAGGCATGGTGGCACATGCCCGTAATCCCAGCTACTCGGGAGGCTGAGGCAGGAGAGTAGCTTGAGCCCAGGAGGCGGAGGTTGTGGTGAGCCGAGATCGCGCCATTGCACAGCCTGGGCAACGAGCGAAACTCCATCTCAAAAAAATAAATAAAAATTTTTTTAAAAAAGAAATCTGTTCCCCTTTGCTGGATTTACTTTTTTTCCTTTCTGTCCTGGACCCCATGGTTATTTATTTCAAATTCAGTCTCAATCAGTACTTTCAAGTTTATTCAACCATCTCTGTCCTTCCATCGACCCCGAAATAGTCCTCAACCTGTGATCAGTTTCCCATCTTTCCTCATGTTTGATATAGCTGTTAGTTAACTCTTAGTGCATAAGAAAAATTATCCCAAACTTTAGTGACTTAAAACAAGAATAATTTTTTAAATTTTTATACAGTTTTTGCATTTTCTATTGGAATCAAGAGTGGCTTAGCTGGGTGGTTCTGGCTTGGGGTCTCCCAAGCAGTTGCAGCTATCTGAAGGCTGACTGGGGCTGGAGGATCAGCTTCCAAGGTACCTCACTCACATTGGTTGGAAAGTCAGCAAGGAAAGAGGCCTCAATTTCTCACTATGTAGACCTCCCTATAAGGCTGCTTGAGCATCTTTGGGATATAGTAACTGGATTGCCCCAGAGCAAGTGATCCAAGAGTGTTACAGAAGCTATAATGTTGCAATATGTATACAGAGAGATTTAGATATAAAATCAGATTTTATATATGTTTGTATAAATGTATATAAAACTCACGTACTCTGAAGGTGAATTTGTACAAAGCAGTAAAGCTAGAACAACTGGTGGGAATAAGTTGAAATAATACTGCGTAGCGTTTATTACAGACCCATTATGAAAAGAACACCTTGCTTATCTTATTTAAACCTTACAACATTCCTATGACTTGGTAATTATTGTTCCATTTTACAGTTGAGGAAACCAAGCCCTAGAGAAAACTCATTTGTCCAAATTCAAATATCACCAGAAGACTCTTCCCCCAAACACACAGGTGTTAAGGAGGTCTGGTTATCTGTGATTCCATAACCATTGCTGTGGCCTAAATTATCTGTTTTACTCATGAATCTCCAATTTGGGTGGGACTTAGTGGGGACAGTTAATCTCTACTCCTCTTGACATCAGCAAGGGAAATTTGAAGACTGAGGTCTGGAATCTTATGAGGGCTCGTTCATTCATAAGACCAGCAGTTGACATTGGCTGTTGTCTGGAATCAGTCACAGACCCACCCAGGTTCAAGGAAAGGGGAAATAGATTTTATCTCTTGATAGAAGCATAGTAGCATCCTGGAACACCAGAATATTACTGTGCTCATTTTTAGAAATATCAACTGCCATAGTCTATCTTCTGTCCACAACAGTTCATATTCCTCCCACATGCAAATGGACTCATTCCTACCACCCAAAGTCTTCCCATTTTGGCAACATGCTTAGGTTTGAGGTCCAAGATCTTGTCACCTAAATCAAGTCCAGATATGGGTTAGTTTTCTTAGGTGCAGTTGCTTTCAGTGTAAAGACTCGGGAACTAAAGAGACAAGTTACCTTTTCCCCACACATCCAACATACAATGGTGGGACAGGCATGGAAAAACCACTGTAGACCTTAATCAGAAAGGGGAATAAAGGAGGCACGCCAGGGCCACTGATTCATAACAGCTCTGATGCTAGTTCCTTGATCAGGAATGATCTCTAGGAATGATTCTCTACAGCTCTTGACTCTACCCTCAAGCCTCCAGGTTACGCTCTCAGAAGCATTAATGATCTCTAGGAATGATTCTCTACAGCTCTTGACTACCCTCAAGCCTTTAGGTTCCGCTCTCAGAGGCATTAATGATCTCTAGGAATGATTCTCTACAGCTCTCGACCCTACCCTCAAGCCTCTAGGTTCTGCTTTCAGAGGCTTTCTTTATTTTCCATAAAATATAGCCAGTGTTTGAGACCAATTATTTATTTATTTATTTATCTATTTATTTATTTATTGAGATGGAGTCTCACTCTGTCGCCCAGGCTGGAGTGCAGTAGCACGATCTCGGCTCACTGCAACCGCCGCCTTCCAGGTTCAAGCGATTCTCCTGCCTCAGCCTCCCAAGTAGTTGGGACTACAGGCGTGCGCCACCATGCCCCACTAATTGTTGTATTTTTAGTAGAGATGGGGTTTCACCATTTTGGCCAAGCTGGTCTCAAACTCCTGACCTTGTGATCCACCCGCCTCAGCCTCCCAAAGTGCTGGGAGTCCAGGCGTGAGCCACCACACCAGGCCATGTCATTGTATCTTTTTTAGATGGATGAATATTAAATTTATTTATTTATTATTTTTTTTGAGATGGAGTCTCGCTCTTGTCACCCAGACTGGAGTGCAATGGCATGATCTTGGCTCACTGCAACCTCCGCCTCCCAGGTTCGAGCAATTAACCCTGCCTCAGCCTCCCAAGTAGCTGGGATTACAGGCACGTGCCCCCTCATCCGGTTAATTTTTGTATTTTTACTAGAGATGGGGTTTCACCATGTTGGCCAGGCTGGTCCTGAACTCCTGGCCTCAGGTGATCCACCCGCCTTGGCCTCCCAAAGTACTGGGATTACAGGCAGGAGCCACTGTGCCCAGCCATGTCATGATACCTTTTTTAGATGGATGAATATTAAATTTAAAAAACAAAATGATCCGTGTGCGTAGAAGGAACTAAAGGGGAAAAAGATCAATCTGAAAACAAACTATATAGAACAGCATACCAGCTTCATACTAACATGATAAAAGCAGAGGCTTTGGGTAACCAAAAAGTATGCTTTTTAAGCATGAGAATAATTCTAAAGGCTAGCTATATCTTTTCTTTCTTCTAAAAATAATTTCAGTTAAAGAATTTACATATAAAGTTCATTTATCATCACCCACTGTGGGTGAAGCTCTGTCAGGCTCCGGAGAAACAAATTACTAAACATGATCAACTGCCCTTCACATACTCATAATCTAGTGGGGGAGACAGACACATACACAGATAATTGCCATACAATATGGTGTTCATGGTATTAGCAAGTGTGTTTTTTTTTTGTTGTTTTTTTTTTAATTTTTTTTAGTTTCACTCTTGTCACCCAGGCTGGAGTGCAACTGGCGTGATCCCGGCTCACTACAACCTCTGCCTCCTGGGTTCAAGCGATTCTCCTTCCTCAGCCTCCCGAGTAGCTAGGATTACAGGTGTGTGCCACCACGCCTAGCAAATTTTTGTATTTTTAGTAGAGATGGGGTTTCACAATGTTGGCCAGGCTGGTCTTCCAACTCCTGACCTCAGGTGATCCAGCCGCCTCTGCCCCGCAAAGTGCTGAGCTTACAGGCGTGAGCCACCGCACCTAGCTGGTATTAGCAAGTTGTAAGAAAAGAGTTCCTGTAATCCCAGCACTTTGGGAGGCCGAGGCGGGCGGATCACGAGGTCAGGAGATGGAGACAATCCTGGCTAACACGGTGACACCCCGTCTCTACTAAAAATACAAAAAATTAGCCGGGTGTGGTGGCGGGTGCCTGTAGTCCCAGCTACTCGGGAGGCTGAGGCAGGAGAATGGCCTGAACCTGGGAGGCAGAGGTTGCAGTGAATGGAGATCTTGCCACTGCACTCCAGCCTGGGCGACAGAGTGAGACTCCGTCTCAAAAAAAAAAAAAAGAAAAGAAAAGAAAAGAGTTAAGGAGCCATTAATACTTCCTAGGAGCTAGTAAGGAAAAGTCACCAAGAAGACAGCATGCAAGTAGGGCCTTAAAAGATAGAAGTTCAACAGAAAAAGGAGGAAAGGCTATTAAAATCCGAGAAAGAAATAGCAATGGCCAACTCACAGGCATAAACATAAGAATTTTGGGAAATGCATACATTTCAGTTTAGCTAGGTGGGGGTTTGGGGGTGGCCTCATTACCACTGGTTGGAGGTAAAAGTCCCAACTCTCCACTTGGCCTTGTCTGACACCATCCCACCTGAGAAGGGAAGGGCACCTCTTTGCCACCAGGTACAGGTGAAATTCCATGTTTTACATGTGGTGGGCTGACAAGTGTGAGGGGCAAGTATTAGGAGAGGGCCTTGTTACTGTCCATTGAGGATGAAAGTCTAAGCTTCCCCCTGTGTATTCTCTGACATGAACCCAGAAATGGAGAAAGGAAGTTGAGTGGTCTCATTAGAACCTGGCCTTTGCTGGTGGGGGTGGGGGTTGGGTTGTAGTTTTTTTCCCGTGGTACTTATCTGGAGTAGAGACATTATCATCTAAAAATGTTCTGTCTTGCAAAGCTGCTGCTTTCCTAGTCCTTTGACTAGACAGAGCAGGCTTTTCCTAGGGCTTTAAAAAAAAAATGCTGTGCCCATTGGCATTTCTGGGTTGCCAGCTTCTCCAGTACCCAATCTGGGATATATAAAAGAAAACCCAGGGAACTCATTTCTGTGTATTCCTTGGGTTCCAGATCCTTAGGTGGTCTGCCTTCTTGTCACCTTTCAGATTCTTCTTACATTTGTTTTATGTATAATGTTTTACATATAGTGTCCAGGGTTTTTAGCTGCACCTAACTGAAGGAATAGGGAAAAGTAAATATACTCTTTCTATAAGTGGTAGTCTGAGGTCAATTGATTTGTTACAAAGCTGCCAAGGCAATGCTCTGTGAAAGCCACCATTAAAAGAATGCAACAGTGGGCAACAAACTGGGAGAAAAATACTTGTAGAACACTTATCAGACATAAGACTTGTATCTAAGTAAGAAAACAACCCCATTTTAAAATAGGCAAAAGACGCTTCACCGAAGAGGATATACAGATGGGAATAAGCACAAGAAAACATACTGAACATGATTAGCCATAAGAGAAATGCAAAGTAAAATGACAGTGTCACAGCTGGGTGCAGAGACTGTCTCCAGATGCTGAGACAGGAGACATCTCCAGATGCTGGGCTCACTTGAGCCCAGGGTTTCGAGGCTGTAGTGTGCCGTGCTTGCGTCTGTGAATAGCCACTGCACTCCACCCTGGGCAATATGGTGAGACCCCGTCTCTTAAATCAAATAAAATCATGATACAATACCACTACCCACCTAATAGAATGGCTGAAATAAAATACATTGACAACACCAGCTCCTGGTGAGGATGCAGAGCAACTGGAACTCTCATACATGACTGATAGGAATGCAAAATAGTATGGCCACTCTAGAAAGCAGTTTGGCATTTTCTTGTAAACTTTCAAACAGTTACTATATGACTCAGCAATAACATTCGTACACATTTTGCCTAGAGAAATGAAAAATTTCACATGAAAACATGCATGAGTGTTTAGAACAGTTTTGTTCTTATTCACCAAAAACTGGAAATAACCAAATGTCTTTCAGTGAGTGAATAAGTAAACTGTGGTACATTTATACAATGGAATACTACTGAGCAATAAAAAAGAGGTAAGATACACACAAGAAGTTGGGTGAATCTCAAAGGCATTATTCTGAGTAAAAGAAGCCAATATCCAAAGGTTACATACTATATGATTCCATTTGTATGACATTCTCCAAAAGGTACAAATATCACAACAGCATACAGATCAATGGCTGCCAAGGGTTTGGAGTTGGGGGAGGGTGATGGAACTGCTTTGTATTTTGATTGTAGTGGTAGTTACAAAAACTTTGTTAAAATTTATAGAACTGCCGGGCACAGTGGCTCACTCCTGTAATCACAACACTTTGAGATGCCGAGTCGGGAGGATCATGAGGTGAGGAGTTTGAGACCAGCCTGGCCAACGTAGCGAAACCCCGCCTCTACTAAAAATACAAAAAAACAGCCAGGCGTGGTGGCGGGCACCTGTGATCCCAGCAACTCAGGAGGCTGAGGCAGGAGAATAGCATGAACCCGCGAGGCGGAGCTTGCAGTGAGCCGAGATCACGCCACTGCACTCCAGCCTGGGCGACAGAGTGAGACTCCGTCTCAAAAAAAAAAAAAAAAAAATCTATACCATGAAAAGTATGTGATGCTGTATGTAATATTTTAGAATTTATTTACTGTTTTTATTTATATTGCTAAGAGTCATCCATATTGTCGCATGTTGCTATGGTTCATTTATTTTAACTGTTGTTTCTCCATTGTGTGAATTTATCCATTTTTTCACCCATTCTCCCATTGATGAACATTTTATTGTTTTTGTTCATGTGAACAGTTTGCTCTGAATATTCTTGTTCATGCCGCCTATTGAAATTATGAATTTCTCTAAGTCATTTGAACCCAAGACTTAGAGAAATTGTTGGGTCAACTTTTGTCCTAAAGTTAAATATTCATGTGTTCAACTTTAGGAGAAAATGCCAGGCCATTTTCAAATGTTAGACATAATATTTGATACTGTGAGAATGAGAATAAGAGTGTAAAAGTGGAAGCATGGAGATCAATCTTTGGGATGCTCCCACTGCACTCTGCTCTTTGTCCAAGAGACTTGGCCAAATTCCCTCTTTTTTAGAAGCCTCACCTCCTCCCACACCAGGCACAATCAGTTTTCCTCCTGTAGGTTCCCAAGGCACCTGTTTCATGCCATACTTTAGGTAATTATCAGACTGTATTGAGATAATAATTCCTTCTAGCAGGTAGGAAGCTTCTAGAAGGCATAGGCCAAGATTCTTTGTATTCTCCATGCCCAGGACCTAGATGAGCACAATAAATATTTCAGTAAATGAACGTTCTTCCTCAAATCTATACCCCCACTTTCCCAGTATCAGATAATGAATGAAATTTATTCTTTCTTTAATAATATAGAATATAATTGCTTGTTTCCATGGTAGTTGCCAATGCCAAAGCTCCTTGAAGGAAGGAACTACACCCCTTTTTTATTATATCCAGCCTTTAATATAGTGCTTGGCAAATTGTAGATTCTTGAAAAGCGTATTGAATATGTTTAATAAATTGAAACTTGCAGCATTTTAAGAGTGTTTATTCACAGCCTGGGCAACATAGTGAGACTCCATCTCTATAAAAACATTTTTTAAAAATTAGCCAGGTGTGGTGGCATGTATCCATAGTCCTAGCTACTTGGGACTGAGGCAGGAGGATTGCTTCAGCTAAGGAATTTGAGGTTACAGTGAGCCATGATCATGCCACTGCACTCCAGCCTAGGTGAAAAAGTGAAAACCTGTCTCAAAGAAAAAAAAAAGTGTTTATTCTGAATGTCAGTTACCATGGTCCAATGCTGGAGATAAAATGTAGAAGATTTAGCTACTTATAAATATGCCATGATGACCGTAGAACATATCCATGCATGTGGCTTAAAAAACAAAAATAAAACAATTCTTGGATATCAAAGGGTGAGATTTCATTTATATTATATAAAGTTCAAAAGCAGTTGAAAATAATCTATAGTGATAGAGGTCTGAATAGTAAATACCTTTAGGGAGCGACCTATAGAACACGTGGGAGCCTACTAGGATGCTATCAATCTTCTATATTTTGATCTGAGTAGGGGCTATATGTATAGATATTGCATATGTGAAAGTTTATTAGGCTGTACGTAAATGATTTATGTGCTTTATATAGATTGTATCTCAATAAAAGTAAAAAGCACTATAATGGTGGATTCGTGGCATTATACATTTGTCATAACCCATAGAATGGACAACACCAAGAGTGAACCCTGGTGTAAATGATGGGCTTTCAGTGACTGATGCTATGTCAGTGTAAGTTTATTGATTGTAGCAAGCACACCGCTTTGGTGCAGGATGTTGATAGTGAGGGAGGTTGTGCATGTATGGGGATGGGATATACACAATATCCCCAATTTTGCTATGAACTTAAAATTTCTCTAAAAAATCAAGTTGATTAATTTTTTAAAAAGTGAAAATTAAAACAGGGCAGGCATGGTGGCTCATGTCTGTAATCCCAGCAGTTTGGGAGGCTGAGGCAGGAGGATCACCTGAGCCCAGGAATCCGAGACCAGCTTGGGCAACATGACAAAACCCTGTCTCTACTATATATATATATATATATATATATAAAATTATCCAAGTTTGATGGCATGCACCCATGGTCCCAGATACTTAGGAAGCTGAAGCAGAAGGATCACTTGAGCCCAGGAGGTGGAGGCTGAAATGAGACATCCTTGTTTATGCCACTGCACTCCAGCCTCAAAAAAAAAAAGAGAGAGAAAAGAAAACAAAAAGCCCACCTATACCAATTAGGCTTTGTTTTTCTTTTGGTGACAAACATGAACAAATGAATGAAATGGCTTAAACAATGGATTAGTTGGACATGGTGATGCGCACCTCTAGTCCTAGATACTCAGGAGGCTACAGCAGGAGGATGGCTTGAGCCCAGGAATTTGAGCTTACAGTGAGCTATGTTGTGTTTGGATGACAGAGTGAGACCCTGTCTCTTAAAAAAAAAAAAAAAAAAAGAATGTTTGTTGTTCACTAACTGAAAAGTTGTGGGGTAGTTTTGGCTTCAGGCATTACTGATCTAGGGATTCAAACAGAGCCAGTCTTAGTATCTCCTCATCTCTGAGCTCTGCTATCTGTGTTCGCTTCATACTCAGGTTCCATCTGTTGGTTCCCAGCAGCCCCAGGTTTACATCATCCACCCTGCTTACAGCCTCAGCAGAAAAGAGCACCTGCCATCTCATGAACAGTCTTACCAAAATCTCCTTGCTCTGTTGCTATGGGCTCTATCTGGGTCACATGCCCATCCCTGAACTGTAGACAGGAGCATGTAATGCCCTGATTTGCCAGGTGTGAACCACATGTTACTCTGGGGAGAGAGGAAGCGATGTGGGTAAAGTCAGTTATTCCCGAAAAACATGGAGTGAGTGCGAAGGCGGGCTTGGTTTCCCTTAGGAAAATTGGGGTACTGCTGTCAGAGGAAGGTGAAAGAATTCTGCAGAGTAAAATCACGGTCGCTCACTGAAATACACCATGGAAATGTGTAATAAGAGTCACTCAAACGTTCATACCCTTCTATGGGGCTCAAAATACACTACCCCAAAATATGGCATCTTGGCATATTGAATATTTAAGCTAAAGGAGTTTGAGAAAATGACTGATGCAGGAAGATCTCTCTGACCTCCTCCCACCCTTCTCCCCGAAGCAGGTCTTAGGAACCTCTTAGCACTTGTGAGAGGTGCTATCCCTAACATCCTTTTCTCCAAGATAGAGGGGCACCAAGAAGAATCTGAGCAAACAGGCCTTGCTAAGTTTCCCCCAGCTTATTAACCTTAGCTTATACCCACTTTGTCCTATCATATTTTTCCACAACTTTCCACTCTTCATCAAACCTCGCATGTAAGTGCTTAGGTTTAGCAATTTATTTGGGTCTTTATTTCCTTATGATGGTTCCTATATCATGTAAAATTTACATTAAATAGATTTGAATGCTTTTCTTTTGTTAATCTGTCTTTTGTTACCAGGACTTCAGAACTTAGAAGGGTAGAAGGAAAAGATGTTTTTCCTCTGCTGTACCTTTGATATAGGATTCCTATTTGTGGGAATAATCCAAAAGATGGAAAGAATTATATTTACAGGGATTTGAATTTCAATGCTATCAAAAACTTGAAGACAACCTAATTATCTTGCAATAGAAGAGTATTTACCTATCCCAAGCATCTACTCACTATGGAGTCATTTTAAATGAACGTTACAAATAATTGACATCAAGAAAAATGCTTATAATAAGTGGAAAAGCATATGCATGTGAATATAAAAACAAAATGGAAGAGGCCGGGTGCAGTGGCTCACACCTGTAATCCCAACACTTTGGGAGGCCGAGGCGGGTGATCACGAGGTCAGGAGTTTGAGACCAGCCTGACCAACGTGGTGAAACCCTGTCTCTACTAAAAATACAAAAATTAGGTGGGCGTGCTGGCATGTGCCTGTAATCCCAGCTACTCAGGAGACTGAGGCAGAAGAATCACTTGAACTGGGGAGGCAGAGGTTACAGTGAGCCGAGATCATGCCACTGCACTCCAGCCTTGGCAACAGAGTGAGACTCTGTCTCAAAAAAAAAAAAAAAAAAAAAAAGGAAGAAAACATGTCCAAACATTAACATATTAGGGTAGTGGAGCTATGGATGATTCTTTTTTCTTTTCTCTATTTCCAACTTTCCTTTTAGGTATTTATATTATCATTATAATGTCAAAATATATTTTGTAAAACTCTATCTTATTAAGAATATTTCATTCTCCTAAATATGGAGTAGAGCCAAAATAAAGAAACTGTGACATCAGTCAACTAATGATTCTGGCTAAGGATATAGAACTTCAGAGCTAGAAAAAACCTCAGAGATATTCCACTTTAACTGCCCCATCTTATATAAGAGAAGTCTGAGACCCAGAAAGGTGAAGCAATTTGTTCTAAGTCATACAGGAACCAGGAAGCAGGTCTCCTGATTTTCAGGCTAATATTTTCTTCCACTGATTGAGGCAGTCAATTAAGTTTTAGAATTTTGTGAGATTGCTTTCCTGAAAACGCATCCTGAGGTTCAAGTTGATATCCATTCTTTCATTACTAATTCAGATTAAACCAGCTATTATTGCTTTTGTTAGGAAAGTGATGTTTTACAAATAATATTTAAAACTAATATCATGGCCATTTAGGTCCTTCTCCTTCACATCCTTGCACATCTTTCTTTATAAGCAATTTACTGAATAAATGCAGAGGAAGTCCAGATCTGGCTAAATTAAGTGAACCAATGTAAAGTCTCTTCACTTTTCAGCTTCCTCATTTATTCAAAGAATGAGCACCAGGCCCCATTCCATGCCAGGCCCTGGAGATATGAAGATGAATAAGGAACAAACTTTAGGCCAGGCAAGGTGGCTCACACCTGTAATCCCAACACTTTGGCTGACTGAGACAGGAGGATTCCTTGAGCTCAAGAGTTCCAAGACCAGCCTGGGCAACATAGTGAGACCCTGTCTCTACAAAAAAATCAAAAATCGAGGCTGGGCGCAGTGGCTCACGCCTGTAATCCCAGCACTTTGGGAGGCCAAGGCGGGTGGATCACCTGAGGTCAGGAGTTTGAGACCAGCCTGGCCAACATGGTGAAACCCCATCGAATAATAAAAAAAATTAGCTGGGCATGGGGCCATGTGCCTTAGTCCCAGCTGCTCGGGAGGCTGAGGCAGGAGAATCACTGGAACCTGGGAAGTGGAGGTTGCAATGAGCTGAGATCATGCCACTGCACTCCAGCCTGGGCAACAAAGCGAGACTCCATCTCAAAAAATATATATATGTATCAAAAATTATCTGGGCATGGTGGTACACACATGCAGTCCTAGCTACTCAAGAGGCTGAGGCAGGTGGATCACTTGAGCCTGGAAGGTCAAGGGTGCAGTGAGCTGTGATTGTACCACTGCACTCCAGCCTGGGTGCCAGAGCAAGACCCTGTCTCTAAAAAAGACTAAAAAGGTACAACCTTTATTCTTCTGGAGCTCGTAGTTGAGTGGGGAAGATGGGATGGGAAGATAGACATGCAGATAGCTGTATACATTATAGAAGAAGGTAATAACACAGGATGTTCCTAAAGGTACTGTGCTATGAGAGTAGGGGAAAAAAAAAAGAAGGATTCTTTCCATCACAGAAGGCTTCATAGCAGAGGTGGCATTTGGGCTAGACCTCATAAAGTGAACAGCATTTCACCAGGCAGAGTAGTGAGGAGAGAGTATCAAAGATAGCAAGGCAGAGAAACTAGGAAAAGCAAAGGCAGGCATGAAGACATAAAAAAAAGTACTCATAGAATGGCAACCTTGAAAAGCAAGATGAGGGATGTTAGACTCTTAGTGGTCCTCAACTGGGAGTACTTGTCAGAATAACTTGCAGAGCTCTATTAAATTTTGGAAGATTGTGACGTACATCCTTGAATAAAAACCTTAGATGGCTACTGAGATCTTGTCTATGCCCTAAAACTTTTTGGATCTATGTTTACCATAGTACCACCAGACTTAGTAACACAAGTTATTACCATTTAATCCATACTGGAACCCAAGTGGCAAAAACACTGCCTGTACTCTGGATGGTGAATTGACACTGATGAATGGCTTGATCATTAGAAAACCAAAGGGGATTGCAAATGAAAATAGAAATAAAGACATAGTCTCACACACTGAGTTTTCCCCAGTTCATTTTTGGGAAAAAAAAAAGCCCCTTTTTTAAATGTTCACCCAAGTGCTAAGATGCCTCAGGTGAGGAGCTGATGATAATCAGTAATTATCCAAGGTGAAATTCAAGATACTTTATAAAGATGGAAATAATAACCCTGTCAGAAATGGAAATCAGCTATCATGGGGTAGGGGGCTATAAATCCAAGCATAATATCCAACTTGTCTTCACCTCAGAGAGTTTCCAGCTGTTGATGGTGTTCTGCTGTGATTTGCCAGAGATGAAGTGCATTTTTAAAACTCTGCTCCAGCCAGCTAAATGGAAAGGCTTGGAGCCATACTCTCTTTCAAGAAGTGTTGAGCACTTGTGAAGTCTGCAGAGAAATGGTAGAAGGTGTCCACTTTCTTGTCAGTTCCAATTAAGATCTTTTCTTTGCAACCCCAGAGTTGAGCAGTATTTTCTAAGTGAGCTAATGGAAGATCACGTCAGGTCTTTGTCAAATTGAAAGGACACTTGTTGAGATGCTATGGGCTTTAAACTTACCGCTGCAAGGCCAGTAGTTCAAATACAAGCCTTGCTGAAGGCAGAGGTAATAAAGGAACACACGCTTATGGAGAGCCCAGGGAGTATATGTGTCAAGAAATAATTATGGGAAGGAAATGGTCCAAATAATGCTTGAATGAGTATTTGCATGCACACACACACATACATTCTGTGCTGAAACATACAAGGCAATCAGTAGTAATGGCAGTTATCTCACCAGATCATAATTAGATTGGAGACTCCTTGGGAGCAAGGACTGAGGCTTTTTGAGCTCTGAATCCCCTAGCAGTGTTGAACTGATGATTGGCCTGCTGAATTTGAGAAGACAGTGGTATGGGCATGTGGCAATGTCTTCCTGCAGTCCCACTAGATTGCCTACAGTGCCTCAAACAGGCCTTGCACCTTCACACCCTGCCCTGTGGCTGTACCCCTCTGATTACTCCTCTGCCTAGAATGCCATCCCTTCTTGCACCTCTGTGCCTTTCAAAATCTGTCAAAATCCTTTTTGCTCTTCATAATCCATCTCACTGTCTTTTGAAAATAATTCTCCAAGCACAAGGGGGAGCAGAGAATGTTCTTGGAAGTCAGAGAAATCTAGATTTGAATCCCAATTCTACCTCTTTGAAGCTCTTAAACAAATTACCTCTTTGTGCCTCAGTTTCTTCCAGGTGGGTTATGGGGAAAATTTATTTATTTATTTATTTATTTATTTATTTATTTATTTAAGAGATGGGGTTCTGCTGTATTGCCCCGGCTGGTCTCAAGTGCCTGAGCTCAAGCAATCCGCCCACCTCGGCCTCCCAAAGGGCTGGGATTACAGATGTGAGTCACTGCACCTGGCCGGTTTTAGGGAAGATTTAATGTGATAAAATATGTAAACTACCTAGCTCAGTGACTGGCACAGGATAGATTATCAATGCATGATTGTTAGGCTTATTCATCTTCCTCTGTGAAATCTCAGTGCTTAATAACTGTTAATTTCCTCTGCCTATACATCCTTTAACATCCCTCTTAGGTTCCTTCACCTACTCCACCACCCCCTTATCAGCTATTGCCCTCTTCTCTGTTCCATAATGCCTTGTTTATGCCTCTTTTCTAGCACTATATGCTGACTTGTGCTGTAACTCATTGTGTTACCCTCCCCCATAAGCTGAAAACACCTCAAGGCACTATCTCCAACAACTAGCAGAGGGACTAGTTTAGGAGAGACATTCCGTAAATGGTTTTCTAACTGAAATGTAACATCTAATCCAGCTTTCCAGAAGATAAAGTGAGCATGCAACATGTCTTCTCCCAGCAAGTGCTGAATGGTCTAAGTAGCAAAGAGAAAATTTCCCTGCAATTAAGTGTTTCAGAGTTGATTGCTGTCCATTCAGCCCAAGTAAGCAGAGCCTCAATTTCCAGATGTTTTTGTTTCTCCCACTTCCAGCCTAGCCAGGCCAGAGAAGCATTCCCATAAGTGTAACCCAATATGTGCTTTTTGATGATCTGATTAGAGTGTGAAATATTTTCTTTGGAGTAAATGCACAAGAGTGAGGTTTTTCTCTGTTTTTGCAAGGGACAGAAGGTGAGGGAGTGAGAAAAATCGAAGCCAGAGGAAAATCTATCATACCCCAAGAGATGAAGAGCACATAAAGCCAACACAACAGATATTGTCCTGGGTCAAATCTTCAAAGCCTGGGCCATAAATGACTATACACTCTTGAACTGACCATAGGAAAAGAAACAGAAGCAAAAGCAAAACAAAAGTTTCCTAGAAGCCGTTCTTTGCAATGATATCTGTACCATTAAAGAACCTAAAGCAACCTAAACATCAATCCAACTGAACAAACATTTTCTGAACTACTAAATGCAGGGTACTGGAGTTATGGATATGTTGGTGAAGCTGGACTTCTAACCTTAGTCCATTGGTCTATCTATTTGATTACCTTCTTTCTTGTTTTCTTTCTTTTTCTTTCTTCCTTTCCTTTCCTTTTCTCTCTTTCTTTCCTTTTTCTCTCCTTTCTTTCTTTCTTTCCTTTCTTTCCTTCTTTCTTCCTTCCTTCCCTCCTTCCTCCCCTTCCTTCCCTTCCCTTCCCTTCTCTTCCCTTCCCTTCCCTTCCCTTCCCCTCTCTCCCTCCCTCCCTCCCTCCCTTCCTTCCTTCCTTCCTTCTTTCCTTTTCTTTCTTTCTTTCTTGACAGGGTCTTGCTCTGTCACCCAGTCTAGAGTGCAGTGGTACCATCTCAGCTCACTGCAACCTTCACCTCCTAGGCCAAGCAATCCTCCCACCTTAGCCTCCCCAGTAACAGGATTACAGGTGCACACCACCACGCCTGGCTAATTTTTGTATTTTTTGTAGAGGCAGGATTTCATCATGTTGCCCAGGCTGGTCTCGAACTTCTGTACTCAAGCGATCCGCCCACCTCGACCTCCCAAAGTGTTGGGATTATAGGTGTGGGCCACCACATCCAGGCTTCAATTACTTGTGAACTCAGTGTTCACCTAAGAAAACAGAACTACAATGAATTAATGCATAAGGAATTTATTATAGGAATTCAAACTAATAGAGTTGTGGGTGCAGCTGGGGAAGTGCCACTAGGAACTTGGAGGGAGGCAGGGATCGATGGAGTCACTGAAGAAGTCAATCCTAGCAGCCAAGCACACTCAAGAGGTTGTAAAGGGGCTGCAGAGGAGGAGCTGATGGAGACGTCTGCAGAAGGCTGTGGGTCCACTGCAACTGTCTGGTGCTAGGTTTGGAGCTACTGTTAGTCAACAGGGTCAGCAGTCAGGAAGAGCTGGATACGGAGTGGAGGAGAGTGAACCTGCTGGTGCCTCCTCGCCTATTGCTGTAACAAACCCCCATGATCTTCAGAGAGCGATGGCTGCCAATTCACTTCTGCCTCCAGATCTCAAGCAACTATCACTCTTTTTTTTTTTTTTTTTTAGACGGAGTCTTGCTCTGTTGCCCAGGCTGGAGTGCAATGGCGTGATCTTGGCTCACTGCAACCTCCGCCTCCCGGGTTCAAGCAATTCTTCCGCCTCAGCCTCCCAAGTAGCTGGGATTATAGGCACGTGTCATCACATCTGGCTAATTTTTGTATTTTTACTAGAGACAGGGTTTCACCATGTTGGCCAGGCTGGTCTTGAACTCCTGACCTTGTGATCCCGCCCACCTCGGCCTCCTAAAGTGCTGGGATTACAGGCATGAGCCACCACGCCTGGCTGCAACTGTCACTCTTAACCGACTTTAACCAAGAACCATACAGTTGCAGTTTAACCAAGCTGACACACATAAATTTTCTCCATAACCATAAAGTGATTTCTGTCTTCTCCCAGTTTCCTACAGTGGAAAAAAAATTGGACTTAGAAGTCTAACAGTGCTGGGCTCTAATTCTGGGTCTGCACCTCTGTAGCTGTCTGACCTCAGGGAAATGACCATTTCTGTGCCTTAATGAATCTGGAGCCCTTCCTCTGTGCTATCATAGTCCCCATGTGCTGCTTTCTGTTGTGTATATATTTCATTTTATTCTCATTATCTATTTATGTGTCTATTTCCTCCATTAGACCTTAAGCTCAAGCACATGGGTCATATCTGATTCCTCTCTATATTTATGATGCCTAACAATGTCTGGCACAGAGTAGATGCCCAGTAGATGTTTGCTGAGAAAATTAGTCCTTGAAACAGAGAAGCTCATCAGACTATCAAGCTGGTAGTAGAACCCAGTACTAACATATTAAGGCAGTGAGACCCATCTCTGTGTCTGTCACACTCTCGGCACCCTGCAAAATCAGGCCCCAGACACCCTCACCTCATCCACAGCTCATATCTTAAACCATTCACCACATTTCACTTTCGAACCTGTTTTAATTATCCTGATTCCTGAATCCTGAGCTTGACCTCTGTTTATGACCTGCTATCACCTCTTAGACCATCAAATGTTCAGGCTTCTGGCTATCTTATTTGAATTTTCATTTTTCCCATCTGATTAAATACTTTCTCTTTCTTGGCATATTTCTTACCCCATACCCTAGGTTCTCAGGTCAGAGACTATGAAAGTCCCTGCCCTCGGGGAGTACTCAAACTGGTGAACAACAGACAAGGCGACCAGCAATTCCAGGATGGTGTGGTAAGAGATCTGGTTGAAATAAGTTTAGGGTACTATGGAAGTATAGAAAGAATGAAGAGCACCTAAACTTAGAAAGAGAAGGGTAATTGTCAAAAGGAAGTGTGGATTGATCTGAGTAATGAGAAACTGCATAGGGGATTCCCAGGCAGAGAAAGGGAGAATATGCATTGTAGACAGAGACCAGCAATGCAGAGGTATGAAGACAGGAGAGATCAGGGTGTGGCACCGCAGGTGGGTTGGTGTGGTGAGAAGAGTGTGAACGTGCCGTTGAGAAGTGGGGGGAAATGAACAAATGTCAGGTGGTGGATGGCTTGAGTTCCAAGCTAATGAACTTAGACCTGACACTGTAGGACAGAGGTGGTAAATTATCAGGATTTGGCCCAGAGATGTGCTTTGTTTGCCCCACATAATTTTTTTACATTTGCTTTGCCAGTGTTTTAAAACCGGGAGGTTTTACATAAAATTCTGGATTTCCAGCTTCTGTGGAAAAATCAGGTGATCTGGCCACACTAGGCTGTCATTCATTGCTTGTCCTTCTTAAGTGCCGTATGTGTTTTGTAACTCGCTAGTCTCCACCGCACCTCTTTGTCCTCATACCCCTGCACTCTTGTTTTTCTTTAGGGGGAGAAACATTTCTCACTACCAGTATCTCTGTGAAAAGTAAAGAGTTGAAGGTTAGAGCCAGGCATTTCAGAAAATGGGGAACAGCATGTTTCTTTGTGGAAATAAAGAAACAAAGTATATCCATTAAAACACTGCAACTTTCTCTTAAACCAGTTCTCTTCACTTGTTTATGTTACCTACAGGATTTACTATATAAAGAATAATAACTTCACCGGGCCACCTTACTTTCATAAAACTTGTGATGCTCACAGACCGTCAAGCAGGAATGTGCTGGGTGTTCTAGTCTTAAAGAAGGTGTAAGAGACATGTACGTCTCTGGCCAGAGATTGTCAAAGAGAGGCAAACACTGATTCTCAGAGCCTCAAATAAGTGATGAATCAAGTAGAAAGAAATTGGGAGGGCACAAAAAAGAGCTTGTTGGGGGCCACAGGCAGCTAATGCAGCCAGTGACAGCAGAGAGGAAATGCAGCATAACCTCCAACTCCAGGATCTAGGGCCTAAAGGCCAGAGCCACTCCCTGTAATGATGCAGAACTGGCCCAGCTTCTCAGTAAGAGGGTTGCTGGGTCCTTCAGTCTCGCCCCTGCTTCCCCTTGCCCCACCCTCACATCCTGGGACTGCACCGCACTTCCACTAATCTGAACCCTCCTGCCCTCTCAGAGTCTCGAACTGCTGCTTCTGAGCTCCATGTAGCTGGTGAAAGGAGGCTGCCTTGGGCTCTGTGGGGGCCTCCTGTCTTCATTGATGATTCTCTGCAGCTCAGCTCCTCTCCCCATGTAACTGATCCCAGTCCTCTGGTTCTGTCAGTGCCTCTGCTGTGTACATTATGACATGTGTGAGCTCCCAGCTAGGTGGGAACCCTGAGTGAGGTGTGAGCTTCCTCCCAAGCCACTGAAGTTGGCTTTCTGCAGTAAGCCAGACACTTGGGCGCTGCTGGTCTTAGAAACAGTGCTTTCACTACATGGTCAGGGAGAAGGGATTCCCTAAGTCTTCAAATTGATCTCTCTGCTCCTCCATCTTTTCCCACCTCAATTCTGCTTGTACCCGTGGAATTACTATACATTAGAACATAATGCTAAATATGTCATGCTTCTGATCAAAAGTCTTGGGCAGCTCCTCATTTCCTACCAAATTCAAACCAAATTATCTGCCCTGGCATGTTGGACCTGTCCCAGGCTGACCCCAAAATGCTATTTTCTAGGCTTATCTCCCACTATAAATAACAAATGCTGCCAGGCATGGTGGCTCATGCCTGTAATCCCAGTATTTTGGGAGGTCGAGGCGGGTGGACCACCTGAGGTCAGGAGTTCAAGACCAGCCTGGTCAACATGGTGAAACCCCACCTCTACTAAAAATACAAAAATCAGCTGGGTGTGGTGGCGCGGGCCTGTAATCCCAGCTACTCGGGAGGCTGAGGCAGGAGAATCACTTGAACCCAAGAGGCGGAAGTTGCAGTGAGCCGAGATTGCGCCACTGCATTCCAACCTGGGCAACAGAGTGAGGCTCCATCTAAACAAACAACAACAACAACAACAAAATGCTCCAGCCAAAATTTCATTTGGCCTTCTCTGCAAGCAAGAAGGTTTCTTGCCTTGGTTCCTTTCTTCCTTCATGCCCATTTCCAGCTGTCCAAAGCCTACCCATTCTACAAACTTCATCTCAAGCCACCTCTCAAAACTCCTAATGGTTCTAGTCACATGTCACTCTTGCTTGAGGTACCTGCCATACATTGTTCTCCTTGTTTAACCCTGGGTATAGTCTATTTCTTTTTTTAATTATGGCCACACATCTTAGCCTTTTTGCAAGGCTGAGCTTAGACAAAAGGGGTTATGTATTTGCCTGTGTCACCATGCTTGGACAGGGCCTGGTGAATGCAAGATGCTCAGAAATATTTCCTTGAATTGTGTTCATTCTTCCTGCCATATTTTTTGGTGGATTCAAAAAAAAATCTACCTTCCTGGTACCTCTCATGTAATCCTCAACTCTTCACAAAGGAATGGCTCTTAACTGTCATTTTGTCCAGTCTTGCATTTGATGATAGGCAGCTCTTCCTGACATCCCTGCCAAGGAAGGATGCCAAGTAATTTCCCACTAGAGCAGATGGAAAAGTAGTAAGACCCATCCAGGTGAGACTAAATACCTGGGCAAGACAGAAAGTTCACACACAAAGGCATCAGAGTTAGTCTAATTGTGTCTCACTGGGGGCCAGGCTGTCCCTTTTTTTTTTTTTGAGACAAAGACTGGCTCTGTCACCCAGGCTGGAGTGCAATGGCACCATCTCGGTTCACTGCAACCTCTGCCTCCTGGATTCAAGCGATCCTCCTGCCTCAGCCTTCCAAGTAGCTGGGATTACAGGTGCCCGCCACCATGCCTGGCTAACTTTTGTATTTTTAGTAGAGACAGAGTTTCGCCATGTTTATCAGGCTGGTATTGAACTCCTGGCCTCAAGTGATCCACCCACCTTGGCCTCCCGAAGTGCTGGGATTACAGGCATAAGCCACCGTGCCTAGCCCAGGCTGTCCTTTTTGCCAGATGTTCTCAAGCCACAGTAGTAAGAAAGGCCCAGTCCACTGGTAACAGGGAACCAAGACCAGGCCAACTCAGGCGTCCTTTGCAATCATCCTCCCCTGCATTGTGTAGCTAGCCTACCTCATCCCCATGGGGAGTGAAGGGACGGGAGGAGACATCATATTTTAAGTACCATACATCATAGATTCAAGTTTCTTGGAATTTCATCCCATAAATTAGGAGGCAATAAAACATGAAGGAAAGAGCATGGCCTTTGGAGCCAGCCAGAACAGGTTTAATTTTCATTGTTTTGCTTAGTATGATGTGGTTAAGAACTCTGGAATTAAGCAGAACCAGGTTCAAATGCTATTATGCCATTTCTTATCTCTATGACTTTGGGAAAATTACCCACCTTCTCTGAGCCTTCATTTTCTAATATGTAAAATAGGGATAATAACACTATCCTCATGGATTTTTGGTGAAAATTAAATGAGAAAATACATGTGTGTCAGCTACGATGTCTTTAGCTCCAAGTAACAAACCAAAACTCTAAATGGCTGAAACATGGCAGAATACACAAGGAAAATGTATCATCTCATATAACAGGAAGTCTAGAAGTAAGGAAGTTTCAGGATTGGTTAATTCATCAAAAACTCTTCTTTTCATCTTAATGCTTTTCCAACCTTGGTATATAGACTTTCCTAGGCTGGCTTCCCTCATGGTCATAAGATGGGTGCCACAGTTCCCAGCATTATATCCAGATACTACAATATACAAAGCAGAAAAGGGTCATCTCTTTCTTTTGTGTCTTTCTAAAAATAAGAAAACCTTTCCCAGAAACATCTCACTGATACTCTCCCCCACATCTTTGGCCAGAGCTGGGTAATAAGCCTGCCTTTAATCCAATTGCTGACAAAGGAGGAATGGGATCACTATGATTGGCTTGGCCAGTTATACTGGAGATAGAGCCTCTTTTCCTGCTGGATGGATTGCTGGGTAAAATTAGAATTCTGTTAGCAGCGAAGGGGCAGGATGGCTACTGGGTAGGCAAGCAACACAGTCTGTTACAGCATGGAATCTGGCACATGGTAAGCATTTAAGCATTTAACTCTTGTTATTAACTCTTACTAGCTGTATGAACTTATTCAAGTCACAAATCTCATAGATCCCCAATTTTCTGAAAATAGGAGTAGGATTATCAGCTTTGTTGGATAGTTATAAAGTTAAACAAGATGACATGTGTAAAGTCTTTGGAGCTTAGTAAATGATAGCTACTTACAGTTGTATATAATTATTGCTAGAGTACTTGGGCAGCAGGCCGACATCTCCAGCAAAGATTCCTGGAGTTGGCACGAGACTGAAAAGCTCAAAAGCATGAGAACTAGAAACTGTTCATACTCAATTTTCTATAATTGTGATTCTGTGTGTTAATTTGCCAGACCTTAATCCAGTTGCCCATGCCCAGTAGTTCTCCCTTCATGTAAGGAGATCCCGTAAGAAAATGATTTCTGCTAGGTGGTCCCCTGCCCTTGCCCCTAGAGGGCACTAAAGGCAATCCTGCCTCTCCTAATGTATTTGATGGCCCAACACCAACATCAATCGATCCAAGATCCCTCTTCTTGGGCTTTGAGTCCTCAACTCAGGATGGGAGCTTGATTCTCCACAGCACCCTGGGCTATAGCTGTGTCAGACCCTGATTCCCATCCCAGCTCTGCCACTTATGAGCAGTGTGACCTTAGGCAAAGCACTTAACCTCTGTTTGTTTGTTTGTTTGTTTGTTTGACAGAGTCTTGCTCTGTTGCCCAGGCTGGAGTGCAGTGGCCCAATCTCGGTGCACTGCAACCTCCACCTCCCAGGTTCAAGCGATTCTCCCACCTCGGCTTCCCGGGTAGCTGGGATTACAAGCATGCACCACAATGCCCGGCTAATTTTTGTATTTTTAGTAGAGACTGGGTTTCGCCATGTTGGTCAGGCTTCTCTTGTACTCCTGACCCCAAGTGATTCTCCCACCTCGGCCTCCTAAAGTGCTAGGATTACAGGGGTGAGCCGTCGTACCCCGCCGCTTTACCTCTCTTTGAATATCATCTGCCAGACGTGTAAAATGGGGCTCAGCCTCATGTTTTGCTACCTTTCCCTCAAACTCAGTCCTCTGGTCACTTGGAATGACCTGATGTTCCTGAACAGACCACAATATCTTCCCCTCCAAGCCTTTATAGGTTACTTTCCCTTCCAGAATCAATGCCAACCCCATTTCATCCTCACCAATCAGGATGGGGTTCAGGAAAGCATTTCCTCTTTCTCCACCTTCTGCCCACAGCTCAAATGATCCTAAAGCACCTTGGACTTACTTCTTTTGTTCTTTTAACAGTTTATCAGTATTGTTTTTAAATTTTTTTATTGATACATAATAGATGTATATATTTTGGGGGTACATGTGAGAATTTAATACATTCATATAATTTGTAAAGATTGAATCAGTATAATTGGGATATTTGTCACATTAAATATTTGTCTTTTCTTTATGCTACAAATATTCAAATTATTTTCTTCTGTTTTGAAATATATAATACATTATTGTAATGTATTACATATTTATCTAACACTAGGTTTTATTTCTTCCATCAAACTGCGTATTTGTACCCATTAATCAAGCTCTCTTTATCTCCCTTCCCTCCTACTCTTCCTGTCCTCTGGTAACCACCAATCTGCTCTCTATCTTCATGAGATCCAGTTTTTAAGCTCCCACATATGATATTTGTCTTTCTGTGCTTGGCTTATTTCACTTAACATAATGACCTCCAGTTCCTTACATTTTGCTGCAAATGACAGGATTTGATTCTTTTGTACGGCTGAATAATATTCCATTGTGTATACGTACCACACATTCTTCATCCATTCATCTGTTAATGGACACTTAAATAGATTCTGTATTTTGAGTACTGTGAATAGTGTTGCAATAAACATAGGAATGCAGGTACCTCCTTGATATATTGGTTTCTTTTCTTTTGGATAAATACCCAGTCCTGGAATTGCTGGAGCATATGGTGGTTCTATTTTTAGTTTTTTGAGGAACCTCCATAAAGTTTTCCATAGTGGCTGTACTAATTTATATTTTCACCAACAGTGTATAAGGGTTACCCTTTGTCCACATTCTTTCCAACATCCATTATTTTCTGTCTTTTTGATAAAGACCTTTTTTTTTTTTTTTTTTTTTTTTTTTTTGAGACAGAGTCTCACTCTGTCGCCCATGCTAGAGTGCAGTGGCACAATCATGGTTCACTGAAGCCTCGACTTCCCAGGCTCAAGCAATCCTCCTATCTCAGAGTCCTGAGTAGCTGGGACTATAGGCATCTGCCACCATGCCCTGATAAGTTTTTGTGTGTATTTTGTAGAGACGGAGTTTCACAATGTTGCCCATGCTGGTCTCAAACTTCTGAGCTCAAGTGATCCACCTGCCTTGGCTTCCCAAAGTTCTCGGACTATAGGCAGGAGACACCACACCTGGCCTATAAAAGCCATTTTAACTGGGATACCTTGCATGTATTGCTATAATTACATTGCTGTCCCAGGATGGGAACTTTTACTTGTCTTTCTTAACCACTAAGTTGTGAGACCATAAATTAAGAGGAAGGTCCCTGGACTTACTAATTGCTTTATCCTCAGAAAAATATAGAGTGTTGAAATGTCATCACTGCAAAGAAGTGTTGTCAGTGAAGGGGAGCTCCAGTTCCAGTGAAGTTCTATGGGTGTTGCCTGGAGCCCCAGTAGCACCATGGAATCATGCACCTCCCTCCCCTCTCATCCCTGGAATCTCAACTACAACAAATAGCAAGATGATTTCCTTCCTTGGGAGCCTATCCTAGCAAGTGGAGCATTTCAATAAACAAATAATAAGTGTGGAACAAATGGAAGAGGGAAATGTGGGACCCCAAGAGGAGGATTGAAATGAGACTTGGCAAGAGGCTGTGAATACATCCAAAGCTGATAGATTTATTATTGAGAAGTTTGTTTTTCCTCATGGATCTTCCCTGCCTCCGGTATAATAGCACGCAGGGCGGGACATAAAGCCAAAGTGATTTGGAGGAAGCAGGACACCTAAATTCATTTGACTTGGAAAGAGCTTTAAATTTTTACATTCTGTCTTCAAACGTAGAGTTTCCCAATGGTCTTAGGGGGATGCGTGTGCATTTATGCACATGTGCATCCTAGATTTTTGTTTCTTTCTCACAACATGCACACACATACATGCACACGCACTTTGATAGGCAGAGATGGATTTTTTAAAAAAGATCACATTCCCATTCTTCTCCAATAAGTTAGATAGAAAACAGGCCCTTAAACTTCTTTTTTTATTTTTTCTGGAGTGCAGGAGGATTTAGGCATTCCAGATTCTCATATTTCTCCAAGGTGAACCAAATGTTTCCATTCCATATTTCAGGATCCCATTTCTTCCCATTTAACGCTCTGACTTTCCTGTAAGAAACCTGGGGCACCTGTGATTTCTACGAACATTGTAATTCTGCACCCACAGGATTAAAATTTGGGTCTGACTTTCAATTATCTTAGTCCCATAGCTATAATAGGTTATATATTAATATAATTAACATTAATATATAAATATAGTTTTGTATACTAGTTATAAATACATATATATTTTAAAGCTACAATGGAAGCTCTTTGGTTTTCTGAACATGCCTAACTGAGAGTTTAGAATCCTGAGCTTGAATTTTTTTTTTAATAAGAACTTCAGCACCGTCAGAAGCAACTAATCCATCTTAAAATCCTTGGTCACAATTCTCGCCTTAGTAGAGCATTTCAGCAGCCATTTGGTCTTCCAAAGACTTGCTTTTGAAGGCATTTCATCCCAGTTATTCACAAGATGCTAGTTTAAGTAACTTTTGCTATTGCATGCCATGGACTACGGTGGACAGTTTTGGGAGATGCAGTTCGCCGACCTCCAAATGTCTTTGTATATTCTTGTTTGTCCCAAACTGCAAGGACTAACCATTTTCTGACCCTGAATCGTTTATATAATTAGTCACAAAAGCAGTTAGGTAGGTAGGGGTAGGTCAAGGTGACCACAACGTCCAGCAATTCACTCTCCAGGGGAAGGAGACTGGCTTGTTAACTGCTTGCTATAAAAGGTTCTGCCCTTAGCCCAGGGTTCCTTGGTGACATCACAGGCCCAAGGCACGCATAGCTGCCATCTGGGCCATTGTATTGACTAGTGGGATTTGAGGGCAAGGAAACTTGCTCTACCATGCTCTTGGCCCTTTTGTTTGCTATGCTGTCTTTTTCTGATCCACTGGGTCTTGCCTACTTTCAGCACCCATAGAGTTGTGGCAAGTCAATTTGGAGTCCTGTTACTCCTTGCCATCTTCCATGAGGTTGGAACTCTTCCCTGACACAGTATCCCATTTTCCACTGGCAATGAAGTCATCGTTGAATTCAGGCCCACTCAGGTCATATTACAATCCCAGATTCGTATCATGGAGGGTCAGTTTCCCATGACCGCTTTCATGTCAAGTATTATATTAGCAGTGTCCTGTCAGGAAAACACATCATTCTAGATCTGTGCTGTCCAACACGGTAGCCATTAACCACATGTGGCTATTAACATTTAAGTATTAAAATTAAACAAAGTTATATAGTATTAATTATATATCTTGAACAGGGTTCTGGGGCCCCTGGCTATATGCCAGGTACTGTCTTTTTAGTAGCTGAATCTGATGGATCCTGGGAAGTTCCAGGGAATTCTAAGAGGCAGGGAGAGGGGGTGGGTGGGATGGCTGGTACAGTGGCAACAGGGTACCCAGGGAGCTTGAGGGTGGCTACTATTTACTAGCCAGTATAGAAATATTTCAACACTTTAATAACCAATACAGTCGAACGTACCTAATGCAGTCCTGTTGGCCAGGGTTATGACTATGTAAATGTTATTCATAATTAAGCCATGTAGGGGTCTGTGAGTATATTTCCATTCTTGTTAAGATTTCAGGTTCTCCTACGTAAATAATTGCCTTTTTGTTTTATTTTGCTCAGTTTCTGTATCTCTATCACTAAGTCTTCTCTCAAACTCTTTGAAAGAACAGTATGATGACCAACTCTGTCAGGTCCAGCTATATCCCAGGCACTGTGATGGCTTAACTATGGCTATCCATCAGATCCAGCTACTAAAAAGACAGTACCTGACATATAGCCAGGGGCCCCAGAACCCTGTTCAAGAGGCCAGCATTTGTTCAGATCACTCAGTTTCTGTGCCAGTCAGCAGCCTCCAGTCCCTCCTGGGCACTGCCTTTGGCTCCCCCAAAAGGCTGACCTGAACCTTGCTTGCTATACCTACCTGGCCCAGGGAGCCCTGCATGAGAACCATCCTGAGACTGGTGCCACCTGGCTGCCAGCCAATAGCCAGCCAGCCCCATCTCCTGCATATCAGCCCCTGTCCCTGAGTGCTCCACCTGCCCCCAGGAGGCTCAAACCTCACCAGGAGAGATAGCAGCCCCAGAAGAGATGTTGATATCTCAGAAGATAAATATTTTTTAATGGCTTCTCTGGTCATAATGTGTAAATACTGCAAAATGATTAACCAAAAATTGTTAAATAATTGTAGATACAATTATATTAGAGAACGGAGGAGAGAAGCGCTATTAGAGAAATATTCCATTGTTCAAAGTCAGTAGATAATGTCTGAACCTTGGTGTTTCAGGAATACCCTTAAAAGAAAAAAAAAAGGACTAGGTCTGTAATAAAACTAATAAACAAAATTTAAAAAAATTTTAAAAAGATAATGCCTGAACTTAAAATCAAGAAACTGCAGTATAGGTATCTTATTTGGCAAATGGAAGTAAATACCAAAAGAAATAGCTGAAAGTGGCTAGTTGTCTCTGAGGAGTAAGGCTGGGGGTAGGCAGGATTAGGGCAGGAATCTACTGTTTCTTATAATAAGCCTTGAGACTATTTTGGCTTTTGAACCATGTACATATTACTCTTTTTTTTTTTTTTTTTTTGTGGGGACCATTGCAGGAATCCTGGAGAGGTGATAGCTCTGGCAATGACCATGAGGCAAAGATAAGTGGATCTAAGAATATTTAGGACATGAGTTGGGAAAACCTGGTGAGATTGCCTGGTGCAAAGAGTGAGAGAGGAAAAGAGAAGAGAGAATCACGAAAACTGGGGCCTGTAGCTGAGGTTAGGGGATGGCTGACTCTTGGTGAACACTTGGATGCCAAGGGTTCCTCCAGGTACCACTTATAACAAAAGTGACGAACTCTGCTTGGGGGGATTGGAACTGGTTCACGGAGAGAGGGGTGTTTGAACTGGGTCTTGAAGAGAGTATAGAAGTTCCCAGTTCCACAAAGGTTGAGCTCTAAGGTGAGAGGGTATCTTAAAGGAAGAATATTCTTGGGCAAGGGTGGTGAAGACTAATAGGAAGTACAAAGGCACAAAAGTATGGGAGCATCATTTTGGGGACAAACAATGAATTGTCCCATAGAGTGAGAAGTTCAGGAGCCATGTTAAGAGAAGACAATGGTAGAAATAAAGCAGAGACAGAAGTTTGTGACCAGGGCCCAGCGGCCTCCAATGTAGCCTAAGTGGTTCCCTCCCTCAAATTGGTGGCAGCATAACAGGTACAAATCTGAAAAGCAATTTGGAAATACACATCAGAAACCTTGAAAATGTTTCTATCCTCTATCTCAGTGATCCTACTCCTGGGGATTGTTTCTGAGAAAATACAATTTTTAAAGCATAGGGTGAGCGGCACACACTGGTATTTTTTTTTGCATCATTATTGGAAATAGTGAAAAACTGGACAAAAACAAAAGTTTCATCAGAGGAAAATACTTAAGTAAAAGATAGCAAATTCACCCAGTGAATAATAAATATGCAGACTGGTATGCCTGTCATAATTTAGGTGGGCTCACCCAGGGGGCCTGCTGGGTCCAGGGGAGGGGAGGTGGCCAAATGTGGGCAAGAGAGGAAAAAGCAGAGTGGTGTCTAGGTCAGCCCCTCAAGGGTTGGGAAGGAGAGCTGCTCTTTATTGAGCATTCCCCTTTTGGTATCTCACTTAATTCTCACTGTGATCCCATTAGTATCATAAGATGGTACTAATGCCATCCCCATCTTATAGATGAGGAACTGTGGCTCAAAGAGATGGAATGATCTGCCCAGGGCCATCTAGCTTCGAAGTAGAGGAGCTGAGATTCCAACCCAAGTCAACATGATGGCAGAGCGGTCGAAGCTTTTCCTCTGCCACATGATGCCAGTTGTCAATGGCGATCATGTTATCTGCGGAAAGTCCCTTTACATGACACCTGGCATATTTTTTCAGTCTTGGGAGAACAATGCCAAGCCAGTGTGGACACCAGGGGCTGGCAATAAGTAGCCTTGTATGATACAAGGCTAAGCAATAAAAACAGAATACGTAGTTGTATCAGTAATAAAAGCGGCCAAAAAATTATGCTCATGGACAACAGCAGGAAAGGGCAAGGAGAAATGGAAACAGATGACATGTGAGTGGATGCTCTCTTTCCTCTTTCTCTTCTTGAAGTTTCCGTTCTTAACACTGTATTATTTGCACAATAAAAAAAATTCGCAACGAAAGATAGAAAGACTGAGAAAATACAAGTCCCTGGGGTGGCCCATGGCCATGCCTTGAGTTCAGCTGCAGCTCTAGGCTTTCCAAAGCCATTCTGACAGCAGCACTCATAAAGAAGAAGCTAGCTTCTTTTGGATGAGGGGGGAAGGAGAAAAATGTAGCCTGTGACCCATGCCAAGAGGCTTAAGTTAAGTTCCTTGCCATCGTGCTCCAGGGTTGGTGTCATTGCCACATCTGATCAAGCTGTTACCCTGGCTGGGGAGGTATGGCTGTGACCTGGCCTTCCCAGCTCAAGAATTTTTGCATCTAATGGTATTGTTGATCCCTGTTCATTTGTTTTTGCTTCTGCTGGCTGGGGCTTGGGTTTGGCTTTGCTGGAGGAAGGGCCAGTGTGGGATTTTCTCTGACTGAGGGACAGAGGCCAAGGTGACCTCAGCCAGCAAAGAGAACAGTGAAACAGCAACATTTATGCCTGAGTTTCAGAGTTGGGGTGCAGTGATTTTTCTTTGATTCATGCTCACTCCCAATACCTTACTTGATTTTATTCTGTCCTTTAGATCACCATTCCTTTCCAGATTTCATACATTTGCCTATGCTGGTCTCTCTGTCTGGAGTGCCCTGCCTCGTTCTTCCTGACAGAGCTAAGCCCTGCCCATCCTTCAGTACCACTTCGTTGATGAACCTTTTTCCAGTCTCCTTTTGGGGAATGAATCACTCCATCCTCTGGCTCCCAAAACACTTGATTTGTATCTTTCCTATGGCAATTGCATTTGTCTGCAGTACATTATAGTTATTTATGCCCAGCTCTGTTTCTCCTACTAAATGGTGAGCTTCTCAAGGTGGCCAAGAAACATGTCTTATCCAACTCCGATCCCTCACACAATGTCTGGCATGTGGTAGGTGCTCAATCAATGTATGGAATGACATTAATTTACAACGGTTGAGTTCTTCCTCTTTCTATGCATGGGCTCTCTGGGAAAGCTGTTGAGATTTTAGGCGGATGACCAATTGGTTTTTATGTCCATTTGAAAGAGGCAGGAAGAGGAAGAGAGTTAAAGCTATCTGTGGATCCATATTCCAGAGATTTCAGCCAGTGCTCCTTAGGGGGATGAAAACTGGAATAATAACTAACACGTGCAGAGGCTCTTACTTACACTTTCACACCCATTAACTCAGTTGAGTCACAGAAGGGCTCATGGAGGTAGGCTGGCTGGGCAGTATATGGCCTATTCCAATGTTACAGCTGAGGAAACCAAGGCTCAGAAAAATGAAGTGATTTGCAAGATTACATCAACTCAAAGTAGGGCTGGGACTCAAACACAGATCTGTTGACTCCAAATTCCATGCTCTTGGAATTGCTGAGGTGACAAGGGCACAAGCAACCCTTCCCCTTGATAAAGGTTTGCAGAAGGAAGAAAGGAAGCCTATGGTTAACCCTTGATGAAGTATACTTGCACCAGGCCCCAGTTGTTACCCTCATACATATTTACCTCTCATCTAGGGCAGAGACCCTGCTTTCTCCATCATTTCTCTCTCCAAAGTTCAGGTCTTTGGCAAGCCTCACACTTTTGCTGGGTCTTGATTTTCAGGTCTAAAATGAGGAGGCTGAGCTAGAAGTTTAAATTGGGTCACATTCACACTGGCGCCCAACACAGAGCCTGGCCCACAGTTTCCATCACCCTCTCCATGGATGACTCCCAGCTCCAACGCTAGAGGCCTCTAGGACTCCAGCTGACATGATGCAGTGTGTACCCTGCACGTTGCAGCCTCTTCCCAGGCTGGCTGTGGAAACTGAGCCTCCTCCAGACAGCAGGGCTGCTCCGCTCACGCGGATCAAGTCCGGAGCCTCATTAGTCATGTCAGATGACATAGTTAACACTTGGGGCCAGTACAGCCAGTTCATCAAAAGCTCCTATGTGCCTGGCTCCATCACCGCAGCTGAGGAACTACTGTATGTGGAGCAGGCAGCACATCAGAGGAGCAGCACCAGAGTGCTTCCAAATTGGTTTTGATTAATTGCATAGACATGTCTTTAATTGGTGCCAGTGTAGCAGCCAGAGAACTTATGGGAAAGCAGGATGTTATGCTTTCATTCCCTGAAGTCCCATAAAGCAATGAAAGATGAGGAACAGAATCACTGCTCGTTGAAAATGCATCGACCGTGCAGACCTAGAAAACACAAATAAGTATCTGAATTGAAACCTAACCTCATTTTCCCAACTCATTGGAAGCCATGCATGTTCCCCTCTGCCCTGCCTGCCTGCCGAGATGTGCAGCTGAGCAAAAGGTGTGATTTCTAAGAAACAAGTGCTTTAGCACAGAGACAGCATCCTCAGCTCTCTCCAGGCCCTCCTGGAATCGACACCTGGAGGTATCTGGGAAGGCGCCTCCCCTCAGAAACGCCTCTCTCCAGCCCATCACCATCCTATGAACTGTTATCAGAGACTGATTCACTTTGGGTGAAGCATTCATTCACACATTCATTCTTTCTTTTCTACCTCTTGGAGATTTAAGACATATGTATTGACTGTGTACTAAATACAAAGCACTGTTCTGGTGTCATAAGGAATATAGTAGAATGAAGTAAAAAAAAAAACAAAACAGACCCTTTTCCCAGGAAAATGATTATATAGGAGAAAAGAGAGGACAGATGAACTAATGCATCATGAGTCACATCACATAGAAGAGGAACCATTGGGATTTGACATCAAGAGGACTTGGGTTCAAATCTTAGTTCTGTTTCTTCTTACTGAGCCACCTCAGATAATCACTTTAATTCTCTAACTTTCTCCCTCTTTGGGAGGCTGGAGTGCAGTGGTGTAATCACAGCTTACTGCAGCCTCCATTTCCTGGGCTCAAGTGATCCTCCCATCTCAGCCTCCCGACTAGCTAGGGCTACAGGTGTGCACTACCATACCCAGTTTTTCTTATTTTTTTGTAGAGATGGGGTCTTACTCTGTTGCCCAGGCTGGTCTTGAACTCCTGGGTTCAAGTGATCCTCCTGCCTCAGCCTCCCAAAGTGCTGGAATTACAGGCATGAGCCACTGAGTCTGGCCTGAGTTTTAGTTATAGAATAAAATAGTGATACTTACTGGACATGTTGACTGTGAGACTTATAAGAATGAGCAGGGTGGAAAGTACCCAGCACAGGGCCTGGCACTGATCAATAAATTGTTTTCAATTCCAAATAAGCATCACTAGTGAGGCTCTGATAGGGTGCTGGGTGACAGTTCAGTATTCTAGGAACAAACCATTACTGATCACAGACTCTGTGCCAGGTTCTATCCTGAACATTAGGGATTTAGTTAGGAAGCTCAGTCCTGCCCTTGAATGAGACTGAGGTCCACTAGGAAGTCACAATGATTTAATGTGGTAAGAATGGCAAAGTGTCACAGGTGTGCTCACAGAAGTCTACTCAGGGGCGGTGAGGAGGAAAGGAGATAGTGGTCACTTCTACCTGAGAAATCAGGATAGATTTCCCTAAAGAGGCAATGCTTGAACTACATCCTGACACATAAGAATATTTTCATTTACAGATAAAGAAGAAAGCATTTTCCATGCACAAGGCCACAGTTTCCTTCCTTTTGTTCCTAGAGCAAACAGGAGTTACCCCCATAGGATCTTGGAACTAGCTGTTCTCTTTGTATAGAAAGTTCTTCCCCTAAATTTTCCAAAGCTGGCTCCTTCTTGACATTTATAACCCAATATTTTATTTTTTCATTTGTTTATTTTATATCTCTCCTACTAGAATGACAGGTCCGTGAGAGCCTGAGATCCTGGCTGTATTTTCCTCCACTCTGTTACAACATCTAGAACATTACCTGGCATATAATAGGCATTCGGTGTACATTCGTTGCATAAATAAATAAATAAACAACAGGAGGCACAGGAGGGCATACTGCAATTGAGGACCTATTCTAAGCACAGTGCCTGGCATGCAGCGGACACTGAATTTTCTTTCGTAAAATTAAATAATGGGAAATGCCTGAAGCATAGGCCAGAGGAACTGAAGTGGAAGGTAATAGAAGAGATGGCCTCTGAGCTGCACCCGGGAAGAATGACAATGTGATAGAGATGCTAGGAAGGGGATTGGGAGGATTAAATCACAGAACTTTTAAGTCCCTTCCAATCTTGAGCTTCTCTAAGAATTTCTCCCGTACAAATCATCTCTTGTCACCCTTCCTGATCCCCTCACTCACACCCCTCCTTTCCACTCCACCCTGTCTGGAGGCTGTAAGGACATCTGACACACCATTTCCTGCCAATGTAAATCATAGACTGCTGTGTGATGCTCGTTCGCAGGTTTTACCATCCCCCAGATGGAGATGGCCCCAAATCTCAGGGTGGAGGCCTCAAGCAAAGCCAGCCTTACCACAGGGTGGCAAATAAGGGGGAACTGTTTACCCACCAGCACCTTCCTGGCCCTGCTCCCAGATAATTTTATTTCCTCTGGTCCTGGATCTGCTCCTTAGTTGGATGCACCTCAGTTCACTTGCTGGAGCACTGATGTGTGACTGTTTAACTGCTGCTGCTTCCTGTCCCAGGGATCCTGGGCTTCAGGGAGCATGGGAAAGAGACAAGAAAGAGAGCTTTATATGAGGTAAGCCTTGACAGTAATCATAAAAGTCAAAGACTAACTTACACTTAGATAGTGCTTCACAGTTTACAAAGCCCTAGAGGACCCCTATTCATCCTTCAAGGCCCGAACAAATGTTACCTCTTTTCACTAACCTTCAACTCTCCCAGGCAGAGCTAATCCTTTCCTCCACACTTGATAAAACCTCCGTGATAGCTCTTACTGCCTTGTAATAAGCGTATCTGTGTACGTGTCTCATTTCCTCCACTAAACCCTCAGAACCCTGGGGGCAGATCTCTTTTCTCCCAGTAAAACACATTTCTTTCTTTCTTAACAAGTAATTTTAATGTTCATTATACATATTTTCTAACTACAAAAGTAATATTTATTGTTATAATAAGAAAAATTATATATATAAAAGCATAATGAAGCAAGTTTAAAATCACTTATAATTTCATCACCCAGATCAAACCACTGGTAATGTTTTGGATCTATCTTGAGGGGTTTGTTTTAGCATACAGAAAGTAAAAATGGGACTATATAATGCATGTGGTTTTATAGTCTGTTTTATCACCTATCTTATTGTGAACATCTTCAAACATCATTGACAGTTCTTTAAAAACATCATCTTAAATAGCTGCATTATTTCACTTAATGAGTATGCTGTAATTTTCTTAACAATTTCTCCATTGTGGGACATTTGGGTTATTTCCTTCTTTTTACTACTTTTACAAATAAGTCTGCAATGAATGGCTGTTACATAAATCTTTGTCTGCATCTCTGACTGTTTTCCTAAGAAAGATTCCTAAGAAATCGTCCTAGAAGATTCCTAGGTCAACTGGCTTAAATTCTTTTTTTTTTTTTTTTTTTTTTTTTTTGAGAGGGAGTCTTGCTCTGCCGCCCAGGCTGGAGTGCAGTGGTGCGATCTCAGCTCACTGCAACCTCCACCTCCCAGGTTCAAGCGATGCTCCTGCCTCAGCCTCCCGAGTAGCTGGGATTACAGGCATGCACCACCACACCCAGCTAATTTTTGTATTTTTAGTAGAGAAGGGGTTTCACCATGTTGACCAGGCTGGTCTCTAGCTCCTGACTTGTGATCTGCCCACCTCGGCCTCCCAAAGTATTGGGATTACAGGCGTGAACCACTGTGACCGGTGTGGTTTAAACTCTTTAAAGCTTCGTGATGCTCATTGCGAAATTGCTCTGAGAAAACAATATCAATTTATAATTTCACCAATGCAACATGTCTCACCTGACCAACATTATAAGCCCATTTGTATCTTTACCAAGTCCAGCATCCTTTTCATAATGTCTCACAAGTTAAGTAATTTTTCTTAAACACAGCAGAAATTATACAACCAAACTTAGAGTTATCCTCTTCCAAGATGTCAACCTGGGAGGGCATATTTATTTATTTATTTATTTTATTTTATTTTATTTATTTTTTGAGACAGAGTCTCGCTCTGTAGCCCAGGCTGGAGTGCAGTGGTGTGACCTTGGCTCACTGCAAGCTCCGCCTCCCAGGTTCTTGCCATTCTCCTGCCTCAGCCTCCCAAATAGCTGGGACTACAGGCACCCGCCACCACTCCCAGCTAATTTTTTGTATTTTTGGTAGAGACGGGGTTTCACTGTGTTAGCCAGGTTGGTCTCGATCTCCTGACTTCGTGATCGACCCGCCTTGGCCTCCTAAAGTGCTGGGATTACAGGCGTGAGCCACCACGCCTGGCCCGGCATATTTATTTAAACAGTGCTTCCACTGCTTTAAACATTTCTTTTTTATTTGAAAATTGGCTGCAAAGCAGACAACACATTCTTTTGCATCTAAATTACAATAGATTCTGTTTTCAGGGAATGATTTTTGATTTTTGGCAATAGTCAAAAGTCACTTGAAATTCGTGAGATGAGAAGCTGCAGCTGGGTTTGGGGTCAGAAATGAGGTGCAATATTACAGTAATGAGATTGAGGTCTTTTGCAACTTGCAAAGAGTCCCAGAGGAGTTCTGGGCAGTAGTGGCATCATCAGAATAAAGGCTGAACCTTCTAGCCTGACCATTCCAAAGTGGCTGCACTCAGGTGGAGGTATGACTCTAGCACACAGTTATTGAACCTCCTCTCATGACTTCATCGTTACTCTGTGGATAGCCCCAGGGACAGGTGTCAACTTATTTCAGAACTGAGCTCCAGGCCAGGTGCAGTGGCTCACACCTATAGTCCCAGCATTTTGGGAGGCCTAGGTGGGCAGATTGGTTGAGCCCAGGAGTTTGAGACCAGAGTGGGCAACAGGGTGAAACCCTGACTCTACAAAAAATGCAAAAATTAGCTGGGCATGGTGATACATGCCTCTAGTCCCAGCTACTCAGGAGGCTGAGGTGGGAGGATCACTTGAGCCCAGGAGATAGAGGCTACAGTGAGCTGCGATTGAACCACTGCACTGTAGCCTCGGTGACATAGGGAGAGCCTGTCTCAAAAAAAAGTAAAAAAGAACTGATCTCCAGGCCAGGCATGGTGGCTAATGCCTGTAATTCTAGCACTTTGGGAGGCTGAAGGGGGAGGATCACTGGAGCCCAGGAGTTCAAGACCAGCCTGGGCAACATAGTGAGACCCTGTCTCTACCAAAAAAAATTCTTTTAATTAATTAGCCATGCATGGTAGCACGCACCTGTTGTCCTAGCTACTTGGAAGGCTGAGGCAGGAGGATCACTTGAGCCATGGAGTTGGAGGCTGCAGTGAGCTACAATCAACTGCGCTCCAGCCTGGACAACAGTACTGATCTGATCTCCTTCCCTATTCTTTCTTCATCAAGCCCACTTGGACCTCATGTGACTCCAAGACAAGACTTTAGAGGGGCAGTTGAAGGGGAGGGTGGAACATAGCATGGCAATGGAAAGAGCCCTCAGACTTCAGTCAGAAAGAAATGAGTCTGATGTGTGGCTCTAACTGTGCCTTTTGCCAGCTGTGTGTTAGGTCCCATTAGTAAAGGAGGATGCTACTTCCAAGGACTGTTTGGGAAAATGGAAAATATACATATAACCACACGCAGACACACAAACACACACAGGCACGCCAAATAGCTAATGCTTATTGAGTACCGACTCCATGCCAAATACATACTGTGCTTTCTATGCACATGGCAGACCCTGTTGACTGGCTACCCAAAAGCCATTTGCTCCTTGTTACCTACCACTGCAGCTCCCTTGGGCCAATGAGATTTAGTAGAACTCTGCTGGGAGTTACTGGGAGAGCTTTTGCTTTCCTGATGAAACAGGACTGCTGAGTCTGAACTGTCCGCACCTCCCAACCCCTGCCTGCCTTGAACTTGGAGGTGAGGGCAGGGTGTCACAGCCATCTTGTAACCAAGATGGAAAGACCAAAGGAGCACCTTTGGAATTCTTATTATGCCAGAAAATAACTACTTATTTAAGTCACTGTTAGTTATCATTACTTACAGCTAAAAATATTCCAATATACATGCATAAAAAGTGTCCACACATAAACAATGCTCAATAAAGGGTAGCTATTTACACTCATTAAAGTCCCCAACCTATAGAGACTTGAAATGCCTTCTTTTTCTTCAGTTAGACTCAGTCACCCCCATTGATCCCCTGCACCTTTGCAGGGCACCTACTCAGGACCAGGCTTTGTGCAAGATGCACAGGGCAAGAGGCGCCCCCAGTCTAAGGAAGGAAGTGAAAAGCCTGAGAGTATGCCAGTCTCTGCTGAGACATTGCCCAAACCCAGCAGGACTCAACAGGTAAGTCCTGCCATGGCCTGGGCTTCCTCCTTCTACCTGATGTGCAGGATGCTTGGTATTCCCCTTCACTGCCCACCTCCTGCCTGAGCTTGGAGATGCTTCTGGGTGGTGGAGGAAATGCTTATTGACTTCCACATCTTTCCAGCCAAATGCTCCTACCGGGGGGTCCCAGGCTCAAGAGAGCCCGGCTTCACCTGCTTGCTGTCTACTCCCATAGGAAACAGGAGGAATCTTTTTCAGAATATTTGCTCCAGCAAAAATTGTCCATCAAGGCTAACAATGGAGAGAAGGCAGAGATACTGAGCTACCTTTTAGATGCCTGGATGTCCTGTATGGGATTTTATAGAGAAGCAGATTGAACACAAAACCTATTTCCGCACTTAAAGTTCTATGGCTTTGGCAGTTTAGACAACCTTTCTGAGCTTCAGTTTTCTTATTTATAAAATGGAGATGGCTGGTCCAAAGGTAGTGAGTTATCTCAATCAATTGTTCACTGTCAGTCACAGATTGAACTCCTCGTTCTATTCCTTCCCTCTTTCTCACTACTGAACTTAACTAGTCTAAAATAAATAAGTAAATAAATAAACAAAATGGAGATGTGACAGCCAATTTTATATGTTCACTTGACTGGATCATGGGGTACTGAGATAGATGGGAAAACATTATTTCTGGGTGTGTCTGTGGGGATGTTTCCGGAAGAGATTAGCATTTGAATTGGTAGACCGAGTAATGAAGAGGCAGCCCTCCCTAATGTGCATGGACATCATCCAATTCATTGAGGACCTGAATAGAACAAAAAGATAGAAGGGCAAATTTGTTCTCGCTTCTTGAGCTGTGACATCCATCTTCTCCTGCCCTTGTACATCAGCACTCCTCGCTCTTCGGCCTGTGGACTCAGACTGGAATTTACACCATTGAACTCCTGGTTTTGGCTTGGCATGGTGGCTCATGCTGATAATCCCAGAGCTTTGGGAGGCCAAGGTGGGAGGATCCCTTGAGACAAGGAGTTCGAGACCAGCCTGGGCAACATAGTGAGGTTCCGTCTCTACAAAAAATAAAAATAAAAAATTATTTGGGCATGGTGGCACATGCTTGTAGTTCCACCTACTCAGGAGGCTGAGGTGGGAGGACTGCTTGAGCCCAGGAATGCAAGCCTGCAGTGAGCTAAAATCGTGCCACTATACTCCAGCATGGGTGCCAGAACAATATCCTGTTTCTAAACAAACAAACAACAAAACCCACTAAACTCTAGTTCTCAGGTCTTCGTCTTTGGGCTTGGACTAGAATGACACCATTGGCTTTCCTGGGCTCCAGCTTGCAAATGGCAGTTCTTAGGACTTCTCAGCCTCCATAATCACAATAAATTATACGAAAGAATAAATCTATTTACATACATCTCCTATTGGTCCTGTTTCTCTGGAGAACCTTGACTAATACAGGAGATAATGTCTACCTCCAAGGCCGGGAGTGGTGGCTCACGCCTGTAATCCCAGCACTTTGGGAGGCTGAGGCAGGCGGATCATGAGGTCAGGAGTTCCAGACCAGCTTGTCCAACATGGTGAAACCCTGTCTCTACTAAAAATACAAAAATTAGCCGGGTGTGGTGGCGTGCCCCTGTAATCCCAGCTACTCAGGAGGCTGAGGCAGGAGAATCGCTTGAACCCGGGAGGTAGAGGTTGCAATGAGCCGAGATTGCGCCACTGCACTCCAGCCTGGGCGACAGAGTAAGACTCTGTCTCAAAAATAAATAAATAAATAAACAAACAAACAAATTAATAAATGTCTACCTCCAGCCTAGGCAGCATGACAAAATTCTATCTCTACAAAAAAATACAAAAATTAGTCGGGTGTGGTGGTGTGTGCCTGTAGTCCCAACTACTGGGGAGGTTCTGAGGCTGGAGGATCAATTGAGCCTGGGTGATTGCACCACTGCACTCCAGCTGGGGTGACAGAATGATACCCTTTCTCAAAAAAAAAATTAAATTATATTAAGAAAAATAAGTGTATACTTGACAGAATTATTGTTTCTCATCTGGCAACTTCCAGAAACATGATCAGCTACACTAATGAAGATGGGTCTCACATCGCACTCCTTGCTATAGACACATGGAGGTGCTGGATGAATTATAATGCAAATCTTTTTTTTTTTTTTGAGACAGAGTCTCGCTCTGTCATCCAGGGTGGAGTGCAGGGGCACAATCAGGACTCACTGCAACCTCTGCCTCCTGGGTTCAAGTGATTCTCCTGGCTCAGCCTCCTGAGTAGCTAGGATTACAGGCACGCACCACCACACCCAGCTAATTTTTGTATTTTTAGTAGAGACAGGGCTTCACCATGTTGTCCAGGCTGGTCTCAAACTCCTAACCACACGTGATCCACCCACCTCAGCCTCCCAAAGTGCTGGGATTACAGGCGTTAGCCACCATGCCCAGCCTAAAAATGTTATTTTTTATCGCTGAATTTGAAAAATATAAAGAGAAATTTCTAGACATCAGAAATGAAAAGGGAGCTCAAAGGCAGGACAGGGTACAGCCAGTGCCTAGGCAACACACAGGGACCTCAGACTCAGATATAGATCCTGAGGGCTGTGGGCTAGGGTTTCACTGCACACTAAGGAGTAGGAGATAGGGCTTAAGTTTCTGCCAGGTGAGCAAGTTGGAACTGAGATAAAGCCCTGAGATTGGAAGCTGGGCTTCTTCCATGAAAAGGAGACTGGAAAAGCTGTATCCTGGCGTTAGAGAAGTTGCAAGAAAGATTGATCTTTGAAGAGGCTGTGGGTGGGGTAATAAATAGCATTTACAAGAAATAGAAACCCCAGTCTCTGCCACATGCAAGATGGGGAGTTTGAATTTACTTTACCTTTAGATGCAGGCACCCATTGAGATAAATTCTTTCTTTTCTTTTCTTTCTTTCTTTTTTTTTTTTTTTTTTGAGACAGAGTTTCGCTTTTGTCACCCAGGCTGGAGTGCAATGGTGCAATCTCAGCTCACTGCAACCTCCGCCTCCCAGGTTCAAGTGGTTCTCCTGCCTCAGCCTCATGAGCAGCTGGGATTACAGGCATGCGCCACCATGCCTGGCTAATTTTTATATTTTTAGTAGAGACGAGGTTTCACCATTTGGCCAGGCTGGTCTCAAACTCCTGACCTCAGGTGATCCGCCTGCCTCAGACTCCCAAAGTGCTGGGACTACAGGCGTGAGCCACCACGCCCGGCAAGATAAATTAACAGAAAAATTGGTCCAGATCATTAAAATTCATAGGTTAGGCTGGAGCAAGACCCATTAAAACTCTTAGCTTTAGGCTGAAGCAAATCAAAATACCTCGATAGGGATGCTTGACAAATTTATTAGAAAAAAAAATATCCTGAGGAAAATACTCTCAGAAAGTAACAAATCACATGAGGAAAAAAAAGATCAAAATAGAGAGTCAACAAACAAAACAAACTAGAGATATGAAGGGTAAAAATGGAAACACCTGAAAGAGACTATGAAGTAAGGATGATTAAAATAGAGAGATAAGAAAGTGTAGAAGCCTGGTCAGGCGCAGTGGCTCATGCATGTAATTATAGCACTTTGGGAGGCTGAGGTGGGCAGATTGCTTGAGCCCAGGAGTTCAAGAGCAGCTTGGGCAACATAGTGAAACCCTGTCTCAAAAAAGAGAAAAAATATATATATATATAAAAATAGAAGCCATAATAAAGGAACAGAATAGTATGGAGGAGAAAGAGTTGGGAAATTTGAAAAAGAACCATATAGAACTTCCAGAAATAAAAACATAGTTACTAAAATTAAAGACTCAAAGATGAGTTAACCTACATATTCGAGCTAGCTGAAGAGGGAATCTGAAGAAACATTTTGAGGACATGCCCCAAATGGAGTAAAGAGAGATAAAGAGAGAAAACCCGAACAAGAATTTAAGAGAAATGAAGAATAAAAAGAGAGAGCCAAACAGATGTCTCATAGGAGTTCCAGAAAGATTTAACAGAGGGGCCGGGTGCAGTGGCTTATGCCTGTAATCCCAGCACTTTGGGAGGCTGAGGTGGGCGGATCACCTGAGGTCAGGAGTTCAAGACCAGTCTGGCCAAATGGTGAAACTCCGGCTCTACTAAAAATACAAAAATTAGCCAGGCATGGTGGTGTGAGCCTGTAATCCCAGCTACTCGGAAAGCTGAGGCAAGAGAATCGCTCGAACCCAGGAGGCGGAGGTTGCAGTGAACTGAGATTGTGCCATTGCACTCCAGCCTGGGCGACAAAAGTGAGACTCCATCTCAAAAAAACAAACAAACAAAAAAAGGGCCAGGCAGAGTGACTCACACCTGTAATCCCAGCACTTTGGGAGGCTGAGGCAGGTGGATTACCTGAGGTCAGGAGTTCAGGACCAGTCTGGCCAACATGGTGAAACCCTGTCTCTACTAAAAAATACAAAAATTAGCTGGGTGTGGTGGCAGGCGCCCGTAATCCCAGCTACTTGGGAGGCTGAGACAGGAGAATTGCTTGAACCTGGGAGGCGGAGGTGGCAGTGAGTAGAGATCACGCCAATGGACTCCAGCCTGGGTGACAAGAGCGAAACTCCATCTCAAAAAAGAAAAAAAAAAGAAAGAAAGATTTAACATTATGGGGTTCTTTAGAGAAACAGGAAACAGAACCAACAAGATCCGTGTGTGTGTGTGTGTGTGTGTGTGTGTGTGTGTGTGTGTGTGTATACAGAGAGAGAGAGATTTATTATAAGGAATTGGCTCATGCAATTATGGAGGCAATTACGGAGGCTGAGAAGTTCCAAGATCTGTACCTGGCAAGCTGTAGACCCAGGAGAGCCAACAGTGACTTTCCAGCCTGAGTCCAGAGGCCTGAGGAAAAGGAGAGCCAGTGGTGTAAGTTCCAGTTCAAAATCCTGCAATCTTGAGACCCAAAAAAAGAGCTGGTGTTTCAGTTTGAGTCTGGAGGCAGGAAAAGACTGATGTCCCAGCAGCCAGGCAGGAGGAGTTTCCTCTTACTTGCAGGAGAGTCAGCCTTTTTGTTCCATCCAAGCCTTCAACAACTGAATGAGGCCTGCTCGCATTATTAGAAAGGGCAGTCTGCTTTACTCAGTCTATTGATTCCAATGTTAACGCATCCAGAAACACCCTCCCAGACACACCCAGAATAATTGTGTGACCAAACATGTGGGCACCCCGTGGTCCAGACAAATTGACAAATAAAATTAACCATCATGAATTATTGATAATTTTCCAAAACTGGAGAAACATACGAAGACAGCAAATAAACAGTTCAGGCATGGTGGCTCACGCCTGTAATCCCAGCACTTTGGGAGGCCGAGGTGGGTGGATCATTTGAGGTCAGGAGTTGGAGATCAGCCTGGCCAATATGGTGAAACCCCATCTCTACTAAAAATACAAAAATTAGCCAGGCATTGGGTGATGCACGCCTGTAATCCCAGTTACTCGGGAGGCTGAGGCAGAAGAATCGCTTGAACCTGGGAGGTAGAGGTTGCAGTGAGCTGAGATCATGCCACTGCACTACAGCCTGGGCGACAGAGTGAGACCGTGTCTCAAGTAAATAAAATAAAATAAAATAAAATGAAATAAAATAAAATAAAATACAATACAATACAATTACATGACTAGTCACATACTGATTAAACTGCAAAACCACAAGGCAAATATAAAAGTCTGCAGTGACAAGGGACAGATTATCAAAAGGAATGTTAACTACAATGAAATCAGCTTTCTCATCAGCAACAATGAGAACCAGGAGACAGTAGGATAATATCTTCAAAGTGTGCACAAAAAATAAATCTCAAACCAGAATCCTATACACAAATTAGTAAGCGAGAGCCAAACTTTCAGACATTTTCTGATGAACAAAGACAGTTAGTTTACCTCACAGAAACCTGCTGAAAGTATTTTAACACATTAATAGATATACGTCTATAAGAAAATTGAATTCAGGCTGGGCATGGTGGCTCACACCTATAATCCTAGCACTTCAGGAGGCTGAGGTGGGAGGATCGCTTGAGGCCAGGTGTTGAAGACCAACCTGGCCAACATAGCAAGACCAACTCCATAAAAAAACAATTGTTTTTTAAAGAAAATTGAGGCCAGGCACAGTGGCTCACACCTGTAATCCCAGCACTTTGGGAGGCCATGGCAGGCGGATCACCTGAGCTCAGGAGTTCGAGATCACCCTGGGCAACATGGTAAAACCCCGTCTCTACTAAAAATACAAAAAATTAGCTGGGCGTGGTGGCATGCACCTGTAGTCCCAGATACTCAGGAGGCTGAGGCATGAGAATCACTTAAGCCCTGGAGGCAGAGGTTGCAGTGAGCTAAGATTGAGCCACTGCACTCTAGCTTGGCAGCTTGGGCTACAAAGTGAGACTGTCTCAAAAGAAGAAAAAGAAAGAAAAAAGAAAATCGAATCCAGAAAGAAGTAACATGTAAGGTGTGGGATACAAGTGAGGCACCAAAGCTAGCTCTGATCAGCCCAGATAGCAGACTGCTAAAACTTCCAGGAATTTTGAGAATTGGTTGTTACACACAGTCATTTTCTTTTCTTTCTTTTTTTTTTTTTTTTGAGACACAGTCTCAGTCTATTACCCAGGCTAGAGTGCAGTGGTGCCATCTTGGCTCACTACAACCTCTGCCTCCTGGGTTCAAGGGATTCTCGTACCTCAGCCTCCCGAGTAGCTGAGACTACAGGCACAGGCCACCACACCAGGCTACTTTTCATACTTTTGTAGAGATGGGGTTTCACCATGTTGGCCAGGCTGGTCTCAAAACTCCTGACCTCAGATGATCCACCCGCCTCAGCCTCCCAAAGTGCTGGAATTACAGGCATAAGCCACTGCAACCGGCCCATTTTCAAACATTAAATTATGTAAACTTACAATTAAATGAATCACTTTAAATATAAAGGTCAAAAATCCTCACAATGCATGCCTTCTTAATTATTTTACCACATTATGCTATCAACCATGCAACTTTTATTTGTATCTCCTGTGTTTATACAGTAGACATACTATAGAATGGTGTACTACTCTGCATCTGTTCCCAGTTCTACATTCAATGATGCCACATTGGTAATTTGAATATTTACACTCTAGAAATTAACAAATGTTACAAATCAGAGATCCCCAACCCTACCAAGTGAAAACTGGTGTTAAATATTTACCAGCATACCAGTGAATACAAGAAATAATGAATTACTTATGAATACCGCTCCTAGGTGTATACCTAAGGGAATTAAAAACGTATGTTCACAAAAACCTTGTACATGAGCATTCATAGCAGTATTCTGCATAATAGCCAAAAGCCGAAAACAACCTAAATGTCCATCAACTGATAAATAAATAGAATGTGGTAGATTCACACAATGGAATGTTATTCAGCCATAAGAAGGAATGAAGGGGCTGAGTGTGGTGGCTCATGCCTGTAATCCCAGCACTTTGGGAGGCCAAGGTGGGCAGATCATGAGGTCAAGAGATTGAGACCATCCTGGCCAACATGGTGAAATCCCGTCTCTACTAAAAATACAAAAATTAGCTGGGCGTGGTGGTGCGCACCTGTAGTCCCAGCTACTCGGGAGGCTAAGGCAGGAGAATCACTTGAACCCTGGAGGTGGAGGTTGTGGTGAGCTGAGATCACCATTGCACTCTAGCATGGGCAACAAGAGCGAAACTCCATCTCAAAAAAAAAAAAAAAAAAAAGGAATAAATGACTGACCCATGCTCCAACGTGGATGAACCTTAAAAACATTAGGCTAAGTGAAAGAAGCCAGACATAAAAGGCTACATATTATGATTCCATTTATATGAAATCTCCAAAATAGGCAAATCCATAGAAACAGAAAGTATATGAGTGGTTGCCAGGGGATTAAAGAAAATGAGGAAACTGCTAATGGGTAGGGGGTTTCCTTGTGGAATGCTGTAATCTGTTCTAAAATTAGTGGTGATGGTTCTACAATTTTGTAAATATACTAACGATTTTATTGGATATGAATTATATTTCAGTAAAAAGAGAGAAAGATAGGCAACGAAGCCGGTATGCAGGTTTATAAATCTAAATAAACACTGGCTGTTAAAACATCTAATTTGAGCCCAGGCATGGTGGCTCATGCCTGTAATCTCAGCACTTTAGGAGGCCAAGGTGGGATGACTGCTTGGCCCCAGGAGTTCGAGACCAGCCTGGGCAATGTGATGAAACTCTATCCCTACAAAAAAATACAAAATTAGCTGGGTGTGGTGGCAGGCACCTGCAGTCCCAGCTACTTCGGGGGCTGTGGTGGGAGGATCCCTTGAGCCCGGGAAGCGTAGTTTGCAGTGAGCTGAGATTGTGCCACTGTACTCCAGCCTGGGCAACAGGAGTGAGACCCTGTCTCAAAAAATAATAATAATAATAAAATAATAATAATAATAATAGCAGCACAGAAATGTTAAAACGATGGGAAAATATACTAGGCAAATGCTAAGCAAAATAATGCAATATTGACAGCTTTTAAGCCAAAAATAATTACTAGGGATAAAGAATCATATGATAATGATAATGATAAAAGGAAAAGTTCACCAGGAAGATATATCCCAGAACCTCTGAGTACCACCTGGCAACATTGCTTCCAAATATACAAAGCCCCCTCAAGTCTTCAGCATGTATGTAAGGAAACTACCAGAGGCCAGAGAAAGAACTGCCTAAAAGGATTAGAAGGAACCATTTTTGGAGATCACACAGGTCCACTTCCTATTCCTAACATCTAGAGTGGCAAGACATATTTCATAAGGTTTCGGGTGCCCTCAACACTGGGGCAAAATTAGCCCTAGACTAATATTACTCTGGTCTCATCTAACAAAGCTTAAAAGTAATAGCCAAAAGCTATTTCCAAAAATCAGTCAAATGAAACTGAGGGAGATAGGTAAAATTGATAGATAAGGTCATTAAAACTATTATCACTGTATTCCATGTGATCAATAACCTAAAGAAAAAATTGAGCTTGTTAAGTAGAGACATGGAAGATATCAAAAAGACCCAAATTCCAGTAGCAATACACTCACTGCCCATATCTTGCTTTCTAAACACCATTCTCCAATAAAAGGAACCAGGGCTAGACAGAAATCGAGAATAGAGAAATGGCTGGTCACAGGTGTGGAAGGCAAAAAACAAGATAATCTTGGAGCATATTGTAGTACCAGAAGGTAAGGACCTGCTAAGAAAAAACAAAAGGTTGGAAGCACATCAAAGAGACACAGAAGCCAACCTGAAAAAACACCCAATGGCCAAAGCTGGAACAACTTGAGCAACAAAATAAGTAACACAGTATGGGATTATTACACAAAATATAAAACAAACATACATGAGTCCAAACATATCCATAGAGATAGAAAGTTGATTCATGGTTGCTGGGGCCAAGGATGAGAGAGAATGGAGAATGACTGCTTAATGAGTATAGGGTTTCCTTTTAGTGTGATGAAGATGTTCTGAACTAGATAGTGGTGATGGTTGCACAGCATTGTGAATGCACTAAATGCAACTGAGATGTACACTTTAAAGTGGTTAAAATGGTGAATTCTGTCATATGAATTTTACCACAATAAAAAATTACCATAAAATCCCTTCTTTCATTCATCTATCAAACATTTATTGAGCAGTTCCACGCAAGGTTTATTCTGGATGCAGGGAACATGGAACAATCAGATGTGGGCTTGGCTTTTAGGAGGTCCTGGGCTAGTAGAGAAGAAAAACATCCTGCAAACAACAAAGTTCAGTTAAGTGTTACAGTTTTCTTGACATCAGAATGTGCATTGCTACAATAAGATATCATCTCACCCCAGTTAAAATGGCTTTTATCCAAAAGACAGGCAATAACAAATGTTGGCAAGGATGCAGAGAAAAGGGAACCCTCATACACTGTTGATGGGAATGTAAATTAGTACATCCACTACAGAGAACAGTTTGAAGGTTCTGCAAAAAATGAAAAATAGAGCTACCATATAATCTAGCAATCCCATTGTTAGGTATATACCCAAAAGAAAGCAAATCAGTATATCAAAGAGATACCTGCACTCCCATGTTTTTTGCAGCACCATTCACAATAGCCAAGATTTGGAAGCAACCCAAGTGTCTGTCAACAGATGAATAGATAAAGAAAATGTGGCAGATATACACAATGGAGTGCTATTCAGTCATAAAAAAGAATGAGATCCTGTCATTTGCAACATCATGGATAGAACTGAAGGTCATTATGTTAAGTGAAATAAGCCAAGCACAGAAAGACAAACCTCTCATGTTCTCACTTATTTGTGGGAGCTACAATTAAAATAAATGAACTTATGGAGACAGAGAGTAGAATGATGGTTACCAGAGGCTGGGAAGGATAGTGGAGGGTGGGGTGGGGGGAAAAGGGGATGGTTAATGGGTACCAAAAAATAGTTAGAAAGAATGGACAAGATCTAATATTTGATAGCACAGCAGGGTGACTGTAGTCATAATAATGTAATTGTACATCTAAAAATAACTAAAGGAAGGCTGGGCGTGGTGGCTCACGCCTATAATCACACTTTGGGAGGCCAAGGCAGGCAGATCACCTGAGGTCACAAGTTCAAAACCAGCCTGGTCAACATGGTGAAACCTTGTCTCTACTAAAAACACAAAAATTGGCCAGGTGTGGTGGCGTGCACCTGTAATGCCAGCTACTCGGGAGGCTGAAGCACGAAAATCGCTTGAACCCAGGAGGTGGAGGCTGCAGTGAGCCAAGATGGTGCCACTGCACTCCAGCCTGGGTGACAGAGCAAGACTCCTCTCAAAAATAATAATAATAATAATAATAATAACTAAGAGTATAACTGGATTGTTTGTAACACAAAGGATGAATGCTTGAGGTGATGGATACCCCATTTACCCTGATGTGATTGCTATACATTGTATGCCTGTATTAAAATATTCAATATACTCCATAAATATATATATACCTGCTATGTATCCACAAAAGCTAAAGCTAAAAAAAAAAATTAAAGAATGTGCATTTTACATGGTGGTAGGGGAGGGTGGCTGCTTCACTGAGTGGGTTGGTGGGTGGTGGGGGAGAACAGCAATGGTGAGGCTGAGGCTTGAGTCCAAAAGGGGAGTTTCCCAGGTGGATGGCAGCAGAGAGGGATTCCAGGCACAAAGTGGGGCATGATTGAGCTAGCTCAAAAAGTTGGTGTCCAAAAGTCTCCAGTTTTCAGCAAACTCCAAGCCAAATAGCACAGGAGCAGTGTAGGGGATGGTCTTCAGACAGTGAGGTGAGAGGTGGGTGACCACCCCTGTCCAGTTGCAGTAGGTGACAGTAAGAGATGTTAGGGAAATCACATGGACCTGCCAGGATGTCAGGGTCAAAGAAAACATGATTCCAAGATTGGGCCACTGGGTGGGTGGTAGATACTGCCCATCCCTAAGGTGAGCCTACAGGAACATTCTGTTCAGGAGAGGTCAAAGTAGAATAAAATATACAGTCCCCTAATTGTATCCCCTTATACTACACCCATCACCTCATTTTATGTATTCTACAATTTTTAATTTTTTAATTTATGCATTGGAAACCAACTTCCCTTTTCCTTGGGCTTCTTGTTTTCATGTTTGAAATATATGTTACCATGGAAATGTCATGGTACAGTATAGCGGCATTTATAAGTGAAGTGTGAAGAATTTTCAGAACATCTAGAAACATAAGACTGGGGTTTAGGGATATAAGTCCTTATTATGTGATAGCATTCATGACTTCAGACACTGTGTCATGAATATAAGCATACTCAGAAATTTGAGACAGCACAGAGGAGATAGTTGAGAGTTTTATTAGGATTTATGTGCCCAGATTTTTAAAAACGTGTATGAGAAATATTAAAAACACAAAACATAACACACTACTTGGGAAGAACATCTGGAAAAAATGGATGACAGAATGCCAACATTTACTTATGAATACGCACCTCTGGAAGGACCAGGGGACCTGGACACCCCAGAGAAATTTGGTAAAACCCTCTGCACCACTTTCTATGCTATAAATATGTTCCTTAAAAATTGTATGTAAATCAACTGTTAGTAAATCATTTGTTAAATACAAGGGTGAGCATGATTTTAAAGATATCATAAGAATGTACATTTTAGTAAAGGAAATAATTACCGATGGAGTAATAGAAAAAAACTCACGGACTGAGCGAAGTTCAAGGTCCTTCATTATTATCCTGGCTCTGCCACCAACTAAATGTGCGATTCAAGAAAATCACTCAACCTCCCTGGGCCAATTCCCTCATCGAGTTTGGGTTGTAATTCTGAATTTTCACTTATTAGGTTCTTAATGCAAGGTACAGGGGTACTGGCCCACAGCCTCAAGTCCAGTTTCTTCTGAGAGGTAATATTACACACTAAATCCTTGTGTACAGAGCTCCAGGCTCTCTTACATAAGAAGAGCTACAGTTACCATCATTCTGTGTTTTGCTTCTTTACAGTCCACTGTCTCTTTTTCACAATCACCCTTAGTTGATGATTACAACTGTTTGTTCCAATTCTTTACAAAAGTTTGTTCCTTAGCTCTGTCCTCTGGGAAAAATTGACAGTCTAAGGTAGGAACCCTTTCTTGGTGCTCCTCTCCACCTCTGGCCCTTTCCCTAACCCACAAAGCTGGGCACTGCCCAAGGACAAGGGCTGTACTCTGTGCCTAGTGCAGGCCCAGGCTCGAAGAAGGAATTCAGTAAATGACCGTTCACTGATTTTTTTTTGTTTGTTTTTTTGAGACAGAGTCTCACTCTGTCGCCCGGGCTGGAGTGCAATGGCACGATCTCAGCTCACTGCAACCTCCACCTCCCAGGTCCAAGTGATTCTCCTGCCTCAGCCTCCTGAGTAGCTGGGATTACAGGCATGCACCACCACACCCGGCTAATTTTTGTATTTTTAGTAGAGACGGGGTTTTACCATGTTGGCCAGGTTGGTCTCGAACTCCTTACCTCATGTGATCTGCCCACCTCAGCCTCCCAAAGTGCTGAGATTACAGGTATGAGCCACCGCACCCAGCCTGGCTGGATGTTTTTGAAGGAGGAAGCTGAGGCAAGGAGATGGGTCTGATGACAGACCCGAACTCTAGGAGTGGACTTCTGGCTGCTTCTTTAAACATTTCTAAACTTTCCAAATTTTCTACAATGGACAAAAATATCAAAACCGCAAACCATTAAACTCTCCTTTTCCTGGCTTTCTGTCAATGCCCTGGTCTCCCATAAATAATGCAGTAGGCAGTTTCCTTCTAATACTGCAAACTTTGCTCAGTGCTCCAGCATTTGGCCCAGGACATAGGGCACACATCTTTTCTTTAAGAGAAACAGCCGTTTCGGTCTTCTAGTCTGTTTTGCTTAAATAGCAATGACACTATGCATTTGTCTTTGTGGACTTAACACCTGCCATCCTGCCCCAGGCAAGGACTCCTGCCAACTGGCTCCAGAAAAGGTCATTTATCAACCGTGTTTAGGCACCACCTTGATTAATCTGCCATATAGGAAGTACAAAACACCACTGTAAGAATTCTTTTGTCTTCTTAAGCAGAAACAGGTTTAGGCCTTAACTGGCAAGAGATAGAAAGCAACCAGTCAGGCTTCTTGCCGACTACCACCACGTTGTAGGGTAATTCCGGAGCTGTTAGGAAGCCTCAAGAAACAGAAGAAATTATTCTCTATTGGGCACGTACTCCATGCCAGGTGTTGTGCTGTGTGCCTCGTATACACAGAAGAAATTATTCTCTATTGAGCACGTACTCCATGCCAGGTGTTGTGCTGTGTGCCTCGTATACACTGTTTAATGTAAGCCTCACATCTAATAATCACTATCTAACATAGATATTTTTACTAATTTATCTTTTTTTTTTTTTTTTAAGACGGAGTCTTGCTCTGTCACCCAGGCTGGAGTGCAGTGGCGCAATCTCAGCCCACTGCAAGCTCCGCCTCCCGGGTTCACGCCATTCTCCTGCCTCAGCCTCCTGAGTAGCTGGGACTACAGGCGCCCGCCACCGCGCCCGGCTAATTTTTTTCGTATTTTTTTAGTAGAGACGGGGTTTCACCGTGGTCTCGATCTCCTGACCTCGTGATCCACCCGCCTCGGCCTCCCAAAGTGCTGGGATTACAGGCGTGAGCCACCGTGCCCAGCCTACTAATTTATCTTATTTCTTGTCTGTCTCCCTCACTGAAATGTGTGCTCACGAGGAGGAACATTTCTTGGGGTCTTGTTTATTGTGTCTAGAACAGCATCATACACAGATAAGCACTCAATAAATATTGTTGAAATGAACAAAATGAACAACTCCATGAGATAGATGGCATTACTTCCCTTTTACAGATGAATTAACTGACAACCTTAGAGGGTACAAATGAACTGCCCAAAGTCACATAGCTAGTTAAGAAGCCAGAACTGAAACCCAAGCCTCACTCATTCATTCTATAGACCAGAGGACTTATACTTAGATCTTAAAGAACTCTTTCAGCTTGGCGATTATATGAGCTATAGGCCTATAAAATATGTATTTACCTTGTGTACTCATTTGGAGGTTTAAAATTTCACTGAGGAGACCTTTAACATTTTTATAATAATCATTTTACTAAAGCAAAGATTAAGTACACATTTTCCCAACATAACAATTTCATCTATGGATAGGCATTAGCTACATGATTTTTCATTTTAAAACCCCACAATGATTATTTTTCAGACATAAATAAAAAATACACTGGTTCTAGATGCCAACAAAATCACATTTGCAAACCTTAAGAGTTTGGTAAGTTACAACATTAAGATGACTAACGATATGTGTGCAGTATTCTCAGTATAGAATACCCAAAATTCCCGTGTACATCTGTGTTGCTTGAGTGTCCCAGTATGGGAGGAGGTAGACTTGGCACATCGAAAGCCACTGCTATACTAAAGAATCATACAAAGTCTCAGGGATTCTTCAGAGAATCAGCTATTATAAAATCCATCTTGATAATTCATTTTGTGCGAGAATGTGAGAATGAAATGCAAAGGAGGTTAATTTTACCCAGGAGAGCATTCATATCCTTTTCCACTTGTCAGAATATACTTGATTCATAAGTGGTCTTTTACCGACCTACGACTACATCACAAGAGCATGCCAGCCACAGTGTCTTCCCTTAACACTTTGTGTTTTTTTGTAGGGATTATGGTCACATAGTCACACGGTCCCTTCTCCTCCTGGGCAGGTCCTTTTCCCTTCTGTCCCAGCCTTGCTGCCAACACAAGATCATATAGCCTCTGTGTCCACCCAGCCAGTTAATTGTTCATGGACCAAACTAGTGATCTGGCCTCAATCTCTCCACTGCCAGCTCTAGATGCTATTGATTTTTACTGATAATATAAGTAGTAATATACTGGAGAAAATTTTTTAAAGCATAAAACCAGGAAAACCCATAATCCAACTACCCAGAGTTTGCATATCCTTTCCATCTTTTTAAAAGTCATTTTTTGGATTTATACATACAATTTTGTATATCACTCTTTTCACTTAACACTATAAGCACTTTGCCATGCTGTCAAATACTCTTCAGAAACATAAATTATAATGATGGCACAACAGTCTACTGGATAGTCATACTGTAATTTACTTAACCAATTTTCTACTGTTGGACTTTAAGATTGTCAAGCCTTGATTTTGCCCACATTTTAGACTATTTCTTTAGGACAAATTCCCAGAAGTGGAATTGGAGGATCAGAGGATCTAAACATTTTTAAAGCTCCTGATAGATATTGCCAAATTGCTTTTCAGAAAACCATTGCCAGTCTACACTTCTAACATTGCCAGTGTGTTTTTCTGCCAATATAGATCTGTCTAAAGGATAATAAAATTTAAATGAAACACGCAGTCCTCTAATTATTAATGCAGCTGGAGAGGCATCAAGACCAGAGCACAAAGGCATGTGGCAACAGTCATACCTATTTCCAGGTATGCAGTTAACAATGGGTTAGTGTGCACACACGGAACAGAAAATTTGCAAGAGTGAAGAGTAATATAATTAGATTTCAGACCATCTAATCCAAGGCCTGTGTCTATTTTGTACACTGCTGTATCTCGGCACACAAGATAGCATCTGGCCCATACAGCCACTCAATAAAAAATTGTTGAGTGAATTAACACAGAATCTTCTTTCAGATGCAATCTTTCAGCAGCTGTAGGGTTTAGTTACTCCTGAACTCATAGGAAACATGACTGACTGGATCAGACAATTTTGTAATGGACTGTTCAATGCTGAGATTCTACTACAACTTTGGAAAATCAGTTTAAATAAAGGTGACACAATAAAGAGCTCTCTAGGGGAAAAGACAAATACACTTACCTAAAAGGACAGATCTCAGCACCAGTTGCAAGGTGCAAATACACATATGTATCTGTAATACATATATATATTTGCAAGCATGCAAAAAATACATTTCAGTGAGTTTTGTCATCTCCATAGTACACACTTTAATAGGTGATAACATAAGCTTATTCAAATGCTACCCATGGTCAAATCATTTTTGGGACTACCTTCAGTTCATTCTATTATTGTTGGTTGCAGCTTGGCATCAGTTTTAGTGTTGCCAACACTGGTTTTGATATTTTACATGGGAATAATATAGGTGGTTTTATAATATCATTTTTAGTCAAAAACAGCACAAAATTTATTTTGTGAACCAGAATATTTCAAGGTAAAATAGCCAATCATTCAGCTTTAGTTTACTCTCCTGGCTCCACAGAGTCCCTCCAATATTCCACAATTTCTTTTTTTTGTTTGAGACAGGGTCTCACTCTGTCGCCTAGGCTGTAGTGCAGTAGCACGATCATGGCTCACTGCAGCCTGGACCTCCTGGGCTCAAGTGATCCTCCTGCCTCAACCCTGCAAGTAGCTGGGACTACAGCCACGTGCCACCATGCCAGGCTAATTTTTGTATTTTTTTGTAGAGATGGGGTTTCACCATGTTGGCCCAGGTTGGTCTCTAACTTCTGGCCTCAAGCAATCTGCCCGCCTCAGCCTCCCAAAGTGCTAGGATTACAGACATGAGCCATCGTGCCTGGCCCACAATTTCCACAAATAAATTGTCAGACACTGCCAGATCAATGTGGCATTAATAATGTTATTGATGGAAAATAATCATCTGTCATTTTTATATACACACTTCATATACACTAGACTGGGGGTTATATCAAACTATAGCCGATGGGCCAAATCTGTCCTGCCATCTGTTTTTCTATGGCCTAAAAGCTAAGAATGTCTAACTTTCTTTTTTTGAGATGGAGTCTCCCTCTGTTGCCCAGGCTGGAGTAGTGGCAAGATCTTGGATCACTGCAGCCTCCAGGGTTCAAGCAATTCTCCTGCCTCAGCCTCTCGGGTAGCTGGGATTACAGACACACACCACCACGCCCGGCTAATTTTTATATTTTTAGTAGAGATGAGGTTTTACCATGTTAGCCAAGCTGGTCTCGAACTCCTGACCTCAGGTGATCCACCCGCCTCGGCCTCCCAAAGTGCTGGGATTACAGGTCTGAGCCACCGTGCCCGGCCTCTTTTTAACATTTTTCAATGGTTTAAAAAAATCAAAATAGTATTTTGTAAAAACTATATAAAATTCAAATTCTAGTATCCATTTATAAAGTTTTATTGGAACACAGCTGTGCTCATCTGTTTCTATATTAACTATGTCTACTTTTGCACTAAAATGTTTAGTGGCAAAAGAGACCATATGGCCCATAAAGACTCCTTTATAGAAGTCTGTTGACCACTGGACTATGCCCAAGTGAGTCCTTGGAGGGGACCCACTGGAGCTCCCCACTATAGATTTTTTGTTTCCGGATATTAATACTGGGAAAGGGGTGATTCAACTAGGACAGTATTTGCAAGGATCTGATAAGGGAGACACTGTAGAACATAAATACATGATGGTTACCTCAGAAAAGATATAAACGCCTGGTAAAATCTGGGTGGGCTGACTGAAGAAGAAGTAATTGGAGAATGCACAGTAACATACACAATTTAGCAGCAAAGGTGGGCTCTTATTGAGTCACATGGGACCTTGCTGAGACCCAATCCCAACGAGCCTAGTGAAACTCTCTGGTGATGATGTCTGCAAATAGCAGGGAGACTGAGCAGCATTTGTAATGCAATGACAGACAATTCCCCAATAGTACCCCATTCCTTTATTAGGTGTCCTCAAGTCATTTAGCATCCAGATTTATCCAGGCATTTCCAAAGGCAAGTCTTAGTCTTTGACTAGAAATTCATCTGAAAAAAAGTTTCTGGGAAGGAGGCCCCAGGTAAACATTCTTCCCCAAATAACATTTCAATGAGGACTCAGTGAGGATCAGAATTCAGAAGATGGCAGAACCCTCCACATGTTTTTCTAAGTCACAGATTTGGTGAACATTTTATTCTTTCTCTTTTTGATCATTACTAGTGGGGCAAATGAAGCAAGGTAGGGTGGGGTGATGGAAGGGGAGAATTGCATAAAATCAGTGTTAGGATGATCTGCCCCAGAAGGCATGTATTCCTCTTAGACGCTCAGCTGTGGCATAAAACATTCCATGTGGACTTTGAATTAGAATGAGCGTGGGGGCGGGGACAAAGATCAACCTGAAAGCCAAACGGAGTCATTGACCGATGGTGTTAAGCTTGAGAAAGTTTGCAGATGGCCAGCTCTCCTACTGACATCCCACAGAAAGCCAGGCTTGATCTATTGTGGTTAGGTGGAGTTTCTCCTGCCAGGGAAAATACAGTTGCTAGGAGAATGGGCTTTGGATGTTATAACTCTGAAGAAGTTTCATGACTCTTGCTACTAGAGGTAACCATATTGCCTCCTTGAGAAACTGGTGACACTGGGTGCCTCTGGGGAGTGCAACTGAGGGTGGCTAAGGTGCCCATGTCCCTTAGAAAAAACAAAATCAACACATAATTCCCCCATGTCACCCCACCCTGCTTCTTTAAGATAGGAAGGCAACCTGGGGCCAGGGCTGGAGCAGACAATTTCCTTACTCAGCAGCTGAAGCGGGGAGCTGAAAGAAGGATCCAAAAAATCAGAGAAGAGTTGTAAGTTAAGTGGAAAACCATGACCCAAAGGTCAATACAAGGATCAGCACACCAAAGTGACCAAAAGCAGCTACTGAAGATGTGACCCAGGACCAGAAAACAAAGCAACAAGGAAAGAGAGGAGTAAGAGCAAACTGTGAAGAATAAACTGAGAGGTGTCTGAAGATAGTCAAGGACAAGAGCCTGGGGTGTGACGGACACATAGCTGGATGTGTGAGACTACGGGACCAGGAGCTCAAGAGGCCTAGGCAGCAAGGTGCAGGCCAGGGCAAAACGTGCATCAGCAATAAAATAGATTTGGTGGGTGGACACATTAGGAGTACTCATATAAGAACTTTCCTATTTGGAGATGCCCAGATCATGCTCTACCCTTGGGTTTAGAAATTCTGAGCAGCCAAATGTGAATGGTTTGCTCTGGATAAGTCCTTTTCATTATAGCCAATTGGAACCATTTGAATTCACACTCCTAATTACCTGCTTCTGGTTGCTGTGTCTAAACCATGTCTGGACCAACATAGCTTCTGGTACTCTACACTCCACCATGGGTCTTGGTCCAGCATCACTGGCAGGGACATACCAGCCCTGTTCATAGGACTGGAATAAAATCCAGAAGTAAGTTGTCTCAGGACCTCTGTTTAATAACAGGTTAGAAACAACTCCTGTAGGTATGGTTGTGGGATCCTGGCCTGGGACCAGGAGCATATAAATCTGCAACAATTACCACTGGGTAGGCCTTAGCAAGGATTACTATGAGGTTCAGCAACAAAGCTGCAAGAACTAGTGGTGGGGACTTTGTTCCTAAAGTGCAGTGTCCCTGGTGCCAAGTGCTTGTGGGCAACCTAGAGCCGCATCTGATGTAGGAAGACTTCATTGTCCTGAAATGGAATGTCTAGAAACTGTTAAGGAGCTGGAGGTCTATAAGCTGTTGTTTGGTTTAAGAGTTTTCTTACACAGTATCTTCTCTTTGTGGGACAACGTCTAGCTTTCAAGGTGTCTCAAAACTAACAGGTGTTGACCCGGCGTGGTGGCTCACGCCTGTAATCCCAGCACTTTGGGACGCCGAGGTGGGTGGATCACCTGAGGTCAGAAGTTCAAGACCAGCCTGGCCAACATGGTGAAACCCCGCCTCTACTAAAAATACAAAAAATAGCCGGGTGTAGCAGCATGCACCTGTAATCCCAGCTACTCAGGAGGCTGAGTCAGGAGAAACACTTGAACCTGGGAGGCGGAGGTTGTAGTGAGCTGAGATCGTGCCACTGCACTCCAGCCTGGGCAGCAGAGCAAGACTCCATCTCAAAAAACAAAACAAAACAAAAACAGGTGTTAATGAGGAACTTGTAATTTTTGGAGGTGAGTAGAGAAAGTGAAAGAACAGCACTAAAAGTAACTGTGATGAATGAGTGTTGTGCCTCTACTATCAAGCAATATTGTTTAAGAGGAGCTGTTATATCTAAAAATCCTTGAGTAAAACAAAGACTGGCCAATTCTGTGAAATGCTATTACCAAACCCCTGCCCCCTGAATGTTTCCAGTCTATGTGGTATTACTTGGAACCCACTTGGGAAAAGTTCCATTCCATAAATCCTGGCAGAGGCAGGAAGAGAAGAGACAGAGTTTGAACTTGCAGAAACTGCTTGTCGGGGTCCAAATGGAAAATCAGATATCAAATTGGTTGTTACAAACCTATTCACAGACTCAGGGGAAGCAATTTAACAACAAGTGGCATAGAGTTGGAGGCTTAGGAGAGAAAGCAAATTATCCCAAATTGTTCATCTGCTGCAACACCATTATCTTCCTCTTTAAACTTTGTTATTTTAGCCAATAGTGTCATCATTTTCTAATTCCTTTTTTTTTTTTTTGGGACAGAGTCTAGCTCTGTCGCCAGGTTGGAGTACAGTGGCGCAATCTCCACTCACTGCAACCTCTGCCTTCCGGGTTCAACAGATTCTCCTGCCTCAGCCTCCTGAGTAGTTGGGACTACAGGTGTGCACCACCACGCCCAGCTAATTTTTGTATTTTTAGTAGAGACGGGGTTTCACCATGTTGGCCAGGATGGTCTCGATCTCTTGACCTTGTGATCCACCCACCTCAGTCTCCCAAAGTGCTGGGATTACAGGCGTGATTCACCACACCTGGCCAGTGTCATTTTCTACTGATGCAGGTTGGAAGCCTCATGCTGTTCCACCTGCCCCGGAAGCTTTCCCTAATTTCACAGCCCTGTCTCACCCATCCTCATGGATCCAGTTCAAGAACCATCTCATCCATGAAGCCCATCAGCCCTTGGAGATCTTGTTCATAACCTCCACATTGTCAATGCCCAGCAGTGTCCTAAAAACAGCAAGTTCTCAAAACTATAGGCATTAGTTACTAAAAACAGGCTGCTGTGTGGGAATCCGCACATAGGCAGCAGGCTCCCTTAATTCAGGGACTAGAGAGCCACCTGGTCTTCCTCCCCACACAACACAGCCTTGCCTGGGTCCCCGGGTTTATATTTTCTAGCACCAGATCCTCCTCTTCCAACAGGGGTGATACCCAAATGAGTGGAGGTCCAAAGCATAGGACTAGAATGAAACAAACCCAGCTCTTCTGTGAGGTGTAGGCCTGTGAGAAGATCAGTATTGGTGGCCAACCCCTGATTCCTAAGGGTGCCTACTGAGTCATCTGGGCCAGATCAGCCCCTAGGCCCAGCACTGTTCAGTAATACCAGCATGCTACTACCTTCTGTACCATACCTCAGGCCCTGACTGCAAAGCAGGCTGAAACTGTAAGCCTTCTTTTGGGGTCCTCCCAGAAAAGCATGCTTCCCTGGGCACAGAGATACAGATTCCAGGAGATCCTGTTCCTCTCTTCTCACTGGCATGATCCTCTGAGGCAGAAGGTTGAGAACAAAGGAACAGGACAGCCACAACAAGCTAAGGTCTGGGCAGAGAAGAAATCCAAACTTGTTGAGCAAAAGAAATCAAGAACAAGCAAATACCAGAAGGGAACAGCCAAAAGTTTTTCAAAGTTATGGAGAACAGCAAGGAAAATGGTCCAAGAGTCCAGCAAAGAGTAATGAGGAGGGCCATGGCACATAGGGAGGAGTGGTGAAGACTGAAAAATACGTGAGCAGCCAAAGAAGGTGCCTAACAGTGAGGCAGCATCCTAGTTCTGGTTCAGCTAACTCACATTCCTCTCACCATGGGGTGAACCAATTCTCAGCTACCCTGGGGGGAAGGCTTGTTGAAGATGACGCCTGCAGAAGCTGACTGGCAGAGTAGTGGACTCTGGGATGGGATACCGGCAGGGGCATTTCCCCACCAGCTTCACCCTGGAGATAACTCCATGTTTCAGAACCTGTTACCTTTTTCCTCAAACATGAGCTATTTTTCCTAGTTTCCTTTGAAAGATCGGACCGAAAGTCAAGTTTTCGTGGTTTAGGCTCACCCTTCAAAACACCCGAAATAACTTTTGCAGAAATCTTCCTCATGTTCAAGTTTTCTTTCAAAATGAGCCTAACAGTTTCTTTGTCTAAATTTAACTCTTCAGCCATCATCCTCACGGTTAACTGCCTGTTTGAACAAACCAAGTCCTTGACCTTCTGGATATTGTCATCTGTTCGGTGGGTGACTGGACGCCCACTTCGGGCATCATCTCGAACATCTTCCCGTCCTTCTTTAAACCTTTTGTGCCAGTCAAAAACTCTGGCCCTTGACATGACTTCATCCCCATAAGCTTCTTTTAAAAGATGGTGGGTCTCACTTGCAGACTTGTTCAATTTCACGCAAAATTTGATACTAATCCTTTGTTCTAAATAGCGGTCACTCATTCTGGCACTGAACAACACAGGAACGTTTAACAGGCCACGACTGTAAGGGAAAGACGGACAGATCAATCTTTATAGGGCTGCAGGTGTAATCATATCGCTCTTCTTGCTCTTCTAGAAGCCTCGCCGGGAAAGAGTAATTGCTTTTATGAATTTTTGTCCCTCAGCTTCCAGTCGAGGCTGGGGAGATCCGTTCTGGGAAGCCAACAGTCGCTGCAAAGCTGGGAAAAATTAAATCGCCTACAACCACGTCTGCATCAAACCAGTGCACGCACATCTGCCGAGAGTTTGCCAGTCACCAAGGTCGCTCCGATTCCGCGGCCCTTAAGGAGTATATGGCGAATTCTGCAAGAAAGGCCTAAGTGGTGGCAAATTAAGCAAGCAAGAAGAGATGCATCGGTGATGTAACGTGCAAGCTCGCCCTAGATCTGCAGAAACCCGCGCACGCCAAACCTACCGGAGCAGCCCAGGAACCGCCTGCTCTAGCGTCCCGGGAGACAGGCGCGCATGCGCAATTCTCTCTCCCCGCGGATTAGACTGTGCGCAGTCGCACTGCGGCGGCGCGCGCCAGGTCCCGCCTCCGCCTCGCCACACCCCGGCAGGCGCGCTTCCTTGCGCGTGCCCGCCTGCTGAGAAGGCGGAAAGGAGGGGCGGGGGAGGAAGGCTGAGGGAAGAGAGGGCACCCCCGGGCGTCAGGGTGCATTGTGGGAAGGAGGCGGCAGCGTCTCGGGCGGGCGGGAGGTGCACCAGCGGCGGCGGCGGCGGTAAATCCTCCCGGCCGCTCACAGCACTGTGGAGCCGCGTCCCCAGCCCGGCCTCGGACCGCGGCACCCCTCCTGGCCCTCGCGGCTTCTAGCCCGCCCGCCCCTCCCCCGCGCGTCGGCCCTGCCGAGCCGGCCGGCCGGCCTGGCTCCCCTCCCCGGCCCCGACGGGCGGGCGGACTGCCCTGAGGAGGCGGGGAGGGGAGGGCTGGGCCGGCCGGCGGGCGGGCGACGATGCCGAACTTCTGCGCTGCCCCCAACTGCACGCGGAAGAGCACGCAGTCCGACTTGGCCTTCTTCAGGTTCCCGCGGGACCCTGCCAGGTAAGCGGCGGGCGCAGAGCGGGCGGCCCGGGCCCACCTTCGCGGTGAGCGCTGCCAGCCGCCGGCCCCTGGCGGGCTCCCGGGCTGGCTGAGAGGGGCGCAGGAGGCGGGCGCAGCGCACTGCCGTCGACCCCAGCGTTGGACCGAGATGGGGAGCCGGCCCCGAGCCGTGGGCGGGCGGGCGTCCGGGGACCTCGGAGCACGTGCGCTGGTGGGGGCTCTGCGCGGAGGACACCACCCCAAACGCGAGGGAGCTGGGGCGGCGCGCGGACGCGGGATGCTGTGGGTTCTCGCCGTGGCTCACTTGCTGTGTGACCTCGGGGGAGTCGCTTTCCTCTCTGGGCGTTAGTTTCCTTAGCTGTCAAAAGAGAGCAGGACTCTATGGTTGTGGCCACTGGGGCCTTTCCCTCTCCTTGCCACCACCCCCGGGACAGTGTTTCTGTTTTGAGTCCCGCTACCTTCTTTCATCTCATCGCAACTGCTTTCTCCTTCGGACTTGTCATTGCACGGTTCAGGATTCATTTTCTGGCTGTCACCGTTACTCATTTTCTCGCTTGGGTATTGTAGGGATAACAGAGGGTGTACGCGTGAGGGCGTGGAAATTGGTATTGGAACCTCTTCCTTCGGATAACCCCCACACACTGACATATTTAGGGAATGATAGCATAGGGACTGTGTTTGAAAGGCTGAGATGTTTCATAGGCCTGTCTTGTTGGTTCATTCATTTAAAATCAATGCCTACTATGTGCCGAGCGCAAATGTTAGGTGCTGGGAGTTCATGGGTGAATAAGGGTGTCACTGCTTGCAGAAAGCTCTCAGTCCAGTAAGGGAACAGGTGCAGCAACGGGCGACTATAATTTATGTTATTTATTAATTAGTTCAATTAATTATTGAAGGTCTACTTGTGTTGGCATTGTTGTGAGCAGTGGGGGTTACAGATGAACAAATCGAAGTCCTTGCTTTCATGAAGATTACATTCTAATGGGGGGGGAATAAACAAGTAAAATACGTAGTGTGTCGGATGATGATAAATACTGTGGAGAAAAATAAACAAAGGTTAGAGGGTAGGGGAATAAGTAGTATCAAGGGACGCACAATTGCTATTTTAAATACAGTGATTAGAGAAGGCCTCACTAAGAAGGTGAATTTGAGCAAAGACCAGGTGAAGGGGCCAGCCATGGAGATACCTTGGGCAGCAGCATTCCAAAGAAGGCAAAGACAGGGCAACCAGGAGTCCAGGGAGAGGGACTGGGAGAGAGGTGAGATGAGACCAGAAAGGTGTGTGTATGGTAGGGGCAAATTCTTTAGGTAGGACCTTGTAGGTCTTGGAAGGCACTATGGTTTTTATTATGAGTGAAATAGGAAGTCATTGAAGGGTTTAGAGCAGAGACTTAAATTTTAACAGGATCAGTGGCTGCTCATTAGATTGTGGGGAGGCAAAGGTGAAAGCCGGAAGACCAGTTAAAAGGCTGTTGTAATAATCCAGATTAATAGAGGAGGAGATGGTAAATTTGAGATATGGTTTGAAGGTGAAGCCAACATCATTTGCTAATGGTTTGGAGGTAGATTGTAAAAGAAAAAGAGAACTTAAGGACGACTTCAAGATTTTAAAAATCTATGTTGGCCAGGTTGGTCTTGAACTCCTGGCTTCAAGCAGTCCTCCTGTGTCGGTCTCCCAAAGTGCTAGAACAGGCTCTGAGCCACCGCGCCCAGCCGACTTCAAGATTTTTAACGTGAGCATTTGCTGAGATAGGGAAGACTGGGAAGAGCAGGTTTGGTAGAGGAATACTAGAAGTTTGGGTTTGAGAGACCTGATAGACATTCAAGAATAGATGTCTAGGCCGGGCATGGTGGCTCACACCTGTAATCCCAGCACTTTGGGAGGCCTAAGCAGGCGGATCACTTGAGGTCAGGAGTTCGAGACCAGCCTGGCCAACATAGGGAAACCCTGTCTCTATTAAAAAATACAAAAATTAGCTGAGCCCAGTGGTGCGTGCCTGTCCAGCTACTCAGGAGGCCAAGACGTGAGAATCGCTTGAACCCAGGAGGCAGAGGTTGCAGTGAGCCGAGATCGTGCCACTGCACTCCAGTCAGGGTGACAGAACAAGACTCCGTCTCAAGAAAGAAAGAATAGATGAAAAAAAAAAAAGAATAGATGTCTTTCTTCATACCATATACAGAAATGAACTCCAAATGGCCTATACTTTTATTGAGATCAAAGGCCTAAATATAAGAGCTATGTCATTAAACTTTTAGGAAAAAAATACAGATAAATCTTCATGACTTTAGATTTGGCAGCACATTCTTGTTTGTTTTTTGTTTTTTTTGAGAGTCTCACTCTGTTGCCCAGGCTGCAGTGCAGTGGCACAGTCTCAGCTCACTGCAACCTCTGCCACCGATGTTCACAAACTATTCTACTCACTCAGCCTCCCAGGTAGCTGGGATTGCAGGCATCCGCCACCATGCCTGGCTAATTTTTGTATTTTTTTTTAGTCAAGACGGGGTTTCGCCATGTTGGCCAGGCTGGTCTCGAACTCCTGATCTCAGGTGATCTGCCCGCCTTGGCCTCCCAAAGTGCTGGGATTACAGGTGTAAGCCACCGTGCTTGGCTGGCACCACATTCTTAGATATGACACCAAAATACATGCAGTAAAAAGAAAAATAGACTAATTGGACTTCATCAAAATTAAACTTTTGTGTATCAAAGAACATTACCAAGAAAGTGAAAAGAATGGAAGAAGGTACTTGCAAATAATACATTTGATCTGGGTCCAGTATCCAGAATATATAAAGAACTCTTACAATTCAGCAACAAAAAGACAACCCAATTTTAAAATAGGCAAAGGACTTCTTTCTTTAAACAGAAGATATAAATGGCTAAAAAGCACATGAAAAGATGCTGAGCATCACTCGTTATTAGAGAAGTTCAAATCAAAACCACAAGTGGCAGTTAGATGTAGAATTACTGTGTGTCCCAGCAATTCCATTCCTAGGCGTATATCCAAAGAATTGCAAACTGATATTCAAAAAAACCAAATGTACACACATTCATAGCAGCACTATTCGCAATAGTCAAAAGGTAGAAACAAGCCACGTTTATCAGTGCTTGAATGGATAAACAAAATGTATATCAATACAATGAAATATTAGCCATGAAAAGGAATGAAGTGCCAGTACATACTACAGTATGGGTGAACCTCAGAAACATTATGCTAAGTGAAAGAAGTCAGATACAAAAGCTTATATGTTGTATGATTCTATTATATTAAATATCCAGAATAAGTAAATCCATAGAGATAGAAAGCATATCAGTGGTTGCCTGGGGCTGGGCGAAAGGGAGAGTGGGGAGCAACTGATTAATGGTTACAAGGTTTCCTTTTGAGGTGATGAAAATGTTTTAGAATTAGGTAGTGGTGATGGTTGCAGAACATGATGAATGTGTTAATTGCCATTAGTTTTTTACTTTAAAATGGTTAGTTTTATGTTATGAGAATTTCACCTCAAAGAAAATAGATGTCTTGAAGAGAGAATAGGATATACAAGTCTGAAATTCAGAGACTTTCAAACCGGAAATTGTAAATATGGGTGTTCTCAGTTTATAGAGGGTATTTAAAACCGTGGTACGGGTTAAGGTTATCTAAGGAGTGAGCAAAGAACAGATCTGAGGATTGAGTCCTGGGGCATTCCCAGTGTTTTAAGTTCCGAGACATGGGAAAGAACTCGCTCAGTACAGTGAGGAGTAGCAGTTGGGAACAGAGGAGAGGAGCATCTTAGTCTGACTTGGCCTTGCCCCATTATGCGTTATCTTCCTTTTACCCAAATTTTAGCCCAAAGACATTCTTACAGGTTTATTTCACTTCCATAATGAGGGCACCCCTAGTCAGTTCTGGACCACAGGTCATTTGTATTAATATGTAGTGAATCCTGTTTTGACTACACTCCTTAAGGGGAGTATAGTCTATAGGGGTTTACAGTTTCAGATTTGAAAGAAGTGTTTAGATCTAGTGAAATCTCACTTGAAATACTGGAATTTTCTCAATAATAGTGACTTTTATCATTTTTAGGGTTATTATCCCTTTTGAGAATCTAGCATAAGGACTCTTACCTGAAAAAAAAAAAAAAACAAAAAAAACATAGACACAATTTAGCATTCGAAGACAAAGATGTTTATGGGCCTTTATAGGCCCTGTGCATTCCTGACAGATGGGCATCTTTGCCCTTGCTAAAACACCTCTAATGATAGTCCTCCCCTTTGTGAGAAGACACGTGATGATTCTGGACGCTTTGGCTGTTGTTTCTTCCTTGTATTGAGTGGACATCTGCCTCCTGTAATTGAGGCCTTGGAGGTCCTAGTTTTGTTCCCAGGATCACACGAAGTCTCTGCCCTTTTCAACGTTAGACTCCTTTGAATGCTTCAAGACCAAATCATGAATTTCTTTTTAAAAAGATGTTTATTGAGATGCAATTCACATATAATTCACCCATGTAAAGTGTACGATTTGGGGTATATACATTAATTTTTAAAATTTTGGTAAAATACAACAGAATTTGCTAATTTAACCTTTAAGTGTGCAATTCAGTGGCGTTAATTACATTCACAGTGTTGTGCAACCTTCTCCACTATTTTCAAAACTTTTTCATTTATCCCAAACAAAAACTGTAACCATTAGGCAATAACCTCCCATTCCCCTGCCCTTCCAGCCTTTGGTAACCTCGAATCCACTTTCGGTCTTTATAAATTTGCCTGTTCTAGATTCCTCATATTGGTGGAATCATACAATATTTCTCCTTTTATGTCTGGCTTGTTTAACTTAATATGTTCAAGGTCTTTTTATCCAAATCAAACCTCCTCGTACTACATGATTTTAAGTTCTACTGTATTTGATAGTTTCCATTTCACTGTGCCCAGTGTTATTTATAACAAAGAAGTAGTTTCCAGAGGTGTTATTGAATTAATAACAGTATTTTTAGGGTTATTAGTTCTAACCCACCCCCCCCCCACCTTTTCTTCTATAAACAGGTTGTAGGGAAGGTTGATAAAAGGTGACATTGCCAGTCTAGTCTTCAAATGCTAACATTGTTAACAAACAATAAAGATGAATATATTTAATGCTATTAAAACAGTACATTTCCCAGTCATCAGTTATAAATTCCATGCATGCTTTTAGAAACAGCTATTTAGAAATAATTTAAACTTCAAGAGTGTAATTAATAAAGTGTATGGTGTGGAATCACATACCATAATAGTTCTTATTGTTTTAGAAAACGTGGCATTAATATGCTTCTTTTTTAAAAAAGTGAAATAATCAACCCAGCTTAGGTCAGTGACACGGTTTAAGTAAAAAAAAAAAAAAAAAGCCTAAGTCTTGATTGCCCCAGGGTGGCTTGCCTAATGCCAAGGCTTGCCACTGTGAGGCAGCTCACAGTGGAGCTCTTCCTAAACCAGGAGATGGTACAGGTAGAGCTAATGAATTGCTCTGATTAGAGTGAGATGGGCGTTGAAGCTCTCTTCTTCCTCCTCAGGCAGCTAGTACTAACTCACCCAAGATGGGTGAGGGCTTCCAAGGTTCTTCTGGCAATTTAATGAAGGCTGATTGAGAGCTGGTGTGCTCTACTTTGTGAAATGTAAAACAGTGGTTTTCTGGGGACTCGTGAGGGTGCCTGTTTGGGCTGTTATAACAAAATACCTTAGACTAGGTGATTTTTAAACAACAGAAATTTATTTCTCATAGTTCTGGAAGCTGGGAAGTCCAAGATAAAGTCACCAGCAGATTTGGCATCTGGTGAGGGCTCACTCTTGGCTTCTTAGATGGTGCCTTCTTGTTGTGTTCTCACATGGCGGAAGGGGCAAATAAGGCTTCCCCGTCATGACCTAAGTCATCTCCCAGATGCCCCACCTCCCAACACCACTGCACTGGGGATTGTTTCAATATGAATTTTGAGGGGATGCAGACATTCAGACCATAGCAATCCCCAAGATCCTTTCAGGGAGTCCACAATGTCAGAACTATTTTCATAATAACACTGATATTATTTGCATTTTTCATATTTGGTCTCTCAGGAGTGGACAGTGGAATTTTTGGGTTGCTACATAACATGATGGCATCATTGCTTTGATAAATTTTGTGTTGTGTTTTCTAGAATTTTCTAAATATTATTCAGATCTGAGTGTTCAGTAGACATTTTCTCAGAAATAAACAAGCCTGCCACTTCAAGGAGAACAACTGATAATTTGAGCATTCAAGTTGAAAATTAGAATTTTGGAAAATTTATGTGCCACTGTGAGCTTGACAGCTCTCTAATACTTAAAGACTTTTCTGGTGAGATCACTGATGATACTGATGTGTTTTTTTTTTTTTTTGTATAATGAATTGCATTAACATTTATATGGTATGTATAACTCACTGAACTAATATTTTCCAAATGACCAATTTATGGTTTTACAGAGACATACATGGATAAAAGTGCAAGATAGACTATGGGATTTTTTATGTACTAGGGCATGAAAAAGCTCATTGGTCTGGTCTCAGATGTCACATTTCAACTAATCTTGAAGAAACTACCACTTGTGGAGAATTCACAATTATATGGAAAAAAGAGGAGTATTGTAATAACCTTTTTAACTGCATATCGTTATGAGGCTAGATTTTCTTCATATATTTCAACCAAAACAACATATAGCAATAGATTAAATACAGAAGCAGATGTGAGAATCTAGCTGTCTTCTGTTAAGCTGGACGTTAAAGAGATTTGCAAAAATGAAGAAGTGTCATTTTTCTCACTAAATATTTTTGTTTTGGAAAATGCAATTTTTTATTAAAACGTTATTTGTGTTAACATAAGGTTGGTATTTTAATGAATTAATAAATATTTTTAAAATTTTTCTGATAAATGTTGTTAGGTAAAATCCACATAAAAGATCTTTGGAGTCCTCAATAATGTAATAGTGCAAAGGAATCCTGGGACTATGAAGTTTGAGAATTGCTGCTCTAAAATGTGAGCAGCAAATTTCAAACTTTTTTTTTTTTTGAGGGGTCTTACTCTGTCACTCAGGCTGGAGTGCAGTGGCAGGAGCATGGCTCACTGCAGCCTCAACCACCTGGGCTCAAGCAATCTTCCAGCCTCAGCCACCCAAATACCTGGGACTATAGGTGCCCATCACAACCCCCGGCTAATTTTTGAAAAAAATTTTTTTTAGAGACAGGGTCTCACCATGTTGCCCAGGCTGGTCTTGGACTCCTGAGCTGAAGCATTCCCCCCTTGTTCAGCCTCCCAAAGTCTTAGGATTGCAGATGTGAGACACCACGCCCAGCCTGAAGTACTTTCATATCAACTCATTTAATCTTCCAAACAATGGGGTGAGTTGTAATAATAGTACTTCTTTTTCCTTTTTTTTTTTTTTTTGAGACAGTGTCTCACTGTCACCCAGGCTAAAGTGCAATGACACGATCTCCAGTCATTGCAACCTCTGCCTCCTGCGCTCAAGTAATTCTCCTGCCTTATCCTCCCAAGTAGCTGGGACTGCAGGTACATACCACCATGCCTGGCTAATTTTTATATTTTTTGTAGAGACAGGGTTTCGCCATGTTGCCCAGGCTGGAACAGTACTTACGTAGTGTATTCTTTGTGACAGGCACTGCTCTGTTATATACTTCTCTGTTATATATACATTATTTCATGTTACCCTTGCAGTAAATTTTGAGGTAGTCCTTGCTTTACAGATGACCAAAGTAGGTACAGAGAGGTTAGCTAACTTTTTTAAAGGCCCTGCAGAAATGTCTAAAACCTTAAGAGCAGGTAGGACAGGATAAAATAGGTATTACCCGAACTTTTTTGACCGTGGAACCCTGTTTTTTTTTTGGAGACAGGTTCTTATTCTGTCACCCAGGCTGGAGTGCAGGAGCACAATCATTGCTCACTGCAGTCTCCATCTCCCAGGCTCAAACAATCCTCCCATCTCTGCCTCCCAAGTAGCTGGGGACCATAGGCGCACGCCACCACACTTGACTAATTTTTTAATTTTTTATAGAGACAAGGTCTCCCTATATTGTCCAGGCTGGTCTTGAACTCCTAGCCTCAAGTGATCCTCTTGCCTTGGCCTCTCAAAGTGCTGGTATTATGAGCCACCATGCCCGGTCCCTTTTTTTTTTTTTTTTTTAAATGTAACAGTTCTGACTGGGCATAGTCACTCAGGCCTGTAATCCCAGCACTTTGAGAGGCTGAGGCAGGAGGATGGCTTAAACCCAGGAGTTTGAACTTAGAATGAGCTATGATTGCACCAGTGTGCTACAGCCTGGGCGACAGATTGAGGCCCTGTCTCTCTCTCTCTTTTTTTTTTTTAGAAGCAATTCTTTGAACAGGATTCCTTGGAATACACTTTTAGAAATGCTGCATTAGTAAGAAACCAATGAGGGAAAAACATCAAAAACAAAACAAAGAAGTAATCAGTGATGGTTGACTAGTGCTGAAGGTGTTTAAGGTGTGTACAGAAAGTGGCTGCACGCAGTGGCTCACGCCTGTAATCCCAGCACTTTGTGAGGTTTAGGCGGGAGGATCGCTTGAGCCCGGGAGTTTGAGACCCACCTGGGCAACATAATGACACCTCTTCTCATTACTTTAAAAATGAAATAAAAGATAGGCCAGGCACGATGGCTCACGCCTGTAATCCCAGCACTTTGGGAGGCCGAGGCGGGTGGATCACCTGGTCAGGGGTTCGAGACCAGCCTGGCCAACATAGCGAAACCCCATCTCTACTAAAAGTACAAAAATTAACCGGGCATGGTGGGGGGTGCCTGTAATCCCAGCTACTCAGGAGGCTGAGGCAGTAGAGTAGCTTGAACCCAGGAGGCAGAGGTTGCAGGGAGCCAAGATTGTGCCACTGCACTCCAGCCTGAGCGACAAGAGCAAGACTCCACCAAAAAAAAAAAAAAAAAAAAAGAAAAGTTAAAAATGAAATAAAATCTGTACAGGAAAGTGACCGTTGGATTTGGCAGGATAGGGTCGTTAGTAATTTTCTTGAGCAGTTTCAGTGGAAAAGGGATAGAGTAGGAGCCTCCTTGGCATTGATTAAGGAGACAGTACAACAAGATAAGTGGATGCAGTCCAAATGGATGCTTTAACAAGTTTTGCTATAAAGAGGATCAGGATTAAGAGAGTTTTAAAGATGGGAGACATTAGGGCATGTTTACACTGTGGGAATAATATAGTAAGATAAATGTAGGGAGTTGAGATATTATACATGGAGAGGTGGAAAGTCTTAAATGCCTGGAGTTTTCTGTGTGCATACATATTCATACACATACACCCACATATATGTACACATGTGAGTCAGGAAAACTTTCCCTCAAGAAATGACATTTGCGCTAAGATCTGAAGGCTGAGTCATAGTTAACTGTGCATAGGAAGTGTATAAAAAGCAGCAAGAAGAGTGTAGTAGGCTGAGTAAACAGCGCAGGGAAGGCCCCAGGATAGAAGTGAACACAGTTGTTTATCCTGAGAGTAATGAGAAGCCACTAAAAGCTTAAGCATGGGAGAGACATTCTCAAATTGGCTTTAAAAAATGCTCTGCAGCACGGAGAAGGGGTTAGAGAAGGGCAGATGACCAGTTTGGAAGAGATACTAGTAGACCAGGTAAAAAATTATGGTAGCTTGGACCAGGGTGTTATTGATGGAGAGAAGCAGATGGATTTGGGGAGTCATTCCACTGTGCTAAGGGAAAAGTCTACAAAATCTGGAGTACAGGGAACAGAACAATGACAGGGAGAGCTGGGAAAGGGGAGGCATTGGTAAAAATTTGAGACGAGTATGTAAGTGGGTATGTATGTATATAAATATATATACATATTCATAATACACATATGAATACACATGTGAAAACACTTATTGTGGTCATATATATATATATTTTTTTTTTTTTTCTTTTTTTTTGAGACGGAGTCTCGCTCTCTTGCCAGGCTGGAGTGCAGTGGTGCGATCTTGGCCTACTGCAACCTCCACCTCCCGGATTCAAGTGATTCTCCTACCTCAGCCTCCCGGTCATATATAATTTTTATAATTTTATTCATGTAAAAACGTATACATAGAAGAGCTACGTGCGGTGGCTCATGCCTGTAATCCTAGCACCTTGGGAGGCCGAGGCAGGACGATCACTTCACCCAGGCGTTTCAGACTAACCTGGGGAACATGGTGAAACCCCGTCTCTACAAAAAATACAAAAAGTTAGCCAGGCATGGTGGCGTGTGCCTGTAGTCCCAGCTACATGGGAGACTGAGGTGGGAGAATCGCTTGAACCCAGGAGATGGAGGCTGCAGTGAGCCGAGATTGCACCACTGCACTCCAGCCTGTGCAACAGAGTGAGATCCTCTCTCTCAAAAAAAAACCCCAAAAAACATATGCACAGAAGATCACAAATGATAACTGTACATCATGTTGGATTTTCAGAGTAACATATCCATGAAAATTTCACCGGGATTTTTAAAAAATAGAGTATCACTAGCGTCCCAAACTTCCTCTGCTTCATGGTTCTCCCAGCCATTATCCCATTCTCCCCAGTGGTAGCCACTGTGACTTCACATACCTTGGATTAGTTAGGTTTTGGGGGGAAGAGGGAGAATGAATGGAAGCTTTATTATTGTTTGAGATATAGAACATTAGCAGCACCTCAGTAGCCTCTTTTGTGCCCACTCCCAGTTGTTACCCTCCCCAAATGTATCTGCTATTCCATCACTGTGTTGAGGCGGAGCCAGACCACCCCATATTTAAAGATTCACTAGAAGGGCTTGCAGGACTCAGTATATGGTTGTACTCACAGTGAAGATTTATTGCATTGTAGTAAGGATACACATCTGGATCATGAGGGAAAAAGACAGGCACAGTCTGAAGGAATCCATGTATAGGCTTCCCTATGCTCCGTCTTTCCCATGAGGGGGTCACCCAGAGCCCGTTTTTCCCCAGTGGTGGAAATGTGGCAACACGTGCCGTGTTTCTGTGGAGAGAAGACCGTTAGAGACGTAGTGTCCGAGGTTTTTACTGGGTCCTGATCACATAGGCAGCCTCTGCCTGGCATATAATAAAATTCCAAATTCCCAGAAGGGATGGCAGGTGTTCAGCAGGTGTGCTTGTTTGCACAAGCAGTCTAGGCACATTGAGCTGCATTATCAGTTAGGAAAAATTTTATTTCTGTGTATGGAACTGTTTACCAACCAAGTTCCCGGATACCAGCCCAAGGTCCTTAACAAACAGGCCTTTCTAAGGACAGCAGCCTGAGGTCTGCTGTGTTAACTCTTTTTCTGAACAATCACTATGAATGAGTTTTGCCTGTTCTAGAATTTCATATCAAAGGAATCATGTAGTATGTACTCCTGGCTTCTTCTGCTTAACATTACGTTTGTGAGATTGTAGATAGTTTGTTCATTTCATAGCCAAGTAGTATTCCATTGAATGAATATACCACAATTTATCCATCCTGCTGTTGATGGGCAAAGTTACTTCACCTTCTCCCCAATATTTGGTATTACCTCTTTTACATTGTAGTCATTCTTGTGGGTATGTAGTAATTTGTTTTGGCTTTAATTAGCATTTCCCTGATGGCAAATGAGATCGAGCATTTTTTTTTCATCTATGTATTGCCATTTTTATAACCTTTTTATTATAAAGTGCCTGTTCAAGGCCCCTTGCCTATTTTTATGTTGGGTTATTTATTTGTAGGAGTTCTTCATATATATTTTGAATGTGAGTCCATTGTTAGATATATGTATTGCAAATATCTGACATTTTGTGGTCTGCCATTTCACTCTTAAATGGCTTCTTTTAATGAAGAAAAGTTATTAACTTTAAAGTAGCCTAATTTATATATCTTTTCCTCTAGCATTTGTGCTGTTGCCTTAAGAGATCTTTATTCCAAGGTCATGAAGATAATCTCCTGTGTTATCTTTTAGTGGCTTTATTGTTTTACCTTTCATATTTAGATCTCCAATCACTTGGAACTTATTTTTGTGTATGGTGTACAAGTAGGAGTTAAGATTTATTTTTTTCATGTAGATATTCAGCTGACTCGGCCCTATTTATTGGAAAAGAAAAATCCATATTTGCTGCTGTTCAGAGCTACCTTTAAGTATCTGCAGTGCTCTATTTTGTTTCACTGTTCTGTCCTTCTGCCAGTACTTGTCTTAATAAGCTTTACAGTAAGTCTTAATATCTGGTAGTGTAATTCTTTCAACCTCCTTTTTCCTCTCTCTCTCTCAAGATTATCTTGGTTATCCCTGGTTCTTTAATGTTGTGTATAAAAAGTTTTAGAATAATTTGTCATTTCTTTCTCTTGCTCTCTCTCACAAACTTACTGGGCTTGTGATTATATTGAATTAGTAAATGGGTTTGGGGAGAATTGACATCTTTGGAATTTAGTGTGCCAGTTCATAAACTTGTGTATTTATTTAAGTTTGCTTTAAAAAGATTATTAGAGGTCTTGCACTTCTTTCACTAGATTTATTCTTAAGTAGTTCATATAGAAAGTCAGGTGTATTTGATTAGGCTCTCTGCCTGATGCCCATTCTGTTCTTGATTGTCTGAATAAGAGTTGCTGTTGATATCAGAAAGCTGTTTCAACTTAGTTCGGAGGTAATATGTACAGTATTGCTCTGTGTGGAAGGTCTCCAGAGATTTAAGAATTTAAAAAACAAACAACTGTAGCAGTATGGCAAATTATTTTATAGTGAGATCGTTTTTATACTTAATATTTGGATTTTGAAACATGAAATGTTTATAATCATAATGTACAACTGTGTAAAAGTGTGATTAAATTGTGAACATCTTAGGCATCGTTACTGTGAGCAGTAATACTTGTTGGTCAAATGAAATGCTGTACAATTTAGGTGTAGTTTTTTAAAAATCATAGCATTTTACCTTGATTTGACATTTTTAGAGTAGAGAGAATTAAGTGTCAGGGGCATGTATGTTGGGGGGAGGTGGACAATAGTGTTAAAACATAAAAAAAAAATACTGTGATTTAATTATAAAGGAATATGTTGGGCCGGGCGCAGTGGCTCGCGCCTGTAATCCTAGCACTTTGGGAGGCCAAGGTGGGCAGATCACCTGCGATCTGGAGTTCGAGACCAAGCTAGCCAACGTGCTGAAACCCCATCTGTACTATAAATACAAAACTTAGCTGAGTGTCGTGGTGCACGCCTATAATCTCAGCTCCTTGGGTGGCTGAGGCAGGAGAATTGCTTGAACCTGGGAGGCAGAGGTTGCAGTGAGCTGAGATCACACCACTGCACTCCACCCTGGGCTAAAGAGCAAGACACCATCTCAAAAAAATAATTTGTGATACTGTTTATCCACGGCAGAACTTTTATTCTTAGAAATTTGAGGAATGGGCCGGGCGCGGTGGCTCACGCCTGTAATCCCAGCACTTTGGGAGGCCGAGGCGGGCAGATCACCTGAGGTCGGGAGTTCGAGACCAGCCTGACCAACATGGAGAAACCCAGTCTCTACTAAAAATACAAAATTAGCCAGGCGTGGTAACGCATGCCTGTAATCCTAGCTACTTGGGAGGCTGAGACAGGAGAATCGCTTGAACCCGGGAAGCAGAGGTTGCAGTGAGCCAAGATCATGGCATTGCACTCCAACCTGGGCAACAAGAGCAAAACTCTGTCTCAAAAAAAAAAAAGAAAAGAAAAGAAATTTGAGGAAAGATCTAGTTGTGACTTTAGCAAGTTACTTAATATTTCTGTGCCTTCATCTGCACAAGGGGGATATTAATAGTACCCATCTTTGGAAAGGACTTAGAACGTGTCTGGCTCATAATAAGTGCTTATTATTAGCTTTTCTGAAAATATTTAAGCACCGAGAGGGCATGGACTTTGTCTTGTTCTCTGTCTTCAACACTTTTTGTGTACTAGATTGTGTAGTCACAGTCCCTGCATTCATGGAGCTTGCAATCTAGTCAGCACGTATTACTGTAGATAATAATTTGTGTTCATAGGAAGATAAACGAATACAGCCTTTATGCTTCCCTTAGAAACTAGTTATTTAAAGAACATCTAGTTGCTGATTTTTTTTTTTTTTTCCGAGACGGAGTCTGGCTCTGTCACCCAGGCTGGAGTGCAGTGGCGCAATCTCGGCTCACTGCAAGCTCCGCCTCCCGGGTTCACGCCATTCTCCTGCCTCAGCCTCCCGAGTAGCTGGGACTACAGGCGCTCGCCGCTTCGCCCAGCTAATTTTTTGTATTTTTAGTAGAGACGGGGTTTCACCGGGTTAGCCAGGATGGTCTCGATCTCCTGACCTCCTGATCTGCCTGCCTTGGCCTCCCAAAGTGCTGGGATTACAGGCGTGACAACACGCCCGGCCTAATTGCTGATTTTCTACAGTGACAGTGTTGTTTTGTATGCTTGTTGAAGTTGAAATCCTGAAGGGAATGTTAAGCTGTGAGCCTTGTGGCTGTGCATGCAGCTTTCTGCTTGTTCTGCTGATGGTTGAATCTTCTCTGATGTTTTGGGAGTTGGAAGATGCAGGTTTCAGTTCTAGTTCTGCTGATGATTTTGTACTTCCCTCCAAACAAGTTACTTCTTAACCTTGTCTGTAATTGAAATGTTGGTACTAAATGACTTCTAAGGTTTTTTCCAACTGTTATTTTGTTATTAATCAAATTCTCCAAATTATGTTCTCAGGGAGGGGAGCAGGAATCCGTTGTTATTAATGTATGTTTGCCTTAAAACTGAAGGCTGAAATTTAAATGCTGAGCTCATTTTCATAATTGTATTTTGGTTTTATTTATAGATGCCAGAAGTGGGTGGAGAACTGTAGGAGAGCAGACTTAGAAGATAAAACACCTGATCAGCTAAATAAACATTATCGATTATGTGCCAAACATTTTGAGACCTCTATGATCTGTAGAACTGTGAGTAATAGAAGAGCTTGGTGTCTCTCTGTTTGACTTGATTTCTCTCTCTCACTGTGTCTGGTTGGAAATGTAAGTATTTACCAATGTTGGAAGGTATTCCTATATCCTGCCACTTTAAGATGAAGACAGATTTGGAGCTGAAAAGTATCTGTTTTGTTCTTAAAATCCTGATTTTGCCGGGGGCCTATAATCCCAGCACTTTGGGAGGCCGAGGCAGGAAGACCACTTGAGCTCAGGAGTTTGAGACCAGCCTGGGCAACATGGCCAGATGCCGTCGCTACAGAAAATACCAAAAAAACTAGCGAGGTGTGGTGACGTATGCCTGTAGTCCCAGCTACTTGGGAAGCTGAGATGGGAGGATACTTGAGCCCATGACGTCGGGGCTGCAGAGAGTTGTGTTCATGCCACTACACTCCACTCTGGGCGACAGAGTGAGCGCTTGTCTGGAAAAAAAACTCAAAATGATTAAAACAAAACAAAACAAAACAAAACTCTTCGGTTCCTGGTGCCCCATTTCTACTCACCCAAGGTAACTACTTTTTTTTTTTTTTTTTTTAAAGACAGTCTTGCTCTGTCACCCAGGCTGGAGTGCAGTGGCGCTATCTTAGCTCACTGCAACTTCTGCCACCTCCCCCACCTCCTGGGCTCAAGCGATTCTCTCTCCTCAGCCTCCCAAGTAGCTGAGATTACAGGCATTGTGCCACCACGCCCAGCTAATTTTTGTACTTTTAGTAGAGGTGGGATTTCTCCATGTTGGCCAGGCTAGTCTCAATCTCCTGACCTCAAGTGACCCGCCCACCTCGGCCTCCCAAAGTGCTGGGATTACATGTATGAGCCTCCACACCCGGCTGAGGTAACCACTTTTAAATATTATTTAGTCTTCAGGAAAATTTTAGATGATTATAAAAGTATATGTTTATTTAAGGTAAAGTTGGTGTTTTTATTTGGAGCTCTTTAGAGCTTTTTTATGAGTAAAATTTTCATCTCGGAATGGAGCTCTTGTTTTCATGTTTTTGTATGTACTATTAGAACCAACTTTTAATTTTTATGTGGTAGATATAATGGTAAACAAATTATCCAGGTAATGTGGAAAAACATTTTCATCAATAATATGTAATTTCATATCAGGACCTACTGTTAACTGTGTGAGCTTGGCCAAGTCACTTCCCCTCTTTGGGCCCCAGTTCCTAATAAGGAGATTAGGCCAGGTAATTCCTGAGTTCTAAGATTTTTAACCCTCTGTGATTCTCTTGCTGTGATTTATAAAAGGCACAAATAAGGCAAATTTGATTGAAATGAAGCAGACTTGTTTCAGTGTAACTAATGTAACACCTCAGATATTGGGATAGACATAAACTTGATTCAAAGGTACACTATATGTTGTTATGCAGCAATTTATTTTGATATTTTTTTCAGATACATTTTGCAGAGGCATCAGAAAACTAAAGAATGATTGGGTTATTTTATTTCTCAAAATTAATTGAAGCAGATACTTGTGAAGTCATTGGGAGGTGAGCCAATTCCGGTTCAACAGTTTAATCACAAATATTTGAGGAATATTTTTGCCTTGATTTGTTAAAAGGGTAATAATGATCAACCAAAATAAAAGGTTTCATATGTTTAAAAGGCAAACTACTTTTATGTTCTTGACATGAAGTAAAAATATCCCAAATTATTTTAAATACATTTGCCATATGCATTTTTGCATTTTTATTTTAGTAATAAATATGGTCTCTTAATTAGATAATTCTAACCAGATTGTGAGAAATTTAAAGGATAGTTCATTCTTACATTCTTTAGTTAGAGAATAGAACAGAAAGATGAGCCAGGTTTGCTTTTTTAATTTCTAAATGATTCTTCAATCTTGAATAAATGAACGCAAATGTGAGAAAATGTTCTTTCTATACGTCTAGGAGATGTTGTTATTAAAAACTGGATTTCTGGGCTGGATATGGTAGCTCACACCTGTAATCCCAGCACTTTGGGAGGCTGAGGCGGGCAGATCATTTGCGGTCAGGAGTTTGAGACCAGCCTGGCCAACGGGGAAACCCCTTCTCTACTAAAAATACCAAACAAAACAAAACAAAAAAAATTTTGCTGGGCATGGCGGTGCACACGTGTAATCCCAGCTGCTCAGGAGGCTGAAACAGGAGAATCGCTTGAACCAAGGAGGCCGAGGTTGCAGTGAGCCAAGATTGTGCCACTGCACTTCAGCCTTGGTGACAGAGTGAGACTGTGTCTCAAAAACAAACAAACAAAAACCCCTGGATTTTCTGATATCTGTATCTAAATGTTTAAGAGTTTTGGCTTTATTAGTTTGGCATTGAAGATCTCATCAGTAGCAAGGCACAGTGGCACGTGTCTGTAGTCCCAGCTACTCAGGAGTCCAAGGCTGAAGGATTGCTTGAGCCTAGGAATTCAGAGCCAGCCTGGGCAACATGGTGGTGAGACCCTGTCTTTAAACAGACAAAAAAAAAAAGATTTCATCAGTAAACATTCATGACTACTGAATTTGGCCGGAGCCAAATATTTTATTATTTTGATGCTAGAGTAAGATTATTCTTTTATGCTCAAACCTTAATTCAGCAGTTAAAGATTAAATCTTGATACTGAGATACTTGGTATCATACGTAGTATTTGAATATTGTCTTTTTTGGCATGTGTCCTTATAGATATTTATATTTTTTATTATTATTATTTTTTTTTGAAATAGGGTCTCACTCTGTTGCCTAAGCTGGGGTGCAGTGGCGCAGCCATGGCTCACTGCAGCCCCGACCTCCCAGGCTCAAGCAATCCTCCCCGCTGAGCCTCCCAAGTAGCTGGAACTACAGGCACATGCCACCATACCTCGCTAATTTTTGTATTTTTTGTAGAGATGGAGTTTTGCCGTGTTACCTAAGCTGGTCTTGAACTCCTGGGGTCAAGCCGTCTACCCGGCCAAGGCCTCCCAAAGTGTTGGAATTACAGGTGTGAGCCAACATTCCTGGCCAAAATAAATATTTGTAAAATGTCATTTTTTTCATTCATACATTCTGTTTTCTGATCTATAATATCTTTGCTTTATTTGCAAATAGAAAATCAATTTGATTTGACTTTTAAAAATTTGTTAAAATGTTTTATTCCTCCCCTCCTTATTTAATAATTAGTAAGATATCAAGAATTGACTGTGTATGTGTTTTTGCTTATTTTGGGGACATTTGCTCGGTGTGAAAGATGGGGGAGCTTTGAATATAATAACTTGTACTCCCTTCAGTGATTGTGTCCCTAACCAATTCCTCATTCAGCCTCCCTAGTAGACTCAGGATCACGAGCCCAGCACTAGAAGTTGAGTGTTACTAGGAAGTCAGAGAATCATCTTTGTGTTTTCTATTATGGCATGGAATTGAACTAGAAAATATTGACTCTGAATAGAAATTCATCCCAAATGTGTTTAACAACTCTTTGGGTACAACCCAAGATAGTGTGTTCCATTTAGATACATGTTTTCCCTTCATGTCTTCCCAACCTCCCTTCCTTGGGTGAACAAATTTAGAAGTTGTTATTTTTGTTTGGCATGTTCTTTGAGCATGCTTAGATATTTTGAAATAATCACTGCTTCAAAGAAAGCTTATTTAAATGAAGTATGTCTTATCTTTATCATTCCAAATTCAGGAAGAAATTAAAGGCACTATTCTTTGGACTGTCTGAGGGGAGTGTAATAGCAGTTATTTATTACTGTCCCTCTTAATAAGCTTCTTGTCTTTTACTCAGCCTCCTCAGGGCTGGCAGTAGGACCGTTACCATCTAAGTATGCATCCAGCTTCTAGCCAAGTTGGATGAAATTAACAGGAAGTAGGGTAGAGTATGATCATTCTTTCATAAGATGATTAGGACTTGAAAGAGATACAGAAATACCTAGATTAGCATTTGCAAAAATGTGATTATGTATATCAGTATCACTTGTGGCGTGAGAGTTGGTTTCATGTGGCAGATGAATCAATTTTTATTTTAGAAGTTTTGTAGTATGTGTTAAAAACATGTTTAAAAACTTTTTTAAAAACATAAGATAACATCAGATCATTCTTCCTACAGTTTTATTACTTAAGACAGTGTTAACTAAAAAATGAGTAGATTGTGTAAAAATACAGATGGTAATATAACTGAAATGGCAAGCATTGTGATCATTAGTATGTGAATAATTTCATTTTAGGAAATGTTGATCTAGTTCAATACCAGAATTTTATTCAGAAAAAGAAACTGGGGCCCAAAAAGGGAAAGTAATTTAGCCAGGGTGTCTTAGTGAGTCACTCACTGGTAGAGTTTGGACTAGTTCCTAGGTCTCCTGGGTCCCAGTCCAATATTTTCACTGTGCCTTGATGCTTCTCAGTAATATTAGCAAAAGTGGAACATTAGGTAAAATAGGGATGCATTATTATGGAACATACAAGAGTGCAGATTATTTTGGGAGACTTGTACCTCCTGTAGATTTGGTGGGCTCATGGAAGGACAGTACAGATAAAGTAGCTGGGATGCTGAATTAGAAACAGATATGCAAAATGCAAGTACATTTTATATTTTATGCCTACCTTCAATTCAGTTTCTTAATTTATAATAGATTGCCAGAAGGGCAAATGCAGGCACAGTTGGAAATAGTAGACTGACCTGAACTGACATCAAATTCTGTAAGTCTCTATACTTTAGAGCTGGAGTTGAAGGAATATTGTGGAGGTCATTAACATAGAATTTTATTGATGTGTAATATATTTATAAGGACCATCTCTGAATTAACACAATTTTCTTTTTCAGAGTCCTTATAGGACAGTTCTTCGAGATAATGCAATACCAACAATATTTGATCTTACCAGTCATTTGAACAACCCACATAGTAGACACAGAAAACGAATAAAAGAACTGGTATGTCTATGTACTTTCAGCTTTCCCACCTTCCCCCATAATACTATGAAATCAAATACAGATGCATTTATGTTAAAATTAATCCAAATTACTCTCTATTTCAGAGGTAATGTAACGGGAAATAAATGTTATGGTTGTTAAATAGCCTAGATGTGAGATGATGAGTTTTAGTATTTAAATTGGAAAATCTCCCTCAGAGTTAGCCAGTTGATACTTGTTGACTTGGTCCAGAGTGTGCTGTTAATTACAGGCCACTAGCTCATTCCCTTCTGGAGAAGAAGGAAAAAGCTACCTTTTCTTTCATAGTAAGGAAAATAGAGCTGAGGTGTTTCCAGAGTTCAGCACAAAGGAATAAAGAAAGGGAAAGTGTAAAAGTGGAGACATGGAATGTTTTAAAGATAAGGTTTCTATCACTATTAAATATGTACAGGGTTTAGAAAAAAACACTGAAATTTCTGTATATGGCATAATTTACACATATTCTTATGTTCCTTGGATATCCTTCAGTTCTGAGGATTGACACCTATCTGTATTTTGTTGACCTTAGGTGAACAGAAGTACAGTAACTCCTTAGTCCATGGCTTTTTGTCATCATTGCCACTAGCAAGGCCCTTATTTTGCTTTATTATTTTTCCTTCTTCACCCACTATTACCATTACCATTCCTTTCCCTACCAGTTGGTGTCCATGCTAGTGTATTTAATATATGTCCTATCAGTCCACCTACTGTGTGCTTTTTAAAGATAGCATTTATCTAATTTTCCTTATTCTATGCTTACCTTTCTATTTAGATATTTTATCCATTTGGAGTTAGTATGTATGATGTACAGTAGGGATCTATAATAACTTTTTCTCCTTATAGAGAAACTGTTTTCCCAACATGGTCTGTTAGTTCTTCCTTTCGTCCACTGGTATAAAATGCCACCTCTGTTATATAACAAGTTTACATGAGGCTGTTTTGGGGAGTTCTGTTCCATTTCACTGTATTATTTGTTTGCAACTATACCACACTGTTTTATTACCATGGCATTGTAATATATCTTACTTTCAAATAAGGTGATTGTTTAACTCTTCTTTTTCTTAACTATTTGTGGACCTTTATTCTTCCCTATGGATTTTTTTTTTCCCCCCCGAGACAGAGTCTCACTCTCACCCAGGCTGGAGTGCAGTGGCATGATCTTGGCTCACTGCAACCTCCACCTCCCGGTTTCCAGCAATTCTCCTGCCTCAGCCTTCCAAGTAGCTGAGACTACAGGCGCTCACCACCACGCCTGACTAATTTTGTATTTTTAGTAGAGACGCGGTTTTGCCATGTCAGCCAGGCTGGTCTCCAACTCCTGACCTCAAGTGATCCGCCCACCTCGGCCTCCCAAAGTGCTGGGATTATAGACGTGAGCCACCGGCCTCCTCCATATGAATTTGAAAGTCCTTTTGTCAAGTTCTCCTAGAACTTCTTTTGGGATTTTCATTATAATTGCTTTGAATTGACATCTTTACAATATTAGCTATTGTAAATTTATTACTAGTTTAGTATTACTGTTAGTAAACGAATATTACTAGTTTACTGTTACAGTATAAACTATTGTAAAGTATTAACTAGTTCTATCCATGAAGAGAAAAAAAATCCCATAAAATACCTATCAAATAACAGCAATCATTGACAAAACTAAATACTAGTTTTTTGAAAAGAATATTAGAATACTTTTAGGAGTACAGAAAACGAAAAATTTTGAGAGCTTTTGTTACAGTTGTTTAAATGAGAATGTATGCATTCTTAGATCACTTCTTAAATACATTATGGTTCTTACTGGTATAGATGATATATTCTGGTTGAAATTGTTTCCAGCACTTTTGAAGAACTTCTTTTTAAGTTAATCCTAGTAAGTCTTCTGAGTTTTTCCTCTGTTACTGATTGTATCATCTGCAAATAAGGAGAAATTTGTCTCTTTCAGTTCTTATTATTTTAATTTTTTCTGTTGCCTGTCTTGTTTAGTCAAGATCCCTGGTACTATGTTGAACAATTCTAGTAATGTCATACTTGCCTTGCCCCATTAAGTATAATGTTTGCTGTTGGTATTGTTAGATAGTTTTTATCAAGTTAAGGAAATTCCCTTCTACTCCCATATTCAGAGTTTTGTTGTTTTTTTTTAAGATGGGGTCTCACTCTGTCACCCAAGCCAGAGTGCAGTGGGGCAGACACTGCTCACTGCAGCCTCCACCTCCTGGGCTGAAGCAATCCTCTTACCTCAGCCTCCCAAGTAGCTGGGACCACAGGTGTGTGCCACCATGCCTGGCTTATTTTTTTGTATTTTTTTTTATAGATGGAGTCATGCCATGTTGCCCAGTTTGGTCTCAAACTCCTGGGCTCAAGCAGTCCTCTTACCTCAGCTCCCCAAAGTGCTGGGATTACAATAGTGAGCCACCACGCCTGACCTATATTCTGTTTTTATATTTAACTTATCACATGCTTTCATTGCATGTATTTAATAGACAAGTTCATTTTTTTCATTCTTTAATGCAATAAGTAATACTAATGGATTTTCTGTGAACCATCTGCATTTCTGTAATGAACTCTAGTTGACTGCAATATGTCTATTTGCTTTTATATACCATTGGATTCAATTGGTCAATATTTTATTTAGGATTTTACATTTGTGAATCTTGGTCTGTAGCCTTCTTTTCATGTACTCTTATTACCCAGTTATAATATCAAGGTTCTATTGGCCTCATAAAATAAGTTGGGTATCTTTTTTTTTTTTTTCTCCTAGAAAAATTTGTGTAGGTAGATGTTATCTGCTCTTGAAAGTAAGGTAGAACTTGGTAAAACCATTAGATGGCTTGCGGTGGATGAGGGAAAGTTTTGATTGCCATTCTGCTATCTTTATTGGTTTTCTTTCTTTCTTGTGTTTTGTTAATGTTTCTAAAAGTTTATGAAACTTTAATAATCTTTTCAAAGAACCAGTAGTTTTGTCAGTGATTGTTGTACTTATGAACTATTTTATTGGTTTTTCTTTGATTAGGGTGATTTATTTTTTGACTCTTTTTCTAGCTTCTTGAATGTTTAGCTCATATTTATGTGTATTCAAAGCTATAAAAGTCTCTCTTAGGTCCATTTTAGCTATACCCTACAACTTTAGACATATAGTGTTGTCATGTCTGGCTGTAGGTATTTTGTAATTTCTCTATTTTGTTAACATAGGATTGTTTTTCTTAGTTTCCAGATGTGGAATTATTTTTAATTGCTATATGATATTTTAAATTTTAAATGTTATTAAGAGATACGTAGAGGATACATATAGTCTATGTGATGTTGATTCTTTCTGATTTTTTTGCATCCATTATTGCTATTCAAGTCTGTGCCAGCCTGATTCTTGTTCCTTTTTAGGTAATCTTCTTTTCTCCCTCAAAGCTTTTTAGAAGGTTTCTTTATATTTGACATTTTAAAATTTGCTAACCTGTATCTAGATGTGAGTTTTTTTTTTATGTACCTTAATTTGTCATCTTACAACTGAGGACTTACACCTTAAATTCTGAGAAATCCTTAGTTTTTATTTTTCTTTATGCATTTTCCCCTCTATTTGTTTATTTCTATTTTCCTGGGACTTAGATGAATACTGACACTTACATTACAGTCCTCCATATCAGCTTTCTTCTTGGTGTCCATGGAGGACTGATTCCAGGAGCTTCCCTCAGAGAGCAAAATCCACAGATACTTGATTCCCTTATATACAGTGGTGTAGTATTTGCATATAACTTACACACATCCTCCCGTGACTTTAAATCATTTATAATACCTAATACAATGTAGTGCTATGTAAATAGTTGTTCTGTTACATTGTTTAGAGAATAATGACAAGAACAAAAATCTGTGTGTTCAGTATAGACACAACCATCCTTTTCTTTTTTTTTTTTTTGAGACAGAGTCTCGCTCTTGTTGCCCAGGCTGGAGTGCAAGGGTGCGATCTCAGCTCACCGCAACCTCCGCCTCCCGGGTTCAAGCAATTCTCCTGCCTCAGCCCCCCGAGTAGCTGGGATCACAGGCATGTGCCACCACGCCCGGCTCTTTTTGTATTTTTAGTAGAGACGAGGGTTCTCCATGTTGGTCAGGCTGGTCTTGAACTCCCGACCTCAGGTGATCCTCCCGCCTCAGCTTCCCAAAGTGCTGGGATTACAGACGTGAGCCACCATGCCCGGCACAACCATCCATTTTCAAATAATACCTAGATTATTTATGATACTTAATACATTTATGTGTTTGTAACACCTACTACAATGTAAATGCTATGTAAATAGTTATGCTACGTTATGTAGGGGAAGAATGAGAAAAAAAGTCTGTACATGTTCAAGATAGATACAACCATCCATTTTTTCCCCAGCATTTTCAATGCATGGTTGGTTAAATCCATAGATATGAAGTGTAATATGTATCAGGATGAGGAGCTCAATCACTTGCTGTCCTGTAGCTATCATTTCCCTGTAGTCTGTCCCTCAGAGAGCCTCACATATCTCACAGCAGGCATACTCTTCCTGACCCACCATCCTTATAAACGTGCAGTCCGTAGGATAAGGAGGGGATGTCCAGGTTGACCAGCCTGCTGATGTTTCTTGTTATCAGCACCATGTCCAGTGCTGCCCAACAGGCATCCTGCTGTCTTCAGCTGTCACTGGCATTGCTGCTTTTCTGCCACAGAAAGTAACAGGTGGCTCATGATTTAAGCATTGTAGAGGGTTGGAAGGAAAGTAAAGGATGCAGCTGGAAAGTTCTTCCTTTGTCTAACCCTATTGGTGCCACTTGGCCTACTATGCTCTGTGTATGCTCTGTGTATCTCTTCCATGCTGGTACTTTCACCTTCTGCTTCTCAGGGATTTCTCATCACTTTTGTGTTGAGTCCTGAGATTCAGCAACCTCCTTCTTATGGGACATCTCCAGGGTTAAATTGGGAAGTAAGATGATTTGTGTCCTCTTGAATTTAACTCCAAGTGCCATGGTGTATTTTTGTGCCTTTCATTAGCCAGTAAACACTTATAACCCAAAGTTACGATGATTTAGGTAGAAAATAAGCAAAATGATGTATTCTTTTTTCCCTAAGACTTTGTTATAACCTTGGAGTCATTAACAGCTTATTCTGGTTTTCTCATTGTCTGTTTGTTTGAAGAATGTGTACTATATAAAGAATTTATGCTCTTGAAAGAATTAAATTGACTCAGAATAGGCATTTGTATTTGTGAGTCTAAGATGATACACTAGAGGTCAGTTTTTTAAAGATGATTTGTTTTTTTCTTTTTTTTTCTTGACATTTAGAGTGAAGATGAAATCAGGACACTGAAACAGAAAAAAAGTAAGTGATAGTGTTAATGACTCAACTTCTGAATGCCTTTTAAAAAGGCCTTGACCTGGTAAGGACAAATAAATATGTTCTGTGTTGAAAACCTACCTTGAGAATGAATGTAGGAGTGTGCTCAATTTTGTCCTGTGTTTTGGAATTATCTATGAGACTAAAGTCTAATTTTAGTTTGTCTTTATTGAGTGCTGCAATGCCACACACTATGCTATATGCAGGCCTCATGGAGGTGACGCCTCCTCTCTCAGTGTGGTAGGGGTGGCAGGCACACAGTGCTCCATTGTAGGGAAGGAAGGGCAACAGTAGAGGCATGCACTGAATCTCTTTTTCTGTCCACCCAGTTGTGGTATGTAATAAATTCTTTGTAAATGTTTAAGGACTAAATGCTGTGGGGGCACATAGTGCCATTGTGAGTAGTGGTCACAACAGCCTTTCTGGAGGTGCTGATGTCCGAATTATGTCACCAAAGGACGAGGGCTAGAAGCTGTTTTTCTTCTTGTCAGTTATTAGTTACTCCTCCTCCTCTGTTTCTTCCTCCTATTGCTGTTATTATTAACGTAGCATTTTATTGAGTGCTTACTGATGCCAAATCATTGTTCTAAGTGCTTTACTTGTATTAATTAATTTAATTCTCACAATAGCCGTGAGATAAGTACTGTTATTTCCCTCTTTATGGATGAGGAGATATGGACTTGGGCAAAGAGAGGGAAAGGTATTCTGTGCACGAAACAGGGTGCTGTTTTGGGGAACTACACTCATTTTAGTGTTGTTAAAGTTTGTGATAACCCATTATGGTTAGAAAATAGCCTAGAGAGGACCCCAGAGGCCAGAACTTGCAGACTTGTGGGCTATTAGCAATAGGGAACCACTGAGGGGTTTATAAGTAGGTGATAACAGGGACCTGATTTCCATGGTACATAGAGTACTCTGTTGGATTAGAAAAGGTAACACTGGAGGCATGGAGGCTAGTTAGACTGTCAACTGACCAAATAAAAGTTGAAAGGCCTTGAATTAAGGCAATGGTAGAGAGAGTAAAGGGAATAGATTCAAGGAACTTAAGAAATTTGTATACCTATGACACCTAAAAAGATGTCCAAAAGAAGAGGGACTTGACTTTTCAGTTTGAACTCTTTGCTCTTTAATGAACTTCTTTTTGAAAAAAATAAAAGCAAGAGAATTAGTACTTGTTAATTGGAAGTGGAGAAATAATGGAGGAGAGAGGGAGGGAGCCAGACAGGCAGGCGTCCAGGATAACCTCTTGCTTTCTGGCTTGGGAAGCCTCCCTAGTATAGAACCACTGCTGTGTCACATATAATGAATAGCAGTGTCATCTGATTTGAGGAGGGGTGAAGGAAGGATGCTCCCTGCATTTTTCTGAACCCTTATGAAGCTCTGAAGCATGGCTCACACAGGCTCCGGTCAGACTAGATTTCCCTTTGTACTTGGGCAGCCTGCTTCCCTCTTCTACCTTAGTGCTTGTGCTAGAATAATTCTCACCAACTGAAATGCCCTCCTTGTTCATGTCCCCCTTATTTATCCTTGTCATCAAATGCAACTTCTGAATTTTTGTTTCTCCCCACCGCCCTCCATAGTCTTTTTTCTTTTTGAGACGGAGTCTCACTCTGTTGCCCAGGCTGGAGTGCAGTGGCACGATCTCGGCTAACTATAACCTCTGCCTCCTGGGTTCAGGCAATTGTCCTGCCTCAGCCTCCCGAGTAGCTGGGACTACAGGCATGTGCCACCACGCCCAGCTAATTTTTGTATTTTTAGTAGAGATGGGGTTTCACCATATTGGCCAGGCTGGTCTCAAACTCCTGACCTCGTGATCCACCCACCTCAGCCTCCCAAAGTGCTGGGATTACAGGCGTAAGCCACTGCACCCCCGGCCCTAGTCTTATGTTCTAAGAACTAGGTTTTAACTGTGCCTCCTCAGATTTGGATTATTTTCCTGCAGACACCACTGACCTGTATGACTATGGGCAGGGCATTTAGCCTGTAGGGCCTCAGTTTTCCTATCCCCTGTGAAGAGATTAGGCTAAGATGTGTGATATTCTAATACTAGCCCTAAGAGTTACATTAATCTCCTTTATATTATACTGGTTTGTACAGCTGTCCCATCTCCCATATAAATGTGTGGCATAATGGTTTGATAAAAACAGCATCAGCATGGATCTTGGAGCCAGACGCACTTGGATTTCAACTTTACTTCCATTCTTCTAACTGTATTTGTGATCTTGGGCAAGTTACTTAGTGTCCTTGTTTGTCAAGTGGGGCCGATACCACCTGCCTGAACAGAGAGTAATGTGATGCATATAAAATACTAAGCACAGTACCTTAGTAATTAGTTCTGTCCCACTTTGTTTTTCTGAGGGCATGGACTGTCATTCATTACATATGTGGAAAGTCTTGTTAAGTGTATTTTAAAAATTAGGCCGGATGTGGTATCTCACACCTTTAATCCTTGTACTTTGGAGCTGAGGTGGGAGGATCACTTGAGGCCAGGAGTTCAAGACCAGCCTGGGCAACATAGTGAGACTCCCCGCTCTACTTCTTAAAAAAAAAAAATTATTCCTATCTTGTAACAGCATTTACATCTAGGATTAAAATATATCTCTTTACACTGTTTGTCTCTCCCACTAGGATGTGTCTTATCTTAGTGTCTTATTTTAATCTCTGTCCTAGTCTGTGGTCTAGTAAATACCCTATGAATATTGAATGAATGAGTTTGTGGATTTTAAATATTTAACCAAAGATGTAATATTTTTTGTTGTGTATGGTTTTTCATGAGCCTGTTTGTAAAATTAATTCTTTGTTTTCCAGTTGATGAAACTTCTGAGCAGGAACAAAAACATAAAGAAACCAACAATAGCAATGCTCAGAACCCCAGCGAAGAAGAGGGTGAAGGGCAAGATGAGGACATTTTACCTCTAACCCTTGAAGAGAAGGAAAACAAAGAATACCTAAAATCTCTATTTGAAATCTTGATTCTGATGGGAAAGCAAAACATACCTCTGGATGGACATGAGGCTGATGAAATCCCAGAAGGTCTCTTTACTCCAGATAACTTTCAGGCACTGCTGGAGTGTCGGATAAATTCTGGTGAAGAGGTTCTGAGAAAGCGGTTTGAGACAACAGCAGTTAACACGTTGTTTTGTTCAAAAACACAGCAGAGGCAGATGCTAGAGATCTGTGAGAGCTGTATTCGAGAAGAAACTCTCAGGGAAGTGAGAGACTCACACTTCTTTTCCATTATCACTGACGATGTAGTGGACATAGCAGGGGAAGAGCACCTACCTGTGTTGGTGAGGTTTGTTGATGAATCTCATAACCTAAGAGAGGAATTTATAGGCTTCCTGCCTTATGAAGCCGATGCAGAAATTTTGGCTGTGAAATTTCACACTATGATAACTGAGAAGTGGGGATTAAATATGGAGTATTGTCGTGGCCAGGCTTACATTGTCTCTAGTGGATTTTCTTCCAAAATGAAAGTTGTTGCTTCTAGACTTTTAGAGAAATATCCCCAAGCTATCTACACACTCTGCTCTTCCTGTGCCTTAAATATGTGGTTGGCAAAATCAGTACCTGTTATGGGAGTATCTGTTGCATTAGGAACAATTGAGGAAGTTTGTTCTTTTTTCCATCGATCACCACAACTGCTTTTAGAACTTGACAACGTAATTTCTGTTCTTTTTCAGAACAGTAAAGAAAGGGGTAAAGAACTGAAGGAAATCTGCCATTCTCAGTGGACAGGCAGGCATGATGCTTTTGAAATTTTAGTGGAACTCCTGCAAGCACTTGTTTTATGTTTAGATGGTATAAATAGTGACACAAATATTAGATGGAATAACTATATAGCTGGCCGAGCATTTGTACTCTGCAGTGCAGTGTCAGATTTTGATTTCATTGTTACTATTGTTGTTCTTAAAAATGTCCTATCTTTTACAAGAGCCTTTGGGAAAAACCTCCAGGGGCAAACCTCTGATGTCTTCTTTGCGGCCGGTAGCTTGACTGCAGTACTGCATTCACTCAACGAAGTGATGGAAAATATTGAAGTTTATCATGAATTTTGGTTTGAGGAAGCCACAAATTTGGCAACCAAACTTGATATTCAAATGAAACTCCCTGGGAAATTCCGCAGAGCTCACCAGGGTAACTTGGAATCTCAGCTAACCTCTGAGAGTTACTATAAAGAAACCCTAAGTGTCCCAACAGTGGAGCACATTATTCAGGAACTTAAAGATATATTCTCAGAACAGCACCTCAAAGCTCTTAAATGCTTATCTCTGGTACCCTCAGTCATGGGACAACTCAAATTCAATACGTCGGAGGAACACCATGCTGACATGTATAGAAGTGACTTACCCAATCCTGACACGCTGTCAGCTGAGCTTCATTGTTGGAGAATCAAATGGAAACACAGGGGGAAAGATATAGAGCTTCCGTCCACCATCTATGAAGCCCTCCACCTGCCTGACATCAAGTTTTTTCCTAATGTGTATGCATTGCTGAAGGTCCTGTGTATTCTTCCTGTGATGAAGGTTGAGAATGAGCGGTATGAAAATGGACGAAAGCGTCTTAAAGCATATTTGAGGAACACTTTGACAGACCAAAGGTCAAGTAACTTGGCTTTGCTTAACATAAATTTTGATATAAAACACGACCTGGATTTAATGGTGGACACATATATTAAACTCTATACAAGTAAGTCAGAGCTTCCTACAGATAATTCCGAAACTGTGGAAAATACCTAAGAGACTTTTAAAAATAGGCTTTCTTATATTTGATATTTGGAAGAAAAAGCCGTAAGGTGTATGTAGACCACTTAATCACTAAATATCTTTGCCTATAGGACTCCATTGAATACATTAGCCATTGATAATCTACCTGTTTAAATGGCCCCTGTTTGAACTCTCAAGCTTTGAAGACCTACCTGTTCTTCCAGAAGAGAACGTTGAAAGTGCCATGTTTCCTTTTGCGTGATCTCTGTTGATGGCACTCTGGAATTGTTTCAGTTAAGTCATTTTAGACATAGCATTTATTATCACTGTGGATCTCTACTTGTTGGGTGTTATGAATTCTTTGAAGAAATATATTTTGAAGAGGTGTGGGAGGAAGGAATACATTTTATAAAATGTTGTAGTGAAGCCCACAATTGACCTTTGACTAATAGGAGTTTTAAGTATGTTAAAAATCTATACTGGACAGTTACAAGAAATTACCGGAGAAAAGCTTGTGAGCTCACCAAACAAGGATTTCAGTGTAGATTTTGTCTTTCTTGAACTTAAAGAAACAAATGACAAAGTTTGAATGGAAAAGCCTGCTGTTGTTCCACATCTCGTTGCTGTTTACATTCCTTTGTGGAGCCTACATCTTCCTAAGCTTTTTAGCAGGTATATGTTGAACACTTCTGTTTCATGGTTGAGACAGAATCAGAGGCCATGGATACTGACAACTGATTTGTCTGTTTTTTTTCTCTGTCTTTTTCCATGACTCTTATATACTGCCTCATCTTGATTTATAAGCAAAACCTGGAAAACCTACAAAATAAGTGTTGTGGTTTATCTAGAAAAATATGGAAAATATTGCTGTTATTTTTGGTGAAGAAAATCAATTTTGTATAGTTTATTTCAATCTAAATAAAATGTGAATTTTGTTTAAAGCTTAGGCACATTATTTTTTGTGGGGTCAAAACATTCTTGTGTAAATTCTCTTAAACATTTGATAAACAGCTTCACAATTCAAGGTGAGTCTTTTGTATGTGGTTTACTACTTGGGTTACAGAAAAAAAACAATTAAGAAAGTGTTAAATGTAAGATTCACCCAACTAGGTTTTTTTTTTTTTTTAAATGTACTGTGTGGGCCCTGATGTAAATTGTCAGAGTTTGTCTTATTGTTGCTGGCTAAAATGAATGCAGAGGTGTTAATGAATTATTTTATGTTGGGAGTAAGTGTTACTTGAGCTTCAGAAACCAGAGTGGTGTGTATTTGCTGAACTGCTGAGAATGATAGCCCACAGTCCATTTCTCTGTCCTAGGAAAGCCCACAGATGTGTCAAATCAGGACACATTATGCATGCGGCTTATCAAAAAGATAACAAGAGTTTATCTTATAGCCAGGGCTCTAAGAGATGTCTCTGTCCTTGGCAGAAAGAACTGATCAAGTTCATGATGGCAGGATGACAATGAAGGAAACACAAAGCTGGTGTTTCAATACATTCATCCTGTTCTTAGGGAGCTTAAGAGTGGTGTGGGGCGGAAAAAAAGAGTGGTGTGACCTTGACAGATTACTTAACCTGGGTCAGTTTCCTCAGCTGTACAACCTACCTTAAGGTTGTGCTATGAGGGTTAATTAATTTATCATCGGTGACCTATTGCTGCTTAACATTCCCCCCAAATTTAATGGTTTAAAGAAATACTTTACCATTTCTCACAGTTCTGTGGGTTGGTTGAGTGGTTCTTCTCCTAGTCTCATCTGGGCTGTCTGCATTCAGCTGGGAGGGTGACTGGGGACTGAATATGATGACTGGGCCTCTCCATGTGGTCTTTTATCTTGCGCTATGTAATGGTGGTCTCAAGAGTACCAGGAAAGCAAAGGCAGTGGCTTCAAAGCCTGGACTCAGTAATTCAGAGCATCACTTTCACCACATTCTTTTAGTCAAAGCAAGTCACTTGGCCAGTCTAGATTCGAAGGAGGAGGAAATAGACTCCTTTTGTTGGGAGGAGCTACAAAATAATGGCCCCCTTTTCAGTCTGCCACAATAATGTATCCAAAAACATTCATGCAACAAGCATTAGTTAAAGATGCCCATCATTTGTTTTTATAATGTATGTATATTCTCTAATTTGGGAGTCTACTGAAAGCTTAAAAACCTAATTTATTAAAAGATGTTTTCAACAAACTGATCTTTGATGGTAGGTTGAATCAGTGCACTGATGAAACAGGTTGTCTTTTGCAAGATGAGATAATTTAGAAAGTGGTAGGTGTCATGACCATTCCACAAATATAAGTTGAATGCTTACTGTGTGCCAGGCTCCTTGGCTAAGTGCTGGCAATACCCAGTGCATTTTCTGACTCACCAAGCTTACAGACTAGAGTTGGCCCACAGTTGGCCCATAAGTACATGCAATTGTACGTACTTATAACTACACACACACAAACTTCATAGACTTCAGTAAATCCGATTTATTGAAATTAAAGGAAAGGAAAATAACATACAGAGTATCCACAAAAGCCTCGTACAGTTTTTTAAAAATAAGATCTGTATCATATCTAAATAGTTTGCAAATGTACTAGGAAAGACATTCAAGATTTAGCATATCTAATCAGAGGAATTTTTGCTTTTGACATATCTCTTTTTTTTGGAAAAAAAAAGTTACACAGTTGAAGCCTGATGTAGGATGTGTGACCTGTGAGGTAAGTGGGAACAAACACTTTATTAATAATTCTATGTAATTTTCAGTTAATTCTTAGAATAATTCCTGCGAAGTAAGTAGTAGTTGGTTGGGTTGAAAGAGCCTTCCTTCTGAGACCAGTTCCTCTGCAGTAACTTAGTTGGATCAGGTTTATTTCTGTTTGATAGGGGCAGCCACTTTTAAGTGCTATTTTAAGTAAGTCATAAAACAGGAAAATTGTACTTGCAGTGTTACTTTAGAGCTTACAAAGCACTTTGATCTCATTCAAGTTCTCAGAAAAATTCAGACAGGTATTAACCCCCTTTTATCAGTTGAGAAATCATGTTCACAGAGATGAATTAATTGCCTCAAATTAAATGGCAAGTAAGTGCCAGAGGCAGGTACTTCAGTCCAGTGCTTCGATATTAAAATTGATTGTGAAAGCCACTTCATTCTTAAGGTTTGTAAAAGGAATATTTGCTTTAGGAATAGGTTCCTTTTATGTTCTTGCTTTATCCATTGCCAGCTTTCAGCACAGCATCTCTAAAATGCACTCATTATAGTCGACATGGGTTTCTTGCAAAGAAAAAAAAAATGGAGCCTGAAACTTCTGAGACTTTACAAACTGGGTGTAGAAATGCTGCCACCTTTGTTTGGCTGCCAAGACATTACCACAGAGGACTAGATCCAGGTCCATTTATTTCATGAGAGTGGATGCAGCTGTCTTGCCATAATCAAATGCTTCTCTGTAGCCAGCTTTTTGTGGCCAGAAAAAGTAAAGTAATTTTTAGTACAGATTAGCATAAAAATATCCACAAGATCAGTTTCAGGAAACAATTCCTAGCTTAGAAGTAACAATAAGTGTGATCTATAGGTTGGCCAAATGGCAGTTAATTTCCAGACCTTTTTAAAATGCCCCTTATTTCTCACCATGAATACTATGTAAATAGAATACACTACCTGCCACTGTATTTAGTTTCATAAATTATTTGGACAGGGTGAACAACAGACTTCAAAACTATGTAGAGGTAGTAAATCTGCTCCTTTTTAATGAGTTTGAATTTACAGTAGTAGTTTAAACATCTGGAAGTTTAAAGTCTTAATTCATTCCAAATGTTCAACAAGGATATACTTTAAAGAGGATATTGTAATTGAGGGATCAAGAAAACTGTTGACTCAATCTGAGGCCTTTCTACTTTTCTCTATATACATTAATCACATACAACTTGAGAGGTTGACAGTTCAAAAAGAGAAGAGATGGACCCAAATATCCAAGTTGGCATTCTTATATGAGTAAGAGTATAGTTATAACAAAGGTGAAGTTTAAATGTTGGTACACATCTAAGGATGCAGCCAGATAGTGCTGCTGTGTTCTATGCTTCTTATGGATATGAGGAGGTTTTTTTGAATTGTTATGAAAGCTGGACTTAGAGGAGTCAAAACTTTTGACTTCTAAATTGTAATTTTGATTAATGCATCTCGTAACCCAAGATTCTGATGTGAAGCCAGCACCTAGCATGAGACCAAGCATTCCTTTAGTGCACACTTACTGAGTTTCTACTGGATGCTTGTTAGGTGTCAGTTTTCTCACACCAAAACAGGGTTGTGGCAGCAGCAGTCATCATTGTCCACAGCGGCAGCTGCTGTTAACGGTGCTCAATATATGCCAGCTATGTGCAAAACACTTTACCTATAGTGTCTCATTTAAACTTCTCTACTTTATGAAGAAGGTACTATTATCCCCATTTTACAGGTGAAAACCTAAGAATCAGAAGGTCGCACAGCTAGTGAAAGGTAAATCCAGAATCCCAACATGATATAATGATTTGCAGATCTAATTTGTTGTTAATTGTATTTGCTTCTCATTCTAATTTTGAATATCATATTGAAAACCTATGTTGCTCAGTCTGTTTGGCATCAGGCACAAGGCTGTCATGGATACAAATGTGAATGACATACAGCCCATGCCATGGATACACAGGAGAATAAGATTGACCCCCGGCCCCCAGTAAGCTGAGTCACATGGGAGAGCCAAACAAGCAAGCTGGAGTCTGCCAGGATCAGGTCTAAAGGTAGGGTAACCCTATAATTGATGGTCTTAACCAAAGCACTTTCGAGCATGTAAGGGGGCACTATTAATAGTTATGCCAGACAACAGATAAAACAGACTGTCTACAGCGCGCCACAACTTTTGTTCACCATAGTTAGAGGTAAACTCGGTGTGAGGGGAGTACAGTGGAGAGTACCCTGACTGACCAGAGACAATGCCCTGGATCAACAGAGTGCAGCATGTGTAGTGTGTTGTCACCGTTACAGGCCTTAGTCTAGATGCCAGTTCCCCTAGGGGCTTCCTCAGCCCTGAAATCTGGGTTGGGGGGTCCTTACATGTGCTTCCAGGTTTGCCCGGCTCTGCCACTGGATGAAAGCTGTGTGAGAACCTGTGTGGCTGTGAGGTGTCTCTCAGTTTGCAGCTCAGAGTAGTAGACAGCATTGAATATAGGAGGTCAAAGAGGTAGGCAACAGCCTTTGCAGAAAGACAGCATTGAATATAGGAGGTCAAAGAGGTAGGTAACAGCCTTTGCAGAAACCTATAAAAACAGCAATATTTGTTTCTCCACATATTACCTCATTAAGTTAATGAGTGATGATGGTATATAAAACTAAGCCAAATTCACCACCATCATTGCCAATATAGGTCCAGTTGAAACATGTTTGAAGCCACTGAGAAACTGGCATTTGCTAACAGTAGTTGGACCTTTGAAAATGGTGTGTACTGTGCAACTTTATGACCCCAAGTATTAGGTTAGTCTCACACTTCCTTCTCAGTGAAAATGTAGCTTTTATCTTAGTATTACAAGTATACCCATATAATGTATGATTCATCCTCCGTCCCCCCCACCACACACAAAAAAAAACAACTGTGATATTCAGCATGCTATTTCAGGTTGTTAAGGTACCTGATATGTAAGTAATACATCTTCCTCACACCAGTATTACACACATTGAACTGTAAATTCTTCATAGTGGTAGAGTTTTAGAGCTGGAAGGAGTTGTGGAAACTGTAGACAACTCATTTGACAGAGTACCGGAGAGGACGGCTTGCTCAGAATCGCACTGCTTGGTGATGGCAGAGGCTGGGGGTGAGCAGAAGTGTCCTCCCTCACTCAGTGCTGTGCTCTGTCACACCACACAGACGCAACTCAAGATGGAAAACCTGAAAGAATCATTTCTTGGCAGGTGAGCAGTGTCTGCCCTTTAAATTGTTATTAGTGTAAATGGTAATCCCATAAGTATGTCATCTTTATAGGAGAGAGATTTATTAAACAGGCCAGGGTCTGGGGTTTTTGGCACCATTTCTGTTTTGTGTTACCGTAAAATTTGGTTTTAAAAATATTTGGTATTGCTTACATCTTTTTTGGCAAATTCCTATTCTTGGTATGATTGTTTTTCTTTAGAAGAGTACATGTGATTAGATTGTAGATTTGCAAAGCCTTTATTTCCTAAAAGAGATGTTGAAAGCTTTCTTTATAATTGGATTTGTGGAATTTGGACTTCCTTTTATTAATAGCAGCTGCTGTATATTGAGCACTTACTATGTACCAAGCATCGTTTTAGGTACTTTGTATCAGTCATTTAGGTCACAATAATCAGATGTTACTATCGCCATTTTGGGGATAGACAAGAGAGCAAATGGCTTGTCCAAAACCACTCAGTGGTAGAGTGGGATTCAGACCCTAACCAACTTGATTCTGGTAGACTAGGCTGCTCCTCAAAGAGGAAATACCCACCTTTTTACAAATGAGTATGGAAAGACTAGGGGGAAAGTACACCAAAATACCAGTTTGTCTCCAGGCGGTGGGACTATGAGGAATTATAACTTCCCGTCTTTGACATTACAATTTTTCAAATTTTCTATTATATATATAGCCATCTTGAAAAAGATTAAATAGCATTCTGAAATAGAAAATTCAAGATTACTTCATGAAAACATTTTTCTTCCAGAATATTTGTTACTACTTTTCCAGTTCCATTTAACACACGTCATGCCAGGTATTATGCTAGGTGTTTTGGCTGCAAAGATGAGACGTTGACCCTGTTGGCAAACTTAGACTGCTAATTCTTCAGGGCCCAGCTCAAGTGTCCTATAACCAGTGTACCCTTATGTCTGGCCCTCAGTTCTCACCCCCTCTCCTGTTACCTGCCTAGTCCAAACCATCATCATCTCTCACTTTATCGTTCCCTACAAGGTTATTTTCCACCCAACAGGCAGAGTGATCGCGTGGACCTCCTTTTCTCAGACCCCCACACTTAGACCAGAATCCAAGCTCCTGACCATGACTCTTAAGGCTCTATGTGAGCTGGTCTATGCCAACTTCTGGACCTCCTTCATTCTGCCCAGCTATTAATGGTGGTCTTTTGGTTTCATCTACTCGCCAAGCTCATTGAGAGAAGCTTGTTCAAGGCCTTTACACTTGATGTGCCTTGAAAGCTGTTGACCCAGTTAGCTTCTAGCTCATTTTTTATACCATTCAGGTCTTTGCTGAAATATTCTCCACGGAGAAGTTTTCTCAGACTACCCTTTCAAAACTAGCCTACCTTTCCTGGAAATAATGGGTCTTCCCACACTAGTATATAAGTTCTACAAAGGCTGGGACTTTGTCCTATTTACTGGTTGTATTCCAAATGTGTAAAACAGGACCTGGCATGTAATAGTTGCTCCATACTTGTTGAACAAATGGTGGGTTCTAGGGCCAATGGGAAATTCAGAGTGGCTAGAGGATTGGAGGGGAGGAAAGCAACCAAAGTGAGGATAGAAAGGGATTTAGGGGCCAATCCATGAAAACCTAGGAAGCCCTGCTTAGGAGTTGGCCCTACTCATGTGACCTGGTCATAGAAACAGTGCCCTTCGCAGGTGAGATGCATATGGCAGAGTACAGCCTGTAGTTTCTGGGCGTGTTTAGAAAGTGAGAGAAGAGACCAGGTGCAGTGGCTCACGCCTGTGATCCCAGCACTTTGGGAGGCTGAGGCAGGCAGATCACCTGAGGTCAGGAGTTTGAGACCAACCTGGCCAACATGGTAAAACCTCGTCTCTACTAGAAATACAAAAATTAGCCGGGCATGGTAGGTAGGCACCTGTAATCCCAGCTACTCAGGAGGCTGAGGCAGGAGAATCGCTTGAATCCGGGAGGCAATGGTTGGAGTGAGCCGAGATCATGCCACTGCATTCCAGCCTGGGCAACAAGAGCGAAACTGTCAAAAAAAAAAAAAAAGACAATCAAAAAGCAAACCTCACATTGGCCACTGTTAATCATAATTAATAACGTCTGTGATATGTATAGTCTTTCTTCCAATGTGTTCCAAGTCTCGAGACGTGATCCCTTTGGCCCCCAGGCCCCTGCCACAATAACAACCTTGGCATGCGACTCACCACCCTCTGCTGCCATATAATACCCTCCTATTTATCACCCGTCTTACCCCTTCCTTTCCAAGTGAAATAATTTATGCCTTATTTTTTCTTCTCTTCCTTCCCTGCTCAAACCACAACCCATGTAATTTTCATTGCCCTCTTTAGAACCTGCTTGTGTCTCAGCTCCTGCCTTTTTATACAGAAGGGGAGCCAACCTGAAACAGTATGGATGAAGAGATGCGCATTTTTAAATCACCCTCCATACATAGTGGCATCTTCTTCTGGACTGCATTCTTTTCCAGCGTACAGTCTCCTTGAAAGACAGATGACTAAATCCTTGTGCCTTAAAATTATTAGCAGTCTTAGTGCTCATTTGAGGTTAAATTCCCTACCCATAGCATGAGATTTATCCATGTGCTTAAATAATAGAATTAAAGGATTGATTCTGCTGTGCTTCATATAATGACGCTTACACTTAGGAAGGAATATAATATTTATTGTGTGCCTCCTGTATGCCAGGCACTGTGGACCCACAATTTGATGAGGCTGATATATTATTCCCATGGGAGAACTGAATTTCAGGATCATTTGCCTGAGGTCCGTGTCTGCCCAAAGCCAGAGGCAGTGCTCTTCGCACTGCACCACACAGCCAGCCTCAATCCCACAGCACTCGAAGGTGCACCAAGAGTTTGTACAGATGTCTTGTCATTTCAGTCCTCGTAACAGCCTATAAGATGGCAGTGTCATCCCCAGGTGGCTTGCCAAAATGCAGCACTGCTGGGATGGACTTTATGTCTCTTTTCCTCCAGCTCTTTCTTCCTTGTTTGTTTTTTGTTTTTGAGACAGAGTCTCACTCTGTCACCCAGACTGGAGTGCAGTGATGTGATCACGGCTCACTGCAGCTTCTGCCTTCTGGGCTCAAACGATCCTCTCACCCAGCCTCTCTAGTTGCTGGGACAAAAGATGTAAACCATCACTCCCTGCTAATTTTTGTATTTTTTGTAGAGAGAAGGTTTTGCCATGTTGCCCAGGCTGGTCTTGAACTCCTGAACTCAAAGGATCCACCTGCCTCAGCCTCCTTAAGTGCTGGGATTACAGGCATGAGACACTGCGCCTGGCCAGCTCTGTGGCTTTCTGATTTGGAGTCTGGTGCATAGGGTCCTGGTGCATGTCACTGTGGTGGGTGGAGGGATTTGAATCTGGCTCTTGAAGAGAGCATTGGTGGGAGATGCTGGAGGAGCCACAGCCCGTGTGACATCAATAAGAGCAGAGACATGGGCCTAGAAGAGGCTGTTGTCCCTTTCCTGCTGAAGGAAGTGGAGAGAAGTGTGGCCGGGACCTGGAAGCATCAGAGTGAGAAAAGGGTCAGGGTTGGACAAAACAGCAGCAAGGAACCAGAGAAAGCAACAAGGAGGGTATCGGGACACCCCATCTAAATGCTGTCACTTTGAAGTGGTGGGGCCTTGGGTAAACCACTTCACCTCTCTGAGCTCATGTATTACAGTTTTTATTGTGGAGTCTATGGGCAAACCTCATCACATCCTGGAATGCCACTTTCTCCAAGGAAAGGTCTGGCTAACCCGACTGCTCACCAGCTGATTGTGGTTAACTATCCCACGACAAGCATGAAATATTGGTGTGAAGAACCCAGAGACTCACTTATTTTCCCCACCCTTCCACTGACCTTGAGAGAGATGTTGGGCAGATTGCCACCCCTCTCTGGGCCTGTCTCCTCATCTGTAAAGCAAGGATGCTAACATATCTCATGATGAAGGAGAAAGCATTTAATCAGCTATATACAATATTGTTACTAAAATGCTCTGACAGAAAAAAGGCTTCTAGACGAAATTAGAACAGGGTGAGATATGTGCCAAGGGACCTAGAAAGGCTTCTTGGAGGAGTGTGGTGTGAACTAGGTCACAAAGACTGGATAGGTCAGCAGGTAAGGATGCAGAACTGGTGTGGATGGCCAGGGCAGAGGCCCGGTGTCCTATCAGAACAGGAGGGCTACTGCTGTGTCTCTTTCCTTCCATCTGACTCCATCAGCATCCTCCACTCTCACAGCTCAAGCCCGTGAGTCTCAATTCTAAGAGGCTATTGGTGGAGACACATTTTCAATTACATAATAGCTTTTAGGGGAATAAAACATATTTCAGCTATAAACATACACTAGTTTTATGTTGCATCTCAATTTCAAAACCATTAAACTGTGGGGATAAAATGTATCTTAGAATTGAAAAAATACAGTTATCTCACATCAGAATGAATACTACCAAAAAAAGTCATGTGGACTTTGGAACCAATGTTCAAGTTTCTGTTCTGTCACATACTAGCTTTGTTATTCTGGGCAAGTCACTTGATTTATTTAGGCATCAGTGCATTTTTAAATGGTCTATAAATTGGGCATAGGAGGCGAGCAGTTAAGGTTGTTTGAGTCTGAATATTGGTTCATTTTGGGAAGAGGTCTCCAGGAACATATTTTGTCAAATTATGGGTTGCCATTGAATAACTATATGTTGTCATTTTTAGAATAGCATAACACAGACCAACGGTTCTCAACTGGGGGTGATTTTGCCCCACCCCCACCCCCTAGTGACATTCGGCAATATCTGGAGGCATTTTTGATTGTCACAACCGTGGTGCAAGGAAGTGGTACTGGCTTCTAGTGAGTAGAGGCCAGGGATGCTGCCGAGCATCCCACAGCCCCACAACAAGGATCATCTGGCCCAAAATCCCCATAAAGGTTAGGAAACCCTGACATTGAGATGAAGAACATAGATTGTGGAGCCTAACTGCCTTGATTTGAACCCTAGTTCTGCCATCTCTAGCTGTGTATCCTTGGGTCAGTTGCTTCACTTCTGTCCTTCAGCATCTTCATCTGGGGAAGGAATAATAACTGTCTTCCACATACAGTGGCTGTGTGGATTACTAGGACCTACTGCAGGTGGAGCATTTCAAGCAGAGGCTGGCATCCAGGAGGCACTCAGTGTCAACTCTTATTTCAAGTACTCAGTGAGCACTAGACTTGGTGAAACTACCTGGTGATCAGAACCAAGACTTCAGATAAGATACTTATCTCCATGAGCCAAAGTTTCTCCAGCTGTAAAAAAAACAAAAACAAAACAACAAAAAAACACGTTTCGGGGATCAAATGAAATCAAGAATATGATAGCACTAGGGAAACAGTGGAAAATCTTACAGATACACTTGTATCATTATTATTGCCTCAAACTCTATCCAGTAAGAGAATGTTCTGGGGTGAAGCAATAAACTCTCCCGGGCCAGGCTGTAACTCAGCAGAAGGGACAGCCAGAGAGAGGAAGTGCTCAGAGCAGCACGTTGCAGGCCCAGTCCTTAAGTGCATCCTCAGCTGTGAGTCCAGGAAGTCGCCTTTATTGCTCTGTTATGTGCAAACTGCGCCCCAGCTTCACATACCACTTTCCCCAAAGGAGCGCTTGGCAAACCAGCATACACGCCTGCTCTGCAGACTCTAAACTCTGGGAAAAACAACAGCATAGATGGAAAGAGAGTGCTCTATAAGCCTTTGGCCAGGGATCTCTTCCTGCTCCACCTCTGTCTTCTCTGGCCCCAGTTTTCTGAGCTCTTGGATGAAGGAACTAGATTGCTGGCCTGAACTCCAAGGCCTACTGGAGCCCTCGTTCTAACCACACAGAACTGAGTGAGGATTTTTATTATCTTTAATAGGGAACAATTATATAGCAGGGACTGTGTCTATCAGTTTACATAAATAAAGTTGTGTTGGCGGGGTGTGGTGGCTCATGCCTGTAATCCCAGCACTTTGGGAGGCTGAGGTGGGAGGATTGTTTGAGGCCAGGAGTTCGAGACCAGCCTGGCCAACAAAGCGAGACCTTGTCACTAAAAAAAATTTTTTTAAGTTATGTCTCAGAAGCACCTCGTGAAACATTGGGTATTATGGCCATATTGTTGATACCACTGAGGCTCAGAGACGCTGAGCAACTTGCCCAGAATGCATAGAGCAAGATCCATATCACTCACCCAACACACTGCAGTACCCCAAGCCAGAACATGCAAAGATTTTGGCAAACACTAGGCACTTAATACTGTTAATTGAGTTTAATGAATGAATACAAGGGGAAATCACAAAGTAGTTTGTTCCTCATTGAGCTCTGTCCACTCCGTCTCTCACCACATCATCTCCTCTCCTTGTCTCAGCTCCCAGTGCCCACTCACTCTTGGAAGAGCTCTGCACCCTCTCAGCAGCAAGTAAAACTGTTTTTTGGGGGGTGGGGGCTGGAGTCTCGCTTTGTCGCCAGGCTGGAGTGCAGTGGCACGATCTCGGCTCACTGCAACCTCTGCCTCCCGGGTTCAAGCGATTCTCCTGCCTTAGCCTCCTGAGTAGCTAGGACTACAGACACCCGCCACCATGCCCAGCTAATTTTTGTACTTTTAGTAGAGACGGGGTTTTGCCATGTTGGCCAGGCTGGTTTTGAACTCCTGACCTCAGGTGATCCGCCCGCCTTGGACTCCCAAAGTGCTAGGCTTACAGGCGTGAGCCACTGTTCCCAGCCAGTAAAACTGTCCTTAGGGACCTTCAGTGACAACTATAGAGAACCGTCCTTCTCACTATTCTATTTGGTGAGGCTGCTCTGTGCCAAGCCCTGAGTGGGCTTGAGGACACAGACCTGAGTCATCCCTGACACTTGATTTGAGGGAAGTTCATATCTGTGGGAGGTGGGTGGGAGTGAGTGGGAGACTGATGAGAAAACCGGCTAGTTACAAGATGGCACAATAAAAGCAATCCTTGAAGGGGAAAGGCTCAGGAAAGCCTTCCCTGGAGTGGGAGGAGGGGGGCAGGCAGAGGTGCAGTGAGGCTTCTTTTAAAATTTGCACACCTGTATTTGACATGGACTGGGCCACAGCTGCCCCCTCCCATCATCCCAACTTATCCTACATTCAGTGTCCTGACACCACATGATGGAAAACTGAAAAATAGTCTCTGTCTAGCAGCTCAGAATCAGGACTGGGGAAAAGGAGGAAAGTAACTGCTGCTAGGGACCTACTATAGGCCAGGCACTTTAATCTACTTTAACTTAAAACTAGCCTGTGAGATAGATAGACCCATTGTAGAGTTAGGAGGAAATGAGGTTCAAAGAGGGTAGACAATTTGCTGATGTGACGGTTCCAGAGGAAATTGCTTATAAGGATAAGTAGGTCAGGCCAGGTGCTGTGGCTCATGCCTGTAATCCCAGTACTTTGGGAGGTTGAGGTAGGCTGATCACTTGAGCCCAGCAGTTTGAGACCAGCCTGGGCAACATGGTGAGACCTTGTCTCCATTAATTTTTTTTTTTTTTAATTACCTAGGCATGGTGGTGCACTTGTGTGGTCCCAGCTACTAGGGAGGCTGAGGTGGGAGGATCACCTGAGCCCAGGAGGTCCAGGTTGTGGTGAGCCATGATTGTGCCACTGCTCTCCAGCCTGGGTGACAGTGAGACCCTGTCTCAAAAAATAAAAATAAATAAAAAATAAATGAGGATAAGCAGGTCAATAGGCCTCCCCATTTTGGGTCCTTTTGGAGGTCCACCCTCCTATGGCCCCTGAGAGGGGCAGTATAGGGGTGTCCAGTGAGCTGCAGAATCTGGGTGGGAAGTGAGTACAGCCCAGTTTCCACAGAGCCCTACCAGTTTCTCTGGTCAAACTAATTCAGGTGCCCTCTCCTCTGGAGTGCCCATGGGGATGGTCTAAAGGACAAGAACAGGCAATGCAGCAAGACACTCCTAGATCACTGTCCAGTGGTGGCAGAGACTTGGTGGCAGTGTTCTCATTCTCAGAAAAGAATGAGAGACCAAGGGGAAGGCTGAGGAGAGGGACCTTTCACCTGTTTCTGGGGGCTGCCCAAGAGCCACCAACAGGCTACTGTGGGAACCTCAGTCCAACCTGTAGAGCTCAAGATCCTGCCTAAACCACCCACAATGAGTAGAATTGTGGACAGGAATAGCAAACTACTGCATGCCACCACTCATTAACCCGGTCACAATCACTCCCAATGATCTAATTCTCCACTTCCCCATCCACCTATCACTTCCTCCTCCCTCCTTTCAGTCATTCCCCTATTGCACTCAGTAATTTATTTCTTTCAATGAGTGGGGACACCCGTCAGGCACCTCAAGCACTTTGTTAGGATCCAAGAAGCCTTCATCATGGTGCAAAAAGCATGAGATTCAACCCTTGACAGATGACATAGAACTTTGGCAGAGAGAAACGAGTTAAAACAAAAGCAGTCCCGATGGAAAGAATGGTGGGAGCTAAGGCAGAGAAGTATTAAAGTCTCGGAGAAATGTTGGTGATCATTTGTCATTTACTTTGTCATTTACTTTGACAGAGCAGTGTTTCCCAGGAATGTTTGACCATGGAGAATCTCAGATCAGTGGCCTGAGGAATGCACTTCAGGAAAAGCTGGGAGGTGTGTGTGTGTGTGTGTGTGTGTGTGTGTGTGTGTGTGTACAGGAAGGTGAGGGCATTTGTACTTGCTTCTGGAGGTGGTGATCCCCAACATCTAATACACAGAATACTAGTCCTCAGGGATGCTGTATTAGTCTATTCTTGCATTGCTGTAGAGAACTACCTGAGACTGGGTAATTTATAAAGAAAAGTGGTTTAATCAGCTCATGGTTCCACATGCTGTACAGGAAGCATGGCTGGGAGGCCTTAGGAAACTTACAACCACAGTGGAAGGCAAAGAGGAAGTAGGCACATCTTACATGGCTGTAGCAGGAGGAAGAGAGAGAGGAAAGGGGGAGGTGCTATGCACTTTCAAAAAACCAGATCTCATGACAACTCTGTCACAAGACAGCACTGGAGGATGTGCCTAAATCATTAGAAACCACCCCCATGATTCAGTCAACTCCCACAAGCCTTCCCCTCCAACACTGGATTATAATTCAACCTGAGATCTGGGTGGAGACACAGAGCCAAACTGTATCATTCCACCCCTGGCCCCTCCCAAATCTCATGTCCTCACACTTAAAAACACAATAATTACTTCTCAATAGTTCCCTAAGTTTTAACTCAAAAGTCCACAATCCAAATTCTCATCTGAGACAAGGCAAATCCCTTTCACCTATGAGCCTATAAAATCAGAGGCAAGTTAGTTACTTCTAAGATACAGTGTGGGTATAGGCATTGGGTAAATGCTGCCATTCCAAAAGGGAGAAATTGGCCAAAACAAAGAGGCTACAGGCCCATGCAAGTCCAAAATCCAGCAGGGCAGTCATTAAATCTCAAAGTTCCAAAATAATCTCTTAAGACTCCATATCTCATATTCAGGCCACATTGATGCAAGGGGTGGGCTCCCAAAGTCCTGGGCAGCTCCACCCCTGTGGCTCTGCAGGATATAGACCCCTTGGCTGCTTTCATGGTCTGGTGTTGAGTGCCTGTGGCTTTTCCAGCTACAGGGTGCAAGCTGTTGATGGATCTACCATTCTGCCATCTGGAGGATGGTGGCCGTCTTCCCACAGCTCCACTAGGCAGTGCCCCAGTGGAGACTGTGTGGGGGCTCCAGCCCCACATTTCTCCTCCACAGTGCCCTAGTACAGGTTCTCCATGAGGGCTCCACCCCTGCAGCAGACTTCTGCCTGGACATCCAGGTGTTTTCATATATCCTCTGAAATCTAGGTGGAGGCTCCCAAGCCTCAGCTCTTGCTCTCTGTGCACCCACAGGAAGCTGCCAAGACTTGCTTGCACTTTTTGAACAGTAGCCTGAGATACAGCTTGGCCCCTGTTAGGCATGGCTGGGACGCAGGGAGCAGTGTCCCAAGGTTGCGCAAGACAGCAGGGCCCTGGGCCCAGCCAGTGAAACCATTCTTCCCTCCTAGGCCTCCAGGCCTGTGATGGGAAGGGCTGCCGCAAAGATCTCTGCAATGCTATGGACGCATTTTCCCCATTGCCTTGGCTATTAACATGCTTTAATGTAATTAAGTATTTAATAAGTAAAGCTCCTCTTATGCAAATTTCTGAAGCCAGCTTGAATTCCTTCCCCGAAAATGTGTTTTCCTTTTCTACCACATGGCCAGGCTGCAAATTGTCCACATCTTTGTGCTTTGCTTCCCTTTTAAATATAAGTTCCAATTTCAAGTCATTTCTTTGTTTATGCAGGTGAGTGTAGGCTTTTAGAAGCAGTGAGGCCACATCATGAATGCTTTGCTGCTTAGAAATTTCTTCCACCAGATACCCCAGATCATCTCTCTCAAGTTCAAAGTTCAAGAAATCCCTAGAGCACAGGGGCATAATGCTGCCAGTCTCTTTGCTAAAGCATAGCAAGAGTGACGTTTACACCAGTTCCCAATAAGTTTCTCATCTCCATCTGAGACCTCTTTAGCCTGGACTTCATTGTCCATATCACTATCAGCATTTTGTTCACAACCACCACCCCCGTGATTCAATCACCTCCCACTAGGCCCCTCCTCCAGCACTGGGGATTACAATTCAGCATGAGATTTGGGTGGGGACACAGAGCCAAACCACATCAGATGGACTGGAAAAATGGTCCCAGCAGCAAGCGTAGAGAGCACCAGGCCTCAGATGGGTTCACCAGACCCAGCAGCATGTTAAAGGCCACCCCACCCCAAACCTATGCAGCAAAGACACTTGAACATCACTTAACCCTGCATGTACCAAACTTATTTCACCAAAAATCCTTTTGTGTCATGGAACGTCTTTATTTGAGGGAGTGGGGAATTGACTGGTTGTTTGTTTGAGACAGAGCCTTACCCTGTTGCCTAGGCTGGAGTGCAGTAGCACGATCTCGGCTCACTGCAACCTTTACCTCCCAGGTTCAGCCAATTCCCCTGCCTCAGCCTCCCGAGTAGCGTGCCGCCACACCTGGCTAATTTTTGTATTTTTAGTAGAGACGGGATTTGGCCATGTTGGCCAGGCTGGTCTTGAACTCCTGACCTCAGGTGATCTGCCCGCCTCGGCTTCCCAAAGTGCTGGGATTACAGGTGTGAGCCACCGTGCCCAGCTGATTGACTGTTTTTTGAAAAAGCTACCATGGGCTTATGGTATTAATATATTCCAAACAGTGCACTAGGGTGCACTTTGAAGCGTTTTCCTCCCACCCTTGGCTCCTTCAGTCTCCAGTTTCCTTCTCCAAAGGTGGTCATTTGTCTCCCTTCTGTATCCTCCCAAGTTCCAGGCTACACAAGGATGTATGGGTGTGTTTTCTTTTCAAAATGCAGGTGGAGGCAGCTGATAAACACATCTCTACTGCAGGTATTTTAAGGGCTTAGGTGCAAGGCAGTGTTCAGCAATGGTGTCATGGGGACACCTCCTTTGGCTGGACCTGAGGAATGAGGAGGAACTATCCAGGGGTCCTAAGGATATATCATAGTGCATTTAGCCATTCTTCCAGTGAGGGGCATTGAGATAGTTTCTAGTCTTCTGTTAATCTAAACCAGGGTTGGCAATCTATGGATTCCTGACCAGATCCAGCTCAGCTCTTGTTTTTTATGTACCTTAAGCTATGAATTTTTTATGTTTATAAATGGGTTTTTTTGTTTGTTTGTTTATTTGTTTGAGACAATTTGGCTCTGTTGCCCAGGCTGGAATACGGTGGCACAATCTCAGCTCACTGCAACCTCCACTTCCCAGGTTCAAGTGATTATCATGCCTCAGCCTCCCGAGTAGCTGGGACTACAGGCATGTGCCACCAAACCCAGTTAAGTTTTGTATTTTTGGTATAGACGGGGTTCCACCATGTTGGCCAGGCTGGTCTCAAACTGCTGGCCTCAAGTGATCCTCCTGCCTCAGCATCCCAAAGTGCTGGGATTATAGGCATGAGCCACCACAAGCAGCCTGTAAATGATTTTGAAAAAATAATATTTTGTGACACATGAAAAGTATACAAAATTTAAGTTTCAACATTTGTAAATAAGATTTTATTGGAACACAGGCATACCCATCCGTTTACGTTTGTTTATGACTGCGTTTGAGCTGCAGCAGCATTGTGGATTAGCTACAATGAGACCATATAGTCTGGGTATGGTGGCTCAACGCCTGTAATTCCAGCACTTTGGGAGGCTGAGGCAGGTAGATCACTTGAGCCCAGGAGTTCAAGAGACTGTATAGTCCTCAAGCCTAAAATAGTTACTGTCTATCCTTTACAGAAAAAGGTTGCTGACCTCTGCTTTAAACAATGCTGCAACAAATATCTTTCCCCATTACTGCAAACATGTAAGTAGATCTCTCATAAATAGCCCATTTGGTCTAAGCCAATCTGAGAGACATAGCTCAAAAAGCACATTTCACCGATTTTAGTTAATTTTTCTTTTATTATAAGTGAAGTTAACTAAGCATCTTTTTAAACACATAAAAGTGTTGGGCCATGTGTGGTGGCTCACACTTGTAATCCCAGCAATTTAGGAGGCTGAGACAGGAGGATAATTTGAGCCCAGGAGTTCAAGACCAGCTGGGTAACATGGTGAGACTGCTATCTCTACTAAAACTACTACCCAGGCGGGGTGTGGTGGCTCACGCCTGTAATCCCAGCATTCTGGGAGGCGGAGGCAGGAGGATCACTTGAGGTCAGGAGTTCAAGACCAGCCTGGCCAACATGGCAAAACTCCGTCCCTACTAAAAATACAAAAATTAGCCAGATGTAGTGGCGGGCACCTGTAATCCCAGCAACTCAGGAGGCTGAGGCAGGAGAATCGCTTGAACCCAGGAGGTGGAGGTTTCAGTGAGCCGAGATTGTGTCACTGCACTCTAGCCTGAGTGACAAGAGCGAAACTCCATCTCAAAAATAAAATAAAATAAAATAAAATAACTACCCGGTGTGGTAGCACATGCCTGTAGTCCCAGCTACTAGGGAGGCTGAGGCAGGAGGATTGCTTGAATCTGGAAAGTCAAAGCTTCAATTAGTCATGATTGTTCCACTGCACTCCAGCCTGGGTGACAAAGTGAGACCCTGTCTCAAAAAAAAAATTATATACATATATTTATATGTGTGTGTATATATATATATCATGTGTGTGTTTCCTCTTTTCTGTAAAATGTTTTTTTCAATTTGATAAAGAATATGGGCCAGGTGTGGCGGCTCACGCCTGTAAACCCAGCACTTTGGGAGGCCACGGTGGGTGGATCACTTGAGCCCAGAAGTTCGAGATAAGCCTGGGCAACATAGCGAGATCCTATCTCTACAAAAAGTTTAAAAATTAGCCAGGCATGGCTGGGTGCGGTGGCTCACACCTGTAATCTCAGCACTTTGGGAGGCTGAGGTGGGTGGATCACAAGGCCAGGAGATCGAGACCATCCTGGCTAACACGGTGAAACCCCGTCTCTGCTAAAAATACAAAAAATTAGCGGGGCATGGTGGCGGGAGCCTGTAGTCCCAGCTACTTGGGAGGCTGAGGCAGGAGAATGGTGTGAACCCAGGAGGCGGAGCTTGCAGTGAGCCGAGATCGCAACACTGCACTCCAGCCTGGGCGACAGACTCTGTCTCAAAAAAAAAAAAAAAAAAAAATTAGCCAGGTGTGGTGGTGCGTGCCTGTAGTCCTGGCTACTCAGGAGGCTGAGGTGGGAGGATCACCTGAGCCTGGAAGGTTGAAGCTGCAATGAACTGTGATCATGCCACTGCACTCCAGCCTGAGCAACAGAGTGAGACCCTGTCTCCAAAAAAAACAAAAAATATGAGCAAAAGTATTTTTCTTATTGCTTTACAAAAACAAGGGGGAATTAGCATTTTGTGTCTTGCATCCAAATGTTTTCTCCATTTGTTACTTGACTGACTTTTTTTTTTTTTTTTTTTCATGTAATAATGCTCACCTTGTCAGTGAAGGGAAGGTGGGTCCAGGTGCTGACAGTGAAGGGGATGGGGGACCTTGGCCAGGCAGACAATACTTGTTTCTGGATCCCCTACCTTGTTCCCAGCCCTGTCCCAGGCACTGGGGTCCAGCGGTGAGTGAGGCGGGCGGAGGCTCTGCCATCATGGCAGTGATGGGTAAGCAGGGCAGTACTAAGCGCAGGTGTTACAGGGACACCTCCCCAGCTGGACCTGAAGAATGAAGAGGGACTACCCAGGGGTCCGGGCTGCAGCGGGAGGATTCTGAGCAATAACTCGTACAAGGTTAGATCTTGGAGAGACAGAGGTTTCAGAGTGCAGGTTCTTGGAGCCTAAGCTCTACTGAGTGGTGATGAAGCACCTGGTATGGCCACACATGAAAGGCAAGGACAGGAGTCCCAGGAGTCTCGTCAAGTCTCTGAGGTGCACAGAAAGCTGCCCTGTGAGGGTCTAGAGAGTTTCACCTCTTTGTATGGAGGAGCAAAGTACCTCTCAGGGCTGCAGCTACCCTGCCAACAGACTTAAACTAGGGTCTGAGGGTTTAGAATTGGCCAGGGCGGAGGTGAAGCATTGCTCCGCACCAGGAACAGCAAAGGGCGTGAGGACAAGTCTGGCCTCTCTTGCAACGAAGACCTCTCCCTGCCCTTCCACAGCCCTAGCCTCCACTTCAGTTCTACCTCTCCAGAGTATCAAAGGGAGAGACAACTATGCCTGCAAAGACCAAGCGGCAGCCTGGGAGGGGAGGAGGGGGCTGGAGGGAGATGTGGCTAGAGGGTGAGACCAGCCCCTCAGGCCTTTAACATCAGGCTAAGCCAGCAGCCTACCAGCTGCTCCCCTGCCCAAAGCACCACCCCCAGAGCTCCCTGCAGGCGATGACAAGGATGAAGTGGGGAGGCAGGGGGAGAGTCAAGAGCTCACAAAGGTTCTGCTGTGCTTGACCAGGGCCTCCGCCAGAGCCAGATTGTTTGCTTGCTTGGAGGGAAGGATCTGATTTAAAAAGGTGGTGGCCCTGGGGTTCAGGGCCAGGCCTGCTGGCTGCCATCCTACACAGCAGCCCCACTCCAAACTCTCCATCCTGGGGCCCCCTCATTCCTCTTTACTTTGGTGTTCCCAGTTAGACCCAAGTAGGACTCCACAGCTTTGGGCAGAGGACTTACAAAGCAGCAGGGGCCAGTGCTCACACTTGGGACTCTAGATCACTGGGGGACCTGCAGGACCAGCCTGCTGGGGACTTCATGGAGAAGGAGGTGCGTGGAGGTGGCCCTTCACTGAGCACCTGCTGTATGCTGGGCATTGGGCAGGGCACTTCGTTTATGGGGTTCCCTTTTCATCCTTTAAGCAACAGTAGGTATTATTGTCTCCATTTTACAGACAAGAAAAGAGAGTCCTAGAAAGGCTAAGGGGACTCGCCCAGGTTTACACAGTGAGTCAGTGGTAGGGCTAGAATTCTAACTCAGGTTGGCCCCACCTGTGAATCTAATCTGTGCTTAACCCCTACACTGCTTTGTGCAGGACATAACCCTGTCTTGCACATGTCTGGCACAGAGTGAAGGTCCCATCATGTTGACTTTATCATGCACTTTCTCAGCTGGAGCTGTGGGCCTCACAGCAGCCCTTCGGGGTCAGTAATGCTTCTCTCGCTTTCATGATGTGGAGGCTCAAGCTTGCAGAAGTTGAGCAACTTGCCCAGGGTCACACAGCTAGTCGCAGAGGGTCAGGGAAGTCGGGGAAGTTCAAAGAAATGTGGAGTAGAGTGGGTTTGCCCAAGGAATGACAGGAATGTTCAAGGAACTGAAAGCTGGAAGTGTCTGCGGAAGCTGCAGATCTGCCGGCAAGCAGTGGGGCTGCTTATGGAGTAGTGAGCCCAGGCCCTGGAGCGGGGTCCTGGGGGACTCTCACTCAGCAGAAGAGCAGCCATCAGACACCTGGGCTTGGGACGCCTGCCTGGTCCCTTGTGTTACTTGGAAATGTCAGCAAGAAGGGCCCTTCACCGGGCATGTTTCTCTTCTGTCAGATGAGGGCTGTTAAATGAGGTCTTTGATTTTACTGTTCAGCAGTGGCATCTTTCTTTAAAATAGTCTTGGCCAGGCATGGTGGCTCACACCTGTAATCCCAGCACTTTGGGAGGCTGAGGCAGGTGGATCACCTGAGGTCAGGAGTTCGAGACCAGCCTGGCCAACATGGTGAAACCCCCGTCTCTACCAAAAATACAAAAATTAGCAGGGCATGGTGGCGTGTGCCTATAGTCCCAGCTACTCTGGAGGTTGAGGCAGGAGAATCGCTTAAACCCAGGAGGTGGAGGTTGCAGCGAGCCGAGATCGCGCCACTGCACTCCAGTCTGGGTGACAGAGTGAGACTCTGTCTCAAAAAAAAAAAAAAGTCTTAAGCTGAACTTTATTCATTCGCCCATTCAACAAATATTGAGACTTTCAAGGCACCTGAAACATATGGTTGACCAGACTTCTTCCTGCTTTGAGTGTCTCTGACTTGTGTTACAGAAATTAAGGGTCCCTACCCCTCCACTCAGGGTAGGAATGGGGCCACCTGGGCTGCTATGGGCCCATGCCCTCATTTGGGAGCTCCTTAACCATGGTGCTCCTCTGAAAGGTTCCCTGTCAGAGCTGAGTATATTCATATACTCACAATTGGCCATTTCACAGATTGGGTGGGAAGGCCCAAAGAGTGGGCCAAACCCTGGGTCCCCTGAAGCAGCCTCTTTGTGGCATCATTCATCAAAGAGGCTTTGTGCAATCGGAGGAAACTGGGCGTGTCCATGAGGAGAGAGAAGCAGCGAGGAGGCAAGAGTGAGCAAAGCCCACCAGGCGGGAAAGAGGCCCATTTTGCAGAAGCCAACCCCCTCCCTCCGCCTGGCAGAGCCTTCCTAACAACCTTCCCTCCTCCACCCACACCCGCCAGCCTCTGCCCAGAGCCAGGGTGTCAGCTTGGGTTTGGTGACAGCAGCCCTGAAGGAGGTGTTGGATGGTTGAAGCCCTCCATTGTAGCAGCTCTGGCATCTTCTATGAGCCCAGCCTCGCCAAGTTGTCCTCTTGCCAACTGGAGAGAGGCTGGCTCCTGAGGGATCCTCTCCAACTAGGTAACTCGATTCCCTGCAGCCCAGCACCAGCCCAGCTCTGGCCACCAGAGCCGGAGCTCTGAAGAGTTTACCTCCAACATGGCAGTGAGCAGTTTTCAAGGTCAAGGAGGGTGGCCACCAGGAGCTCCTGAGCCAGGGTGCATGGGGAGAACACAGGGCTGGCAGGCCAGGTTCTAGCTCCAGCTCTTCACTAACTTGCTGTGTGTCTTTGAATGTATCACCTCCTCACTCCGGACCTCAGTTCTCATAAAAGGGAGACTGACAGAAGGTCCCTAAGTGCTTACAGATGGACTGGCCAGGGTCGTCTTGGTCTATAGCATCCCTTTCAAATAAAGATCTGACTATTCTGTGCCTGGTGATCAGGGTGCCCAATGGCTGTGAGTCCCCCTCACCTGGCCTCTGGCCTTTCCAGTGGTAGGGAGAGCAGGGGCTGGCAGCTGCTGTCTTTGTTCTCAGCCTCTCTCAGAAGTCAGAGAACATTAGAAATTCAGTGGAACTACACTGGGTGTGGCTTCCACTTCCCTTAAGATAACCGAGTGAAACTGGATTTTTCTCAACAACTATGATAAAGCTTAAGAACAAGCTAGATATAGGATTCCACTTCACATCTGAATCCCTCAATTGACAAAAACCAATGTGTGAGTGATATTGTGAAATGACACTTTTGGCTTTCTCCCCTAGAATGTTACTATCACACATGTAAAGCATACTATTGTAATTTCACCTACCATTCACTGTTCACTGCCTTTTCATAAGGACAAACTGGACTCTATTGAGATTACGCTTTTCCCATTTTGGGCATCAAAAATTTATTTTAGATGAAGTAGTGGTGCAATAGTACACGACAGTTTTTCTTTTTTTCTTTTTTTAAAATTTTTTGAGATGGAGGATGGAGTCTTGCTCTGTCTCCCAGGCTGGAGTGCAGTGGTGCGATCTCGGCTCACTGCAACTTCTGCCTCCTGGGCTCAAGCAATTCTCTGGCCTCAGCCTCCTGAGTAGCTGGGATTACAGGCACCTACCATCATGCCTGGCTAATTTTTGTAGTTTTAGTAAAGATGGCCAGGCTGGTCTCAAACTCCTGACCTTGAACTTCTGGCTGATCTGCCCACCTTGGCCTCCCAAAGTGCTGGGATTACAGGGGTAAGCCACCACGCCCAGCCTAGTACATGATATTTTTCGAGTAAACTTTTCACAAAGTCTAATATGTATTCAGAATAATCAGACTCCTAAATGTACAGCTTGATGCCTTACCACTAAGTGAACACACCATGGAACCACAGAACATCATGATAGTTCTTTTTCTAATGTTTTTTGTTTGTTTGTTTTGTTTTGTTTGTTTGTTTTGGTTTTTTTAGCAAACTAAAAAAGCTGGTAACTTTACGCTGGTCACCTCCTCTTCATTTAAATTTTACCAGTTGGTAAAATCTAGAATTTGGAGATGTTCTGGGCTAGCCGATCTAATAATGTTCCACGCAGTGCTGCTGGAGCCCTTGGAGCCATTATCTTCTGTGACACACCAACCAGAGGGAAGCAGACGTGGGCCAGGGGCCCACTTCACCCCATCTCAAGAGATAGGAAGAATCCGGCCAAAACATCCCCTCCAGATTCAGCAGAGTTGGCTGCTTGATGCCAGAGCCAAGGGGCAGTGAGGAGGAGTGGCTTTGGATGGGAGATGCTGGAGGATGAATCATTCCTCCCATTCAGGCCTCTCTCGCAGCCTCTTTTCATCAGCCATTACTTTTCCCTTCCACCCACCCACCCCAGGGGCAGGTCTTCCGGACACCTAGGAATCCTCAGGTGCATGTTGTGCATCACCATTGCCATCCCCTCTCCCCCACTCAATTCTCAAGTCACAGCTCTGAGACCCAGGAAGCATCCTCTGACCGTTTTTTTCCCTATTGATAATGGAGAAACCCTGGCACCTTTGTGAAAGGCTATGAAAGTTGTTCAAAATCACACAACAGGCTGGGAATCCAGGAGGCCACATCCGCTCAACCAAGGCAATGCACATTTGTCAAGGACTTGCTTTGTACCCAAACACAGACCAAGGTGATTCTAAGGAAGAAGACCCTTTCTGTTCAGTAAGTCTTAAGTACTATTATGCTCAATAAATATGTGCCTGGCCCTCACTAGGTGTTGACCATTCATGCATTCAGCAAATATTTTATTGAGCAGTCTCTCTGTGTCACTGCTTTTGACTCTAAATTATTTGCTTATACTACTACTTCTTGATTTTTCAGTTTCTTTCTCTTTCTCTCTCTCTTTCCCCTTACTTTCTCCACACTCACATGTACATTTTGTGTCTCCCTACTTCCACCTAGTATCACAAGTTTGATTGGAACAGTATTCATGTTTTCATTATTAGGCTACGTAAATGCTATTGACAACTGGGCCGTGTAGTATTCTATAATTATTTTTCCTTCCCTGCATAACAATTGTGGTTATGCATATCTCCTTTCAATATGTTTAAATGCATTGGCTAGTCTACTGATTTCATCTTCCTGAAGAAGTCCCTCCCAGAGTCTTCCACCATGTCCCATTAGGATGAATTGTCTTCTATTGCACAATAGAATAGAATGGCCTGGGGATTCCTTTGCCCCTATCCTTTGTTACATTTTCTTTTCCTTGGATGCCATGTTTTCCTCTTTCTTGGTTAACTCCCTCACTTCTGTTGAAGCACATCCTCCAGAAGCTTCCTCAGGAAACATGCAAAGATAATTCACATGACTAGAAATGTATTCTCTCTTCACCCTTGATCATCAGTTGGCTGGGTGGAAATATAACTTTCTGGGATGGAAATATAACTTTCTTCAGAATTTTGGAGACATTTCCCCATTTTGCAGCAATATCTTATTTCTTAGGATGTTAATTATAGTTTTAAGTTTTCAGCTTTTTGCAAAGTTGCCAGCTTCTAAGTTCCTTTGTTGTTTCCCCCTATTCTTTTGACTTCTTTTTTAATTAGAGGCTTTTCTCAAATGCTTACTCATCCTTTGCTGTCTGCTCATATTTAAGAATGAGACACTAAAACAGATTTGATACCCTCTGAACATGATTGGGGCTGTGCACATGATTGGGCCATTCCATGTCTTTTATTTTGTGCTAGTCAAAAGAAAAGCTCCTCCAATCTCCTGCCTGAAGCATTCTGTGTATCCTGTCTGGAGTATTAGTATTTTGCCAGGAGAGAGAGTATCTGGAAGTCTGATTGTTTTCCAAGCAATCTTTCTGTTTTTAGCCTCCACCCCGCCCACCTCCGACCCACCCACTTTCCAGAGGTACCTGGTACAACCAACTCCTGAACCATTTGGGGGTTTAACAGTGTAAATTGGGCTGATTTTCAACTTTCTTTATTGCCTTTTAGGATTTAATCAATTACCATTCTTTGTTGGCTGTGTCTGGTTTCCAATATTATGATAAATCCCTTTAGTGTTGTTTTAGTTGGTTTCAGGGAAGACCATAGTGCGAGTTCCGCTTGCTATCTTTATTCTAGTTCAATTTTTAAATGGGCAGTAACAACACATTTCAGAGCAGGAAGTCTCTGTTTAAAGTTATAAACATTAACAGAGACTGTAACCAGAATATGGAAAAGGGCCTAGAGGGGCCCTTCCCCACCAGTTCTTTACCTATTAAGACTCCTGGCTCTAAAAGCCCAGGTCAAAAGCCACTCCTTGCGATGCCTTCCTCAGACTGCCCAGCTTGTATTTGTTTTATTCAAGTTAGGCCAACTGAGTGATAGACATTACAGTACTTTATAGACATTATTCCATTTAAACCTTTACACTCTAAAGTGATAGACTTTTGGAGAGGTGGATGCACTGATCAAGATCCCACAGCCTTCCTGACCACTTCACAGGTGGAAAACTGAGGTGGTCCCATGGCCAGAGCTAAGAAAGGCGGTGCTGATTCCTGGGCCCCCGCTGCTCACGGCGCCCTTTGGCATCACAGTAGGCCAAGGGCAGCTCACTCTTTGGTGGCCCCAAGAATAACGGGGGCAGTTTACTGAGAGATCTCAGTAAACTGACAGTTTACATTTACTGAGATTGTAACAGTCCAAGGGGTTCACCTTGCCCACTGCCTGGACAGAGCCGATTCTTCAAGACAGGGGAATTGCAATAGAGAAAGAGTAATTCATGCAGAGCTGGCTGTGCGGGAGACCAGAGTTTTATTATTACTCAAATCAGTCTCCCCAGGCATTGGGGAGCAGAGTTTTGAAGGATAACTTGGTGGGTGGGGGGAAGACAGTGTGCCAGGAGTGCTGATTGGTCAGAGATGAAATCACAGGGAGTGGAAGCTGTCTTCTTGCGCTGAGTCAGTTCCTGGGTGGGGGCCACAAGATCAGATGAGCCAGTTTATTGATCTGGGTGGTGCCAGCTGATCCATCAAGTGCAGGGCCTGTGAAACATCTCAAGCACTGATCTTAGAGCAGGTTAGAGAGGGTCAGAATCTTGTATCCTCCAGCTGCATATAATTCCTTATCTTGTGGCTAATGTTAGACCTGCCAAAGCAATCTAGTCCCCAGGCAAGAAGGAGGTCTGCTTTGGGAAAGGTCTGTTACCATCTTTGTTTAAACAATAAACTATAAACTAAATTTCTCCCAAAGATAGTTCAATCTATGCTTAGGAATGAACAAGGACAGCTTGGAGGTTAGAAGCAAAATGGAGTCAGTTAAGTTAGATCTCTTTCACTGTCTCAGTCATAATTTTACAAAGGCGGTTTCAAGATCTCTCAGTAAATGACAGACCTGAGACTTAAACTCAGGTCTCTACCATGCAGCCCTTCTGACATAATTGCTGACTTTGAGGAGCCCCAAAGGTAGAGCTCATATTTTGGTGAAAAAATGGCACATGGTACTGCAGTCAGCCCTGGGCACGTACAAGGAGCACCAAATGGGGGTGAAGGAGTGGTGTTCAGTTCAGAGGAAAGAGGGCTTCCTCCCAAATGACCAGGGCTGCCTTTGCAGAGGTGGTAGCATCTGAGCTCATCACCCCACAGGTTCAGGATGGCTTCTTTCCTTGCCTAGGGGATGGGCGGTGACAGTGAATAATAATGATGGTGGTGGTGAAGTTAGTAAAGCACTTTTACTCACATCTCTTTGATTTTACAGAACCTTGTGGGCTGAATGTTATCTCCACTTTAGGCAAGATAAAATCAAGACACAGAGAAGTTAGTCACCCAGCAGGAAAGCCTGGGCTTCAGGGTCCAAGTCCCTCCCTTCCGAGTCCTCGCTCTCTGCTCTCTGCTGTAACTAGGCCGAGGGGGAAGCTTCCTATTCCAAAGCATCTCTTCACCAGTGCTTCACAACATGTGGACTATTTCCTTGTTTTAAAGAGCTGATTTCTGGGTCCCATCTCAGACCTACTGCGTCTCTGGGAGATGGGGCCTTGAAATCTGCATTTTAACAACTGTCCCCGTGATTCTTGTGGTCACCTAAGAGTGAGATGCCCTCGGCCTACTGGGATGCTGAAGGACGCTGTGAGCAGCGGGGGCCCAGGAATCAGCACTGCCTTTCTTAGCTCTGGCCATGGGACCACCTCAGTTTTCTGCCTGAGAAGTGGGCAGAGTCGAGACTCCGAGGGTGCCACGCCCCGGCTGCCACCCCGCCAGCACAGGCGAGCGCCACACCTGCGTCTCTCCCAGGCTCCCTCCCTTCTCCGTCCCGCCCGCCCGGGTGGAAGGAAACAGCTGGGGGCTCTTCTTTTCCAGGCTGCGGTCGCCTCCTCTTCGGTTGCGGACGGGCCGAGGTTGGGGGCTCGGGCCGCTTTCCGCACGCGCCGACCCCCGCCGGGGACCGCAGGGGACCCGAGTGCGCGGGGCTTCCCGCCCGCCGGGCAGCCTCCCCCACCCCGCCTGCCCCGCCGGCAGCCCACAAATATTCCCGAGGCCCGGAGGGGGCAGAAAACGCCTTTCCAGCGCGTCTTCTGGCCCCGGCCCACCTTTCTGCGCGCGGAACCCTTCGAGGAGAGGCCTGGACACCCGTCAGTACCGCGCCCCCAAACCCTCGCCCTGCGCAGCCCGAGGGCGCAAGCGTGGGCCTTGTGGGGCGGGCATGGGCAGGGCAGGCAGACACAGACCCAGGGTGGGAGCTGGGGGAGGGCACCCCACTCAATCCGGGGCTCAGGGAAGGCGTCCTGGAGGGATTTCAGCTAAGCTCTGAAAGATGAACGGATATGATGGACAGAGGGAACAGAATATGCAAAGACCAACAGGGGGGCAGTTGGAGAAATTCCAAATACTGTGTGTTGTTGAAACGCTGAATTCAAGGTGTAGTGGCTCAAGATGGGGCTGGAGAGAGTGGGGAGAGCCAGTCCCGAGCAGGTCCTTGGCAAACCATGCTGGAGGATGGGCGACTCTGAGGGATTGTAAGCAGGACCCTGACTGGCCAGTCATTTGCTTTCCGGGAAGGCCACTCTGGCTGGTGTCGGGGGGGGGCGGGGGGGGACTGGGGGAGTGGCAGGGGATGGGTGAGGAGGCTGTAGGCAGAAGTCACAGTGCCTGCACCCAGGTGACGGGAGTGGGAATGTCTCCCTCCTGCCAACCCTCCTCCTTCCTCGTTAGTCCAGCTTGGACCCTCTTCCAAGGCCTCTCTCAGTGCCCCACTCACCACCTCCAGGAAGTCTTCCCTGCTCCCTCAGGGTCTCAGAACGCCAAAGCCTGTATCTGGTTATTTGCTGCCTTGTCTTTGGAATTAATTTGTGTGCGTCAGCCTTCAAGGGAGCCGAGCATGGTGATCAAGGCCACCCGAGAACCCCAGTTCTACTGCAGACATGTGACCTGGGAAAGTCTTTCATTCACTCTGAGCCTCACTTTATTCCTCTGTAAAATGGGGAGAATGATCCCTCCACTGAAGGATTCTATACGCCTGGCATTTGATGTATGCTTAGTGAGTGAGCTTTTTCTCCATTAGAGTTGGTCAGCCTGGAAACCAGACAAGGGCCCTTTGAGTGTCTCCCGAAACTTCTCTAGGGCTTTTAGATAGAAGTAACCGGATAGCAGCGATCTTAAGGCCGAGGATTGGAATACCGGAGTCCCTGTGTGACTTCAGGCAAGTCAGGGCCCCACTCTGGATAACAAAGGGGCAGGCAGGAGGACCCCTACAGTCCCCACTGCTGCTCTTTTAGGCATTCCCTTTCTGGCGGAGTTCCTTGGGTTTCCTTGGGAGGCAGAGGCACCTGGAAGACCAACCCAGAGCTGAAGATCTAAAATGACAGATTGGCAGGGTCCTGGCTTGGAGCAGCTGCAGCAGGTATCCAGGCATGGGAGCAGGCATCTTGGGCACAACAGGATCAGATGATTGTGAGCAAAGCCACGGGATTTGGGTAGGTCCCAGATGAAGGAGCCATGAGTAGTGTCAGCACACCCTTCTCTTTGCCCAGATGAAAGTCCAGTGAGCCACCCATGGTTATGTGGCAAGCTCATGGGAAGGCATTTTGGCTGACAGGAAGAGCAGGAACAAAGTGGTCAAGACTCCCATGTTCAACACAGGTGACTTAAGTCTATAATGAGGTAAAGCACGGGAAAACATCTAGTCTAATGGCACATAGTAGATGCTTAATAAATGCAAATGTATTGAACACCAGACCTTATGCTGAGAAGCAATGGGTCACACACAGTCTCTTCCCTTGAGCTCAGAGCCTGGGGAGGGCAAGAGATGGGTACAGAAACATTCCTGGCCTATGCAGGGATAAAGGACAGCACAGGAACTATGGGGACCCAGAGGAAGATGGGATTGAACTTTTATCGAGAGCAGGCTGTGTGCCCAGTAGTGAACTTGGGGAGAAAGGTATATTGAGGAAGGCAACTCATGGAGGAGGTGACTTTGCACTGGCACTTTTTGTTTTGTTTGAGATGGAGTCTTGCTCTGTTGCCCAGGGTGGAGTGCAGTGGCACCATATCGGCTCACTGCAATCTCCACCTCCCAGTTTACGCAATTCTTTTGCTCAACCTCAGAGCAGCTGGGACTACAGGCATGTGCCACCACCCCTGGCTAATTTTTGTTGTTTTAGTAGAGACAGGGTTTCACCATGTTGACCAGGCTGGTCTCGAACTCCTGGCCTCAAGTGATCCACCCTCCTCGGCCTCCCAAAGTGCTGGAATTACAGGTGTGAGCCACCACGCCTGGCCTGCACTGGTTTTTAAGCCAAGAAGGCAGAGAAAGTTATTTCAAGCAGAGGCAAGAATATATATCGGGGGCCAGGCGCAGTGGCTCACGCCTGTTACCCCAGCACTTTGGGAGGCCGAGGTGGGTGGATCACGAGGTTAGGAGTTCGAGACCAGCCTGACCAACATGGTGAAACCTCGTCTCTACTAAAAATACAAAAATTAGCTGGGCGTGGTGAGGTGTGCCCGTAATCCCAGCTACTCGGGAGGCTGAGGCAGGAGAATTGCTTGAACCTGGGAGGTGGAGGTTGCAGTGAGCTGAGATCACATCATTGCACTCCAGCCTGGGCGACAGAGCAAGACTCTGTTTCAACACAAAAAAAAAGAATATATATTGGTCGGTGCAAAAGTAATTGTGGTTTTTGCTGTTGACTAAAGGCAAAAATTGCAATTTTGCACCAACCTAATACAAAGCCACAAGACTGGGGAAAGTATGGAACGTTTAAGGAGCTGGTGAGTATTTTGCTGTATAGGAAATGGGGCATCAGAGGTCAGCAGAGGCCCGGATGGGAAGAGCCTTGAATGCCAACTAAGGAGCAAGCATGGACTCCAAGGGCAGTGAGGAACCATGAAAGGTTTCTGAGCAAGAGAATGATGTGGTCAGAATCCATTACAGAAGGAAGCATCTTGCATTCATCGAGCCATCTGGAGAGACCTGGGGGTGGCGGGGAGGGAACTGGGCCAGTGGGCCCAGGTAGGAACTCTTAGCTGTGCTTCAGTCCACTGGGATTTATTTAGGTCAGAGCCGGGCTCCTGGGACTGGTGGCCTCTTCCCACATGGACAGTAGGTGGCGCTGCAGCTCTGTGTATGCAGCCTCCAGGGCGCTGCTACCTGCCCTCACCTAAGTGGGTCAGACCCCTTGTCCCACTTGGCCCTGGGGCTTGGGCCCCATCTCCAGGGATGAGGCTTGGAGGGGTAGGGTGGGGATGGGCTTTGCTCCTCCTCCTCCAGAAGCAGGGAAGGCCACTTGCTTTACAGAGCCACAGGATGTGTGAGTAGAGAGGGCCTCCAGGGATTTTCTGGCCCATGTCCTATTTCACATGTAGGTAAACTGAGGCCCCCAAGGGGGAGGGGCTTGCCTGAGTCACTGAATGGGTTAGTAGCTCAGGGGTGGTTCCAGTGCCTGATGTGGGAGTTCATCCCATCCCTTCCCTCTCCTAAATCCCTCCCGTTTGCCTCCTCTTGCCCTCCCCATTGCCCCCTCTCCTCTCGGTTCCCACCATCTACCTGGCCTGGACCACTGTCCCAGCCTCCTCACAGATGGCTGTGTTGTCTCTTCCATGCCTGCCCATACCTTTCCCCACCCCATCCATCCCCCACCCAGCCCAGGGATTTTCCCTCACACACAGATCCAGCGATCACCACCCCCACTCCGTTAAACCCTTCCCTGCCCCCCATCATCCCTAAATGCTGCTTAGCAGATGCAGATCTGCTCTGGGCTCCCAGGCCCCTGCTCACCCTGGCCGTCATGACTTATCCATGCCGATCCTAATGTCGCACTCTTTCTCACCTTCCATGACTCAGTGGGGTCCTCCAAGGTATGGGGGCTTAGGTGCCCCTTCTGGGCTGCCACAGCTGTGACCACACTGTGTGACTGAGGGTCCCTGCACCCATCTTCTCTGCTGAATCACCCAGAGCGCCTTCAGGGTGGGGACTCTGGCACCTGATTCACATTGCTCCCCGTGGCACGGGGCTTGGCCCCCATGGGAGCTTTGTGCTGTCCTTTTGGATGAATGACTGAATGACAGGTGCACTCTGAGAGCATCCTTACCAGATCACGGTACACCGCAATGGGCCAGGCACCGTGCTGGTACTTCCATGCACAGCCTCGAAATCCTAACAACAGCTTGGTGGGGTCACACTGGAATTACTAACTCTGTTTTGCAGAAGAGAGTGAAGCACAGAGAGGAGAGGTGACTTGCCTAAAGTCACACAGCAAGAGAGTGATAGAAACCAGGCTCATCAGGCTGCCTGGCATAGCAAGGCCACAGGCAGCTAAAGGGATGGGCTCAGCATGGTGAGACTGCTCCCAGGAGCTACAGGGCAGCAGCGGCCAAATCTCCCAGGGTCTGAGCAAAGCTAATGTGGAGCTATCAGGAGGCCACTCAGGTGCCTGCGCCCTCAAGAAGTCAGGTTCCCTCCCTGTTTTAGAGCATGGGAAGTCTCCAGTTGTTCCAAGTCAGGCAGGGACCTGGGCAGACTTGAGTACCAGAAGCACTTCTGTGGCTGCTGTGAGGTAGAGACCAGCAGCTGGAGGCCAGCCAAGAGGCCGACCCAGTGATCCAGGGAGAGGCAAGGCCCAGTGGGGCAAGCAGCACATGGTCTGGGATCAGGCCCGGCCAAAATGTTAATACCAAGGCCTTTCAAGGGGCCCTGTGGTCAGTAGGCTGGGTGCCTGGAAGCAAGAAGTAAGCAGTGATGGGCTGCCCATGAAGATAGGTGGGCAGAATGTGGTAACGAGCTGGGTGCAGTGGCTCATGCCTGTAATCCCAGCACTTTGGGAGGCTGAGGTGGGCGGATCGCTTAAGCCCAGGAGTTGGAGACCAGCCTGGCCAACATGGCAAAACCCCATCTCTACTAAAAATGCAAAATTTACCTGGGAGCAGTGGCATGCACCTGTAGTCCCAGCTACTGAGGTGGGAGGATTGCTTGAGCCTGGCGGGTCGAGGCTGCAGTGAGCCAAGATTGCACCACTACACTCCACCTTGGGTGACAGAGTAACTCTGCCTCAGAAAAAAACAAAACAAAACAAAAAACCATGGTAACAAACTGCAAATATTTGTTGCAGAAAAACCCAGGAGCATGGAAGGGCAAACGCAGAGGCCAGCAGAGTGGACTCAGGATTCTAGGTCACTGTACCAATGATGGGAGTGTCCTCAACTTGCTGCATGACCTTGATCTTATCCCTGTTCCTCTCTAGGCATCAATAAGGGAAATTTTAGCCTGAAGTCCCCCAAGGGGCCTCTGTATTTGGGTGCCCAGTTTTGATGCTACATAGAAGTCAAAGGTAGAAGGGCCCTTGGTGTCTCAGGCTCAGAAAGGGTTGGGCCTGCCCACATCCCACAACGAACACAGGCCCAGAACCAAGAACTCCTGAAAAGTCTGACTTGGTTACGGCACAAAGCACACTCCCTCCTGTTCTTCCAAGGCAAGTGTTCAGATCCTTTAGGGAGCCCTTTGGTGGTCATTTGGTGCAGCCTCTTTGGCTGGGCAGCTGCAGCTTCTTCTTCTTTTTTTTTTTTTTTTGAAACAGAGTCTCGCTCTGTCGCCCAGACTGGAGTGCAGTGGTGCGATCTCGGCTCACTGCAATCTCCGCCTCCCAGGTTCAAGCAGTTCTCCGCCTCAGCCTCCCAAGCAACTGTGATTACAGGCACCTGCCACCACGCCTGGCTAATTTTTGTATTTTTAGTAGAGATGGGGTTTCGCCATGTTGGCCAGGCTGGTCTTCAACTCCTAACCTCGTGATCCACCCGCCTCAGCCTCCCAAAGTGCTGGGATTACAGGCTTGAGCCACTGCGCCTGGCCCATCTTTTTTTTCTTTTGAGACAGAGTCTTGCTCTATCACCAGACTGGAGTGCAGTGGCGCTATCTTGGCTCACTGCAACTTTTGCCTCCTGGGTTCAAGTGATTCTCCTGCCTCAGCCTTCTGGGTGGCTGGGATTACAGGCACCCACCATCATACTCAACTAATTTTTGTATTTTTAGTAGAGACTGGGTTTCACCACGTTCACCAGGCTGGTCTTAAACTCCTGACCTCAAGTGATCCACCCGCCTCGGCCTCCCAAAGTGCTGGGATTATAGGCGTGAGCCACCATGCCCAGCCTGCAGCTTCATCTTTATTCCCAGGAGGGAGCACTCAGGTTGCCTTCCGGGTGAGCATGCTAAAGAACTTCCTTTAGTCTACCCTGTGGCCTAGCTGCAGCCATCCTTCTTGGGGGTGTGTTTGGGGCAGGACAGTGTGGGGAGTTGCTGGAGAGTGTCTGCTTGGTGGTGATGCCCAGTGCAATCTGATGCCCACCTTCCTATTACCACCCCTGCCAGCATCACACCACTTGGTGAGGTCAGCCTCTTGCTGGGAGGCTACCTCTTACGGGTCCCTTGGGGTTGTGGTCGGGGCTTCTCCTTGACTCAGCCAAGGGGTCCAGCCACTTCTGGAGGGTAAACCTTTCCCCTGGGTCTTCAGTCTCAGGGCAGGGTGACTCTTCCAAGCACCACCCAGTTCTGAACAGCAGGGCCTCTGGCACTGGTCCTTAGCTGTGGGCTTCAGTGAGAGTCCCTGCTGGTTTCCTGGTGGGAAAAGTCAGATTGGCCCCTGGGATGGTACCGCCAACTCACGCCAGGGAACACGAAGGGTAAAGCATCATCCCAGCTTGAGTGGGGAAGTCAGGCAAGTATTAGCATGCCCCAGAGCCTCTCCTGCTGCCTCTGGTCCTGCCTCATCCCTGAAACTCCCACTCCCTGCCCAGGGAGGTGTGGGGAGGGTGCTGCTCATGAGAGGAGATACACTTTTACTGAGCCCCTGCGTGGTGTAAAGCCCTCCTCCACCAGAGTCCTCATAGCCGCTCCGTGAGGTGTTACCATCCCCATCAACCAGCTGAGATCCTGAATTGCCAAGCCACTAAAAGTGGAATCAGCACTTGAATGTCTTTCAGAATCCAGTTTCTCACCTTTTCCTAAGCTGTCCTTATTCATGCATAGGGAAGCAATATTCATTCATTTTTTTTTTTCTTAAAGTGACTCTAACTGGTAAGAATAACTAACACATAGTAGTGACTCAGTCAATACTTGTTGTGAGCAAATGAACTAGTTCTTAGGACTGGGAGCTGCTGAGATGACCTGCCCTTCTTGGCATTCAGCACTGGCCCTGTTGGAAACCACACTGTGTGGAGAGAGCTGCTGATGTGAGGGGAGGCTCCGCTCGGGTACCTGTGGGCAGAGCATGCTTGTTCCCACCACCTTTGAGATGTAGGCGAAGCAAATCTGAGAAGCGGGAAGACAACTGGGGATTAGGGTGGGGCCTGAATTAGTTAGCGGAGGGTGTCCCCTCTGCGAGTTCCTGTCATCTCTCTGTACTCCCTGCCCTGCTGGGATGTAGCCCTGGAGCCCCTCTTCTCCTACGACTCAGCCTCCTTCAGGAAGCTTCCTTGCACTGGAGCCTGGATTGGGCCCTGCTCTGGGCTCCCCAGCCCTTGTGAATTGTTGTGACACAAGTTCCATGTTGTCATCAACTAGTTATGTGGTTGTTCCCCCACCAGACCAGGAGTTCCTGAAGGCAGGGGGTTGTTTGATTCCTCTCCGAGTCTGCAGCTCCCATGACAGGGCCAGAAGGAAAGGTTGTTGAATGAATGAATGAATGAATGAATGAATGAATGAATAAATAAAACAAGCAGTGCAAATATCCCTAGCCTGCAAGCCTTGGGCTTCAGTTCTGCCACCAGCTGGCAAAGCCCCATTCCACTCTGGTTTCACATGCCCGGTCTGTGCTCTGTGGCCATGGGACCCTTCAGCTGCCCCTGAGAAACAGGTAACGAGGGAGGGGCTAAGCGCCACTGGCAGATGCTCAGCTTGAAGCTGCCTCCCTGTGCTTGTCCCCTCAGCCTGAGCCCCGCCTACCGAGGGTGGAGGAAGGGCCCGTCAAATTGCATTCCCTTCACACTGCGTCCGTCGCATTGCCTCATCTCAGAAACGCTCCATCTTAGCTCTCATCTCTCTGCCCCAAGCAAGCTAGCTTGGCCAGCAGACCTGCTGACATCAGCCAGGACTTGCTGGGGGCCAGAGTTGGGGGCCGAGCCCTGCAATCCACCCACAGGATCAAAAAGCCTCTACAATGCTCTGCAGGTTTCCAAGCCTGTGCCACACCCAGCCCAGCCACCCCACACCCCAGAGGGCTGGACTCCCCATCATTACTCTGTTACTGAGGAAAGTGAGACCCATGGAGGGAGGGGCTGGAACAGCCCCGAGTGCCCAGTGACTGGTGCCCCAGCTGGGAATCTGGACTCAAGTCTTAAACTCCAAACTGGTTTATTTTAATCCCTAGTGCTATCTCGAGGTATGAATTTGGGCAAGTGGGTGATTTCCTCTGGGCCTCAGTTTCTTTATCTGTTTCAGGGGGATAGCTGTTGCCTGGTACTCCTGAAGGTGCCTGGAGAGGTGGAGGTGCTGCTGGGCACTATGGAAAAGGCACCAGCTGGGAGCCGGGCCCTGGCTCCGCTTCTCTCTGGCCTCAGCTCTCTGTCTGTAGAGTGAGGGGCCTGGCTGTCCCTTGTTCCTCCCCACTTCCTCTTCACTCTTGCTCCATCACCCTCACAGTGAAAGTGGTAGCAAGAGGAGCATTCTGTGCACTGGTTATTTTTCAGGCCTGGGTTGCGCTGTGGGCATCAAGAGAGGGCCCAGTCTCTACCCTTAGGGAACCCATGGATGTACAGGGGAGGACACATCTATTTGTTAGTTCATCCATCCACCATCAGTCATCTATCCATCCATCCGTCTATCCATCCCCACATCCCTCCAACCCCCCATCCATCCCCCCATTCTTCCATCCATCCCCCACCATCCATTCATTCGTCCATCCACACACCTATCCAGCCAGCAAACATTTACCCAGCATGGTCTCTGTCCCAGGCCTAGGCTATGTGGGACTGCTGAGCAGACTCCCACGGGGTCCTCCCTTCAAAGACTCACAATCCACCTCCAAGCTGCCCTCACATCTCAGTCCTCAACCTGGGCACTTCTTCCCAGGTCCAGACCTTATATCTCACAGACGCCCTGACTTTGCCCTTTGGGTGTCCCATAGGTTTCTCCAACTAGAACACTTGATCTGTCCCCCACCCTACCCGCTACTTGCTTCTCTCTCAGGTTTCCCCAGGTCAGTAAATGACCCCATGATCCATCCAGGGCTTAAAATCTACACATCTTCCTAGATTCCTCTCTCCTCTCACTCACCCTTGACACCCAAACAAGCAAGCAGTAAAAATCTGAGGATACTGCCTCCAAATAAGCTGCTGTTGCCAATTCTCCCGTCTCCACCATCGTCACAGTCATGGAAGCACAGTCACACTGGACCGTGACAGTCTCCTCTCACCCCTCCTCCACAGTGGCAACAAGATCTTTCCAAACGCAGACCAAACCCTGTCTCTCTCTGCTTAAAACTCTCAGGCTCCCATTGCCTCGAGGCTCAGGCCATGTTCCATGGGGCAGTGTCCAGCTGTGCCCACCTCTCCGGCCTCATCTCGTGACCCCCCTGGGCTTTACACCCAGCCTTCTTTCAGCTCCTCAAACTCCTGCTTCAGAGCCTTTGCCTGTGCCTGGAAGAATATGTCCTTTTGCCCCTCCGTCCGCTCCTCACGGCGGCCACCGCTGGCCAGTGTCTTCCCTCCCATCAGCTCTCAGTTTGAACAGCACTATCCTGGGGTTATTCTCACCTGAACCTGAGTCTAGTGGGTTCTCCTGTGTCCCTTCTGACTGCCTTCCTTCCTCCCTTAAGACCATCCTTGGCCGGGCGCAGTTGCTCACGCCTGTAATCCCAGCACTTTGGGAGGCCGAGGCAGGTGGATCATGAGGTCAGGAGTTCAAGACCAGCCTGGCAAACATGGCGAAACCCCATCTCTACTAAAAATACAAAAATTAGCCGGGTGTGGTGGTGGGCACCTGTGATCTCAGCTACTCGGTGGTGGTGGGCGCCTGCGATCTCAGCTATTTGGGAGGCTGAGGCAGGAGAATCACTTTAACCTGGGAGGCAGAGGTTGCAGTGAGCTGAGATCGCACCACTGCACTCCAGCCTGGGCGACAGAGCAAGACCCCGACTCGAAAAGAAAAAAAAAATCATCCTAAGATCTCCATTTCCTGCCTGTTTTCTTTCTGTCCACATTTGTTAAGTGCCTACCATCTACCTGGCATGAAAATACAGTGATGAACAAAAATAAGCAGGGTCCTGGCCCTCAGGGAGCCTGGATCCCAATGAGGGAGGCTCATGTTGGCAGAGAAATGCCCAGGAAATAGAGACAAACTGGGACAAGTATTTGCCACTTCTCACATGGCATTGATCACAGATTGGCTTCCCTGAGAGGCAGCTCCTGGCTGGCTGATGAGGGGTGTCCCTGGAATCATCCCTACTAAAGGGAGGGGAGGAAGCAGGAGGCTGTGATAGTCGTATGAAGGCCTCAGCTGGCCCCTGCGGGAGCTCTGGACCTGAGACAAGACTCAGAGTTGCCCCAGTTTGAGGTGAGGGGCTGGGTCTCCCCTCCCTGCAAGCTGGTCAGTCATTGGTGGAAGCTGCCCCTAGAAGAGGGAGTGATCTTGGCCAAGGCAGCTTTCTTCAGCAGAGCTGATTTTGCCGAAGTGCTGACAGCTGGGGGCTGTCTTCCTGCACTCCCAGCACTTCATTTCTGAAGAGGGACCTGGAAGGCCTAGCATCGCACATGGGAGGCATGTGTCATCACCCATGCGTGGCATGTGGGGAAACTGAGGCTCACAGGAGTCACAGGCTTTCCTGTCATCATACGGCTCACCCATCAGCCTTATAATTATCTCTCTGCTTCCAAACTTCTCCTCCTTTGGCACCTGCTTTCCCCGTGGGGAGCCGTGGAGGCAGCTGAGCACTGGAGAGGCTGAGGGGTACTCCAGAGAATTCAATAATCCAGCACCGTGGGGGTGCATTGGAGGAGCAGCGAGGGCTGGTTCCTCTGCCAGGTCTGGTACTTGGCCTCACCTGGTACATGGAGGGGCACTGCAAATGCTGCCTCTGGGGGCCATACCATTGTGTATAGAGTGTGGGGGCTCTCAGGCCCCCCCGAATCAGAGCTGTCCTCATGATTCGGCCCCTGGTAGCATCCCTGGCCCCCGTGCCCTTCAGAGGCACAGCCTGGGTACTGGCCAAGAGCCGGCAGGTGATGTAAGTGGTATGATTGAGGGGGAAGACAAGTGAGCAGAGCTGGGCCTGCCATTCCCAGGACTGTGGGTTAGACAGGCTAAACAACAAAACAAAACAAAACCCCCAGCTCCCCAGCCCTCTGTTACTGTTTGCCAAGCACTTCCTCAGGTGCTTTACTTACACTGCAGGTCGTTCTCACAACTCTGTGAGGAGAGACAATTTTTTTTTTTGTTTTTTGAGATAGAGTCTCACTCTATTGCCCAGGCTAGAGTGTGCAGTGGCGTGATCTTGGCTCACTGCAACCTCCACCTCCCAGGTTCAAGCAATTCTCGTGCCTCAACCTCCCGAATAGCTGGGATCACAGGCATCCGCCACCACGCCCGGCTAATTTTTGTACTTTTAATAGAGATGGGGCTTTGACATGTTGGCCAGGCTGGTCTCGGACTCCTGACCTCAGGTGATCCACCCGTGTTGGCCTCCCAAGGTGCCGGGATTACAGGTGTAAGCCACCGCGCCTGGCAGGAGGGATAGTTTCTTAGCCCATTTTAAAGATGAGGACATGGAGGCTTGAAAAGCTCTAGTGACTTGCACGGTGATATCCAGCTGATAAGTGTTGATGGGAGGATCCCAGGAGGGAGAGAATTCAAGGTGGAGAATGGGAGTGAGGTCGGGGGAGAGTCCCTGACTTGAGATGTGAGCTGCCACCACTTTTCCAGGGCGCTGGCAGCCCTCAGGGAGGGTGTAGAGGATGCCTCTCAGCCCTGTTTCAGCCAGGCCATCTCTGGTCTGCACTTGGGGGTGTTTTGGAGATGGAGCGGGTTACAGCTGCTTCTGCCACAGCGCCCTGGGTGAATCTTGCCTGACCTGCTCCGCCTGGATTTTGCTGAGCCCTGGGTGTTGAGGGAGGAGAGGGGAAGGAGGAGCAGAGCCACCCTCCACCTCCCAGCCACTGGGTTACAAATAATTGCACCATTGGCTACAGAACAAGGAAGGTTTCACCTCGGGTAGTGAAGCTGGGATGCTCACTTCACAGTGCACTGGGCAACTTGCGTTCTACCCTGTCTGGCAACATGTGGGGAGTCTCCTTATAGGTGACAGGCGACATGCAGAAGGCAATGGTTTCTGACCAAGAAGCCTTTTCTTCCAGAGGTTGGGGTGTGTCAGGAGCCACTTGAGTATTCTCCTGGTTTAGTGTTTCTGGGGCTGAATTCAGATGCTATTTTGTCTTGTGGGCACCTAGTGGGTGCCAAGCCCCGCATAGGGGTGTTGTAAGTCCCTGAGCCCATCCAATTTGCACAGCGGCCCAGTGGGAAAGAGATTATCACTCCCATGGCTCTGATGGGGAGATTGAAGCCAGAGAGGTGAAAGGACTCACTCAGATTTACCAACTCCCAGCCCAGGATTCCTTTGCTGTTTCCCAGCTATTTCCACAAATGATAGGACGCGTATCCTATGATCTCTGAACTGGGGAGTAAATAACAGTGGGGAGAAGCCTTTGGTTTCACTTTTGTGCTTATTAGGGAGAAATTTTGGTTGGACCAACCAACCCTCACTTTCCCCATCCATTAAATGGGGATTAATTTTATATTTATATTTATTTTTTATTTGTTCATTTTTAAAAGAAAGGGTCTCGCTCTGTCACCCAGGCTGGAATGCAGTGACATGATCATGGCTCACTGCAGCCTCAAACTCCTGGGCTCAAGTGATCCTCTTGCCTCAGCCTCCTGAGTAGCTGGGACTACAGGCATGCAGCATTTTGCCTAATTTTTTTTTTTTTTTTAGACGGAGTCTTGCCCAGACTGGAGTGCAGTGGCACGATCTTGGCTCACTGCAAGCTCCGCCTCCTGAGTTCAAGCGATTCTCCTGCCTCAGCTTCCTGAGTAGCTGGGACTATAGGCACATGCCACCATGCCCGGCTAATTTTTTGTATTTTTAGTAGAGACAGAGTTTCACCGTGTTAGCCAGGATGGTCTCCATCTCCTGACCTTGTGATCCGCCCGCCTCAGCCTCCCAAAGTGCTGGGATTACAGGCATGAGCCACTGCACCCAGCCTCGTGCCTAATTTTTAAAAAGTTTTTGTAGAGATGGGGGTCTCACTGTGTTGCCCATTAACCTCCCCGGAGACTGGCCTGGGTGCTAAAGCCATTAAATGGGTGTTAATACTAGGAGTAGTGCTAATCGATGCTGTCTTTCATGATGCTGCATGGCTCAGATGGCAGGGGTTAACACAGGCCCAGGCTCTGGAGCACAAAAGCCCTGCAAAAGTCAGCTGGTATTTCAGGAGGGGTAAAGGAATGGGCAGGCAGACCAGTAAATCCTCAGCCTCCCTAATCGTTTTAGGGCCTATGGCCCTTACCTGTTCCTGATGAGACCCGGGCAGTGCCTGGGCCCCCTGTGGGTATGTGGTATGCACACTTGCATTCAAGCATGAGTGTCCTCTTCTGCCCCCAGAGCAGGGCCCCCTAGAGCCCCCAAGCCACGTCTCCCCTTCAGATTGGGCCTCAACCAGTGGGTTCATGGTGCCTGACTGCTTAATGAGCTTGGCATCAGGGTACAAATAATTGCACCATAAGTTATGCAAATCTAATCATAACAACACTGTGCTGGGCAACTTGCATTCTCTCAGCTCTCAGGGGCCCTAATCCTGGGAGAGAACTTCCGTGGGAACCACACCGTCCCACACCCTCCTACTTCTCTGAAATTATAATGACAATGTGTACCTTGGCCTCAGCAATCACAGTTGCACAGAGGGCTCTCTGCTCCCATCCCACCCACATCTCACAATAGGAATGAGCAAACATTTATGCAGTGCTTACTGTATGCCAGGCATAGTTCAGATCACCTTATGCATATTAATGTATTCAGCCCTTCCAGTAGCATTATAAGATGGTCATTATTGGATTCTGTGTTTCATAGATGAGGAAACTGAGTCTTATAACTTGCATAAGGTCACATAGCTACTAAAGGGAGAAGCCAGAAAATTTTGCAAGAAGGGAAATTGAGGCAGAGAAAGGCGAAAAAATACTTGTCCAAAATTTTGGAGTATTTGGGGGTTCACCCAGGTCTCATTGGACCTCTTCAGCCATCTTCTAGGTCCGTGAGGGTCCGACCGTCACCCTGACATGTGGCTGTGTGTGTGTTGGGAGGTGGGGTGTGGGCTAGAGCCTCCTTCTGGGAAAGTCAGGGGATGTAGCCAAGGCAAAGAGCTATTTTAATGCCTCCCCCGCCCGCCCTGCTCCCCACACAGCCCCTCTGCTGAGCTAGGCTGCAGTGGCCCAGGGCCTGGGCCAAGCGTGGAGAGGTTTGTTCCGTGAGCAGAGGGAAGTCTTGGCTCCAGGACACTTCACACCCAATGAATTACTTCAACGCTAGATTAGGCTTGCAGGCTTGGAGCAAAGTGATAATAGGGCCCAATTAAATTAATTTATATGGACACTATGCTCCAGCCCCCTCCTTGGCCATGGGGGGGCCGGCCTGACCCACCTACCCTGGGCCAGGCCCAGGCCTTGGGGAGGTTAATGTGGAGGCTGCGCCCTCCTGGTGGGAAAGCCAGTCCCCAGCAGCGGAGGGAAAGGCCTAGGCTGTTGTTTTGTTTTCAGTCTGATGTGCAGGTTGGGAGAAAATTACCTTAATTAAATAAAGACTTGAGGAAGCTGATTCCTGGTTCGAGGTGAGGTCTGGCAGGCCTGGCTAAGAACAAGTTTCCCAAGGTTCCAGGGAGGAAACTTGACAAGGTCATTTGGGGTGGCCTTGGCTCATGGCCAGACCTCAGTGCCTCACTTTCCCCAGTAAGGGGACCCATGGGTCTTTCTGCTGAGTGGGCAGGTGCAGGGGAGAGCTGGGCACCTGGGCCACAGGTGACTCTGCTGCAGCTGGCTGTGAGGACGTCCTCGAACCCTTCCCAGGCTCAGGATAAAGCCCACCTGCTTAATGCGGCTCACAAAGCCTCACTCACCTGGCTCTCGTGCTTCATCTCCTGGTTATCTTCCTTCCACCTGACTCCCACCCTATATTCTAGAGAGACCGAATCCACCTGCAGCTCCCCAGCTGGGCACGGCCTTTGCCCGTGCTGTTCCCCTGCTTAGGACCTCCTCTTCCTCACTTTCCCTAGACAGCACTCGATCCTCTCCCCACCCCTGCACTTAGCACTCAGAATGTGGTGGTCTGTCTTGCCAGGAAATGACTAGGAGGGCAGAGGCAGATACCATCAGCACCAGGCCCCAGGGCCAGGCCAGGCCTGGCATGAAGGTGGCATCAGGGGAGGTGAGATAATTTGAGAGTTGCCGGCAGCTCTCCTGCTGTGACTCTGTCCCAGTCCCTAGCCTGGGCTGGGTCATCACTCACCTGCACAGGCCGCACTAGATGAAGAACGAAGTGCCTTGGTCGTGACTCAGCTGCTGGCCTGGGACAAGTTATTTCCTTTCTCTCAACCTCAGTTGCCCATTCTGCAAAAGGCAAGACATGGTGTCAGGGACCCCGGGCCCCTCCTGCATCTGATGCTCAGGGATTCTGCAGTTTCTGGTGCGGAAGTCTTGCCCTACCAAGCAGAGGCCAGTGTGGATACTGGCTTCTGAGGGCCATGAAGGTGAGGAAGACAGAGGAGGGTGTCAGGGGTGGTCCCAGGCTGAGCACGGCAGCGGGGCTGGGCCCCAACCTGCAACCATCCATCAATCTGACTGTGCTGCCCACTTCCGCTGCTGCCCAGACACTCCACTTTGGGATCCTGGCTGCCATCTGTAGGATTGGCAGCTTCTGCCAGGCTCACATGGCTCTGGGCCCAGAGAGGCCCCCCAGGGGTTGGAGGTAAGGAGTTAACCTCTCTCCTCCACCCCACCCACCCCTGGTTTTTGATTCTTGATCCAGGGCTTGAACTTCATCCTATGGGGTGTGGGAGCTTGTGCTAAGCAGGAAATGGCCTGATTAGATGGGGGCAGGCTATAAGCCTGTCCGGAGATGCCCCCAAGTGAGGCCCCTCGGGCAGACCCTTTACACCCAGGTCAGGCCCACCACTTCCCTCAGCATGGATGGACCACTTTGTCTCACTCAGACTTTCCAACAAGTCATTGACTCTGTAGAGCAGTGGGGCCAGCCATGGAAAAACCTGCCTTCGCCACCTCTCCTCCTCCCTGAAGGATGCAGGGCCATTTGGGGGTTGTAAATTTATGGTGGAAGCTAAGGGCCGGCGCCTGCTACAGGCAGCCTTTGAACCTCAGCCTTCCACTCAGCACCCACCGAGGCCTTTCCTCCAGCCAGTGCAAGGAGGAGGCACTTGGCTTGGAAAATAAAAGGCCTCTGTGGGGAGGCAGGAGCCTGAGTAACTCCTGCTGACCCCCAGCTCACCCCTCCAGGGCCCCAGAGGCAGGTCTTACAAGCTCCACTACGGGGATGGCTGACCCGAGGTGGGACTTAGCGCCAGCTCAGACCCTTAAGCCCCCACAGGCCTCCTCTTCATCTGATTGGCCTTTTTCTTTCTTTGGTAAGGACATTTAATAGGATGGGGATTTGGAGCTTGGATTCCTGTCCTCCCAACTCTGCCTTCTCCAGGCCTCAGTTTCCTCTTTCGTAACAATAGAGGATTAGATATAGTCATCTTTCAGTTTTATTAGGGGTCTAACATTACAGTGCACTCCACGTTCCTTTCTGGGTTCCTCCTCCGTGCCAAGGCCATGTCAGGAGAGACGCCAGTGGTCAGCTGGGGGGTGTGTATGGGGTAGGGATGCGGGTGGTGGTGGAGACGGTGGGAGCAGGGAGGGGGCCTGCAGCAGCCCCTGTAGGCAGGAGGCAGGGGAGACTTCCCTGAGTGGGTGAGAGTTGAGTTGAGGACTGGAATTTTTGATGCATTCATGTATTGATTAGACAGTGTCTGCTATGTGTCAGAAAACATAATAGGCACAGATGGTGTGTGTGTGTGTGTGTGTGTGTGTGTGTGTGTAGCATAACTTTGAGTGGAGCCTGGTCACCTTCTCTGGCTCCACTTCAAAGTTATGCTCCCACACTGGTCACCACCACTCTCTAGGAATCTAGTCAATATGGAGTAGATTGAGAAAATCACCTCCGTGGATTTGGGTACAATATCTCTATTGATGTGGCCAAAGAGATCAGTAGTTGTTTAGCAGCCTGTCTTTCACTCAGTTGCAGCAGGGAGACCCACCCACTTTGGCTAGGGGTGTGTGTGTGTGTGTGTGTGTGTGAAACAGTAGTGAAGAAAGTCATAACCCTCAGAATAGAAGTTTTTCTCTCCTGGACATGGAGGGAGGACACTCCAGGCAAAAGGAGCTCATAGGCAAAGGCAGTGACTCATGAATGGATATCATGAGTTTGGAAAAGGACAAGAAGTTCCATGTGGTTGAAGCAGGAAAGAAGTGAACACTCTGATGTAAATGGCTTTGGAACCAGAGAGATACAAGATTGAGCCCCAGTTCTGGTCTTATTAGCTGTGGGACTTTGAGTGAATTATTTGACTTGTCTGAGCCTCAGAATTTGTAGAAAATGGAGTATAAGTTTTACTTCTCAGGGCAGTGAAAATTAAATGTAAAAGGTTTGATAAAGCACCCAGCTTGGTATCTGGCAGAGATCAACACAGATGTAACCAGTGGGGGTACCACAAATAAGTGGAACTTTTTTTTTTTTGAGATGGAGTATTGCTCTGTCACCCAGACTGGAGTATAGTGGCATGATCTCAGCTCACTGCAACCTCCACCTCCTGGGTTCAAGCAATTCTCCTGGCTCAGCCTCTCGAGTAGCTGGGACTACAGGCGCATGCCAACATGACTGGCTAAGTTTTTGTATTTTAGTAGAGACAGGGTTTCACCGTGTTGCCCAGGCTGGTCTCGAACTCCTGAGCTCAGGCAATCTGCCCACCTTGGCCTCCCAAAGTGCTGGAATTACAGGCGTGAGGCACCACACCCGACTATAAGTGGAACTTTCTACCAGCCCACATCTTCTTACTGTGGAAGCAACTGCCAGGTGGAAGGAAGCTCCCTGCCACAGGAAGAACGTGAGCTGGATAAGGGTTTATCAACCAGGGAGACTATGCGGGGAGAGCTTGAACCAGCCGTCTCTGAGGTCTTCTAGAGAGGTTTGGAACTAGCATCCCTGTCCCCTGAGATTACCCCTCTCCTGGGCTGACCTGGCCCAGCAACCTCAACATTCCCCACATGTTCTGGTTCCAGAACTCCCACCTCCCTGGTCACCTCGTCTAGCTCCACTCAAAGTTATGCTTCCACACTGGTCACCACAACTCTCTAGGAATCTAGTCAGTGTGGAGCAGATTGAGAAAATCACCTCCCTGGATTTGGGTACAATATCTCTATTGAGGTGGCCAAAGAGGTCAGTAGTTATTTGGCAGCCTGTCTCACTCGGCTGCAGCAGGGAGACCCGTCCACTTTGGCTAGATGCTCTCAGATATTTTAAGATTTGTAGAAGAAGCACAGAACATTCCAGGGAAGCAATAAATCCTTGTGGGATAAATGAATGAAGTGTCTGATTTTTGGCTCATGCCGGCCCTGAGGAGGGAAATCTGGAGAATTAGAGGGCACAGAGCAATCTTCAAGGCTGGGGGTGGTGTTACAGTTTTTCCTTGGGAGCTCAAAATACTTCCTGTCTTTCCATTCATCATTCCCCTCACCCTGCTGATTGCCTTCTGCCTTCACAACACCACTCTTTGGGGGATGGAACAGCAGACTGATAGACTCTGGAATCTCAGGTTGTCAGCACTGGGAGGGCCTCTACAGAGGGTCCAGTTCAACCTCCTCTGCATAGAGATGGTGAAAGTGAGGCTGGAGTAGAGGGAGGCTGGCAAGGTGCCTCTACCCAGGGAGTCCCTATTGGAAGGCGGTGCAGGCAGATGGGGAGGACCACATTAGATAATGAGTGCCGGTGGCCTCTACTTGTGGGGACAGCTGGCTCACCCTGTTTACAAGATCTCTAGGTTAGCCCCATCCAGCACCAGCACTCAACAGCTCTGCAGAAACTCAACACTCTGGGCTCAGTGACCCTGGCAGAGTTCTCCTCCCCCAGGGCCTGCTGGAGAACCCTGGCAGGGGAGTGTGGAAAGCCCTCCATCCTGGGGTGCGATTTCAAGGCTGGCACAGGGACAGGCCTCCAGCTCAGGCTCCTCTTCTGGCTTTGCCCCTGCTCTCTGTGTGACTCTGGGCCTCAGTTTCCCCATTTGTGAAATGATGGCACCCAGCTGGATTCTGAAGCCTCTGAGCTCTCATGCTGCTGTGTATCTGAATGTCTTAGCAGGGAGGAGTCTGCACTCGCCTTCAGCATTTCCTGCCTTGGCACACGCCAAGCCCTCTATCTAATCCTGGGGGTCCCAGGCCTGCCCTCCGGGGAGAAATTGCTGTGATTTAAGGTTCCAGATTTCCTGAGCCGTTAGTGTCATGATACTTTATACCTGGGCCTTGATGGCTTTTTAATTAAAAACGGATCTCTCCCAATCCCTGGTTTTATGTCCGTCTCCGGGAGCCTGTGGAGGTGCCCCGCTCCGCCTGATGCTTTGCGTAGCCCCGGTTTCTGCTCTTCTGTTTCCTCCCTTGAGTCCCCATCTCCCCTTGTTTTAGGAAGAGAAGGGTCTGGGATTCTTTATGGACTCCTTCTTTGTGTTAGGTGCTGAGGCCCCAAAGTGCACACCACGGATGCTCAACACCACACATTTTAAGGTCTCTGTGTAGGACAGAAGAAAGGGATGGTCCCAAACCAGTTCTATTACTGGCAACCACCTTTAGCCCAAGCATGAAAGGAGGCAGAGACTGGAAGGAGAGGTCTGGTGTGCAAGGACTGTCCCCTTCCTGGCAAGTCCTGGATTTGAGGGGCAGAGGGACAGATGTCTGATTTGCACTTGAAACACCATCTGGAGGCTGGAAGCTGGAGGGAGAGAAGAGGGGGCTGCAGGGGCAAACCCTCTCTGCCAGAGTTTGGCAGGCAAAAGCCAAGTTTCCTGTCGGTCAAAGTAGACACTCTGGAATGGAGTGGGGCTCAAACCATGCAGCAAGGACCAGTCCGAGGAGTCTGCTGCTTGCCAGGATCAGGGAATCCCAACAGAAAGCCTCTGTGTGGGGCTGAAGGGAAGACTGAAGACATCAGGTGGGCTTGAGGGTGGGGTTGGTTAAGTCATCAGCAGGAAGAGGAGGCGTGCCCAGGCCGATGAATTGTGGGTTGGAGGTTCTTAGCAAAAAGGGGTCACTGAAGAGCCCACAGGACACAGGACACCCCAAAGAGAGAAGGCTGGCGTTTGCACATTGCCACCCTGAGAGGACTCCCCTATCCTGGATTCAGCAGTTCTGGTAAGACCCTACTGGTGTTCCACACTGCCCTCCACTCCCCATTCTAGGCCTGACTGTGGGCAGAGGGCAGCCTAGAGGAGTGGAAGGAGGTAAGAGAGGAACCAACTGAGCCCCTCCCCACCCAGCAGTAGAATCAGGGAATGGGCCTGAGCTGGGGGAGGAGGAACTTTGAATTGGGCATGAGATTAAGCTCCTGGGGTCAGACTGGGTGCACCTGTTACCAGCTGAAGACGAGCCTGTTCCTTAATACTGAACGCAGAGCAGGGAGATGTGGGTCCACCCTAGGTCCTTTCCCTTTTTTTTTTTTTTTGAGATGGAGTCTCACTCTGTCTCAGGCTGGAGTGCAGTGGCACAATCTTGGCTCACTGCAACCTCCACCTCCTGGGTTCAAGCAATTCTCCTGCCTCAGCCTTCCAGGTAGCTGGGATTACAGGCATGCATCACCATGCCCAGCTAATTTTTGTATTTTTAGTAGAGATGGGGTTTCACCATGTTGACCAGGCTGGTCTTGAACTCCTGACCTTGTGATCCACCCATCTCGGCCTCCCAAAGTGCAGGGATTACAGGAGTGAGCCACCGTGCCTGGTCCCTAGGTCCTTTTCAAGGGGTGGGGAGGGAGATCCAACAGGGCAGGTTTGAAAGATGGTAGTGAGGCCGGGCATGGTGGCTCACACCTGTAATCCCAGTATGTTGGGAGGCCGAGGAGGGTGGATCACCTAAGGTCAGGAGTTCGAGACCAGCCTGGCCAACATGGTGAAACCTCATCTCTACTAAAAATACAAAAATTAGCCGGGTGTGGTGGCACGCGCCTAAAGTCCCAGCTATTTAGGAGGCTGAGGGAGGAGAATTACTTGAACCCTGGAGGCGGAGGCTGCAGTGAGCTGAGATAGCGCCATTGCATTCCAACCTGGGGAACAAAGCGAGACTCTGTCTCAGAAAAAAAAAAAAAGAAAGATGGTAGCGAAAAAGTTTTTTACTTGCATGCCACTGATTCGGCCTCTTCCATACACCAGTCACACACACACTATTTCATTGAATCTCACAGCCACTGGTTTTATCATTTCCAAGTTATAGATGAAAAAAAATGAAGGTTGAGAGAAATTCAATGACTTGCCCAGGGATCCTTGACTCTGTATCTGAATGGATTCCAACGTCCGAGCAGAAATCCTTCTAGCCTAATGCTTCTTCTCAACCCCTGGAGGTTCTAATTCAGGAGCTCAGGAATGGAACCAAGGAATCTGCATTTTCACAAGTGTCTGGGAGACTCTGGCACAGGTAGGTGGTCCAGGGAGCATGTCCTGGGAAGCACCACCCTCACCTTGATGCCTTTACGGTGAGAATAACATTGTAGGTGACAGGGTCGGCTCCAGAATGCCCAGGCCATGGGGGCATCATACCGCCAGGGAAATCTCTGGACCTCAGCAGGCAGGGCCCTGGGGTCCCTTCCTTCAGTTCTGTGAGCTCCTAGGCTACTCACCTCTCCTCCGCCTCTCAGGCTCACCCACCTCATCTGAAAATGGCAATGATAGTGGGCGTGTAGGCGGGGCTCAGTGGCTCACTCCTGTAATCCCAGCACTATGGGAGGCCAAGGCAGGCGGATCACCTGAGGTCAGGAGTTCGAGACCAGCCTGACCAATATGATGAAACCCAGTCTCTACTAAAAATACAAAAATTAACCAGGTGTGATGGCATGCACCTTTAATCCCAGCTACTCGGGAGGCTGAGACAGGAGAATTGCTTGAACCTGGGAGGTGGAGGTTGCGGTGAGCCGAGATCATGCCATTGCGCTCCAGCCTGTAAAACAAGAACAAAATTCCATCACAAAAAAAAAAAAGAAAGAAAGAAAGAAAGAAAAAAAAGAGATAGTGGGCATGCAGCATTTGCGGAACACATCTACACTTGGGCTTTGTGGATGTCCAGCCTGGAGGACACTCCTCTTGTCCCACGTTCTCTGTGCCTTCCAGTCCCCATTCATGTCTCATGAATGCATGCATAGCATGTGCCAAGAATGATCATTGTGGGGGCTCTACAACCAGACTTCACAAGTTTGAATTCCAGCTCTGCTACTCCTTAATTATGTGACTTTGGGCAAGTTACTTGTCTCTGTGCCTCAGCATCCTCATCTGTAACATGGGATAATGTTGGCACCTATGTCACAGATAGTGGTGAAGATGAATTGGGTTTGTTTCTGTAACTCAATTGTGTGTAACGTGCAATACATGAGGGGCTCGCCCTCCGTAAATGCCAGCTATTCCTATCATTATTATGGACATTAGTAGTAGTGGTATTACCTGTGAGACTGAAGCACGCCAGCTCCTCAGGGAAGGGGGACTTGGAGGAAATGATCGGTCTACCTGGGCCAGATCAAAACTCGGGGGCTTCCGGGTATGGCTAGAGAACAAGAAAGTAGATGTTTCCGTTGGAAGTTCCTTGACAATCAAGGAACAAGAAAGAATGTAGGGTCAGGAGTGGTCGCTCATGCCTGTAATCCCAGCACTTTGGGAAGCCGAGGTGGGTGGATCACCTAAGGTCAGGAGTTCGAGACCAGCCTGACCAACATGGAGAAACCTCGTCTCTACTCAAAATACAAAATTAGCTGGGCATGGTAGCGCATGCCTGTAATCCCAACTACTCGGGAGGCTGAGGCAGGAGAATCGCTTGAACCTGGGAGGCGGAGGTTGCGGTGAGTGGAGATTGCACCATTGCACTCCAGCCTGGACAAGAAGAGCGAAACTCCGCTCTAAAAAAAAAAAAAAAAGAAAGAAAGAAAGAATGTAGCTGGGTTGGGCAAAGCCCCAGAGAGAACTGGGACATGGCAACAACAGGATGTGCCCATCTGTTGGGTCCATGGTTGGTACCATCTTACCTGGAGGGCAAAGCAGGGAGAAAAATCATAGCACCTATTGGGGATCTCTCTCGCCCAGTCCCCACAACAGCCACATGCAGTAGAAATAGCCACTCTGCATCTCAGTGCACAGATGAGGTGATTGGGACTCACTTGCTTCAGGTCACAGGGCTGGTGGCAGAAGCAGGATTCAAGCTGGGGCTGACTCCGAACCTGTGTCTATAACCATGGCCCTCCTGGGAAGGGAAGCAGAGGGAGGCTGCCGTTCTCCAGCGGCCCCCGCCACACCTCTGTGAGAGCCATGTGGGTGGGCAGCACGGCCACTCCTTCAGCCCATTCAGCGCCCGGGCCCTGGCTGGGTTGATACATTATTTCTTTGGAAAGCCAGAAGCTGCTGAGAATCACTGCAGGTAGAATCCCTCTCTGGGTCCTCTGATGGCCCCATCCATGGTGAGAGCCATTCCCTGCCTCTCTCAGGCTGCAAGGGCAGCAAGGTAGGCAGAGGGAGTTATCTCGGCGGCCCAGTCCCATGGGTCTGGCAGCTTGTCCTTTGGTTTTGAGGCCCAGTGCTCTCCAGTGAGCTCAGGGTTCCCTGGGTCAGGGGATCCCAGGAGGTCTCAGGACCTGGAAACCATCTAGAGCAACTTTACGGGGCTGCTGGGTTCACAGGGCCCATAAAACACATTGAGTTTGAAGCCCTCAGAGTTTCCATTTTCTCCCAGGCACAAAATGAGAGGAGCAGGAGCTGGACACAGTGCTTTGTGGGGCAGCTCCCACGCTCAGGCCTGCCGTGGGGTGGGGGTCGAGACTGGGGGCCTGAAAGCCAGCCAGGGAACAGGCACCTGCCAGGCGTCCTGCCAGTCCTCATAGCCCCTGAGTTGGGTGCAGACGATCATTCCTTTCTAAATAACATTTTTTGGTTTGTTTTGATTTTGTAAAATCACGCTATATTCTTATTCTACAGGACACGAACCAAGACTCAGAGAGGTGAAGAGACTGGAAGAACAAGGTAGCCCTGGGGACGAGAAAGAGGAGGAGAAAGAAATGACCCAGGACAGGCTGTTCTGGGGACCACCCCCATCCCGACTACAGGGGGAGGCTTTTGTACCCAAGAAATTGTATCCGTGACTGAGGATACAATTTATATCCCACCTCCACCCTTTATATGAAAGGAATAAAGTAAACATGTTTTTAGGCTGCAACATGGGGGGAAATAGGAATGATTTTTGCATCAAAACAGTCTTGATTGCAGACAGGGCAGGCGAAGGCACCAAGGGGATCCACCTTCCACGCAGCCACGCCATGAGCTGGTGGCAGGCTGGCCTTGGCCCATGGGGCCAGCGGGCACTGGGAGCTGGTGTCTGGTGTGGAGGTCAGAGGCTGGCCCCCCTGGCCCAGCAGAGGGGTACCTGTCAGCTGGCTAGATCACTGGCCTGCAAGCACGTCCCTTCTCCTAATGCAAGTCAGCTCTGGGCCAGGCGGCTTTGTGGGAAGAAGCTCAGACCAGAGACACCAGCTCCTCAGGAGGGAATCCTGGCTGCAGCAGTCCTGACCAATAGCCCTCCAGGAAGTGATTTTTCCACCCCTGCCTTGATGGGGCGTGTGCTCCCTCCTCCCAGAGTAACCTCATGTGGGGCCCATCTGCCTGGGAGAAGATGCTTCCAGACGCTGGTTCAAACATCTGGCTTCCTGAGCCTCCTTTCTGTTGATCCTCACTTTGCCCTCTGGGACCCCACTCATTCATTTGTTCATGTTTTCCTTCAGCAAATACTGTGAGTCCAGTGTGGGTGGAGCCTGTGTCTGCCACTCCCTCTGCCCAGGCAGGCCCTCTGTGACAGGAGCGTTCTGTGTCCTCTGGAGGCTACCTCCACTCTTGGTCCATTCTTTCCCTGCTCCCACCTTCCTACCACCTGGCTGCCCTCTGAACAGTCAGCAAGGACTCGCAGGAGGCCGTGGGCAGAGAGCAGGGCCTGAATGCCCGGCTGGGTGTGAGGGCCTGGGTTACAGGCCCAGCTGTGCCCCTGCTTCCTGCACCCCTCTGTGGTCTTGTCTGTAAAATGGGGATTCAAAGCAGATGGTCTTGAGGCTCATCGCTCTTTACCTGTTAAGGCTCTGTGCAAAGGCCACCTCTGGCCCTCTGACCCCAGCTCAGATTCTTCCAGTTTCTGCTCTGAGAACGGCTATCTCATCTTAGCATTGACTATGTAGGAAGCAAACCTGCCCTGGCAGATCCCTGAAGGTTTATCCTGTACCCCAGCCCCAACACTGGGCCGGGCACAGAGGAAGGCTTGGGTAACATGGGCCTGAACCAAGAGGTGGGTGGCAACAGGCAGGACAAGAACATCCACTTCCGGGGTGGATGGTGGGGCTTAAACTCCAGCCACAGCTCATGATCTCTGTGATCTTGAGCAAGTTTTTAACCTCCCTGGGCCTCAGTTTCCCCACCTGGGTAAAATGGGGATAATACTCCAAGAGGGAATTAAATTATATTTTACTTATTTATTTTTGAGACAGGGTCTCACTCTGTGGCCCAGCCTGGAGTACAATGGCACGTTCGTAGCTCACTGCAGCCTCCACCTCCTGGTCTCAAGCCGATCCTCCCATCTCAGCCTCCTGAGTAGCTGGGACTACAGGCACAAGCCACCATGCCCAGCTAATTTTTTTATTTTTTGTGGAGACAGGATCTTGCTGTGTTGCCCAAGGTCATCTCAAACTCTTGGCCTCAAGTGATTCCCCCAACTCAGCCTCCCAAAGTGCTGGGATTACAAGTGTAAGTCACTGAGTCCTGTTGGCGGTTACATTATATAAATAGGTTTCATGTATTATAGATGCTCAGTAAGTGGCTATTGTGTTATTTTATTTGCCCACATAAGGCAGGGGTTCTGCATCTTACAGAGGTATCTGTGCATTCTATGGGAGTATGCCCACAGATTGCAACTGTATTCAACTCATCTGTGTGCCCAGCCTTTACACTGGGCTCCTAACCGTGCACACCAGGCTTCAAGGACCCCATAGGATGGTGTTCCATGGTGGGCAAGCATATGCAAACCTGTCCCCAGTGTCCGAGGAAACCGAGAGGCTGAAGCTGGCCAAATCAGTTTCTTAGAGAGAAAAATGTAATAGGGTCTGACAAACAGAAGTCATTGTTGTGTCTTGGGTGGCAGTGAGACAAGATGGTGGATCCCTGCACCATTATCCCCCGAAGACCCAGGGCTTATATACCATAGGGAAAGGGCATCTGTGATTCAGAAGGGATGTGTAGGACAATCGAAGTACTACAACATCAAGGTTGTTTTGGCCTAAGGGCAGGATTTACAGTAAGTGTGCACTCTTACACAAGGAACAATAGAGAAACTGGAAATCTTAGAGGCCTTCCCAGAACAGGGGTTAATCAGAAGTCAACATGGTGTATCAGCATCCAAGATGCTCGTTTGGCATCATAGCTGTGACTGGGGCTGGAAGTCTGTGGACAGTGGAGGAGAAACAAGGTTTGAAATGTATAGAGACTGAAGCCTCCCAGGTTCAAGCGATTCTCCTTGCCTCAGCCTCCCAAGTAGCTGGGATTACAGGTGCCTGCCACCATGCCTGGCAGATTTTTTTTTTTTTTGTATTTTTAGTAGAGATGGGGTTTCATTATGTTGGCCAGGCTGGCCTTGAGCTCCTGACCCCATGATTCGCCCACCTTGGCCTCCCCAAGTGCTGGGATTACAGGCATGAGCCACTGCGCCTGGACAACTTATGCAATATTTTCTATAGAAAGAATAGAAAGATAATTCAGTCTTTTTTTCATGTGATTGATTGAAACTAGTGTATTATGATTGACAATTGAGATGCATAAAATATGCAGCTTCAGACACAAATACACTTGCTATTTGTTCTACTGCTGTAGGGTTGTGCCCTACAAATGTAGAGCTCTGGCAAATTCTATTTCACATGATTCCCATCAAGAAGAAAACCTGGATGTATTTATTTACTTTTTATTTATTTTGTCTGTTTTTTTTTTTTTTTTTTGAGATGGAATCTCACTCTGTCACCTAGGTTGGAGTGCAGTGGCACAATCTCGGCTCACTGCAACCTCTGCCTCCTGGGTTTGAGTGATTCTCCTGCCTCAGCCTCCTGAGTAGCTGGGATTACAGGCACCTGCCACCAGGCCCAGCTAATTTTTTTTTTTTGTATTTTTAGTAGAGACAGGGTTTCACCATATTGGCCAGGCTGGTTTCGAACTCCTGACCTCAAGTGATCCGCCCGCCTCGACCTCCCAAAATGCTAGGATTACAGGTATAAGCCACTGCGTCAGCCTATTGTGGTTTTTTGTTGTTGTTGTTGTTGTTGTTGTTGTTTTTGAGACAGGATCTCATTCTGTCACCCAGGCTGGAGTGCAGTGGTGGGATCTCAGCTCACGATAGCCTCTACCTCCCAGGGTCAAGTGATCCTCCCACCTCTCAGTCCTGGAGTAGCTGGGATTATAGATGCATGCCACCATTCCCAGCTGATTTTTGAATTTTTAGTAGAGATGGGGTTTCGCCATGTTGCCCAGGCTGGTTTCAAACTCGTGGGCTCAAGCAATCTGTCCTCCTTAGCCTCCTAAAGTTCTGGGATTACAGGTGTGAGCCACTGCACCCGGTCCAGAAAAGATGTATTTATAATTTCTAATTATATAGGCTGCACTATCTATGACATTCCTGATGCAAGATCATTACTGGGTTGGTTTGTTTTTTGAGAGGGGGTCTCACTCTGTCACCCAGGCTGGAATGCAGTGGTGCAATCATGGGTCACTGCAGCCTCCACCTCCTGAGCTCAAGTGATCCTCCTACCTTAGCCTCCTGAGTAGTTGGAACTATAAGGCATGCACTACCATGCCCAAAGAACTTTTTTTTTTTTTTGCATTTTTTTGTAGAGATGGGGGTTTCATCATGTCGTCCAGGCTGGTCCTGAACTCCTGGACTCAAACGGTCTGCCCACCTCAGCCTCCCAAAGTGCTGAGATTACAGGCATGAGCCACCACACGAGGCTGATAATTTCTGTTTTGATGAGGCCCAAATTCTTTGCCTACAATTTGGTACATCTGATGCCTGAACGAATACTCCAGACTGGCTTCAGTCTCTATACATTTCAAACCTTGTTTCTCCTCCACTGTCCACAGACTTCCAGCCCCGGTCACAGCTATGACACCAAATGAGTCGGCACGGTGGGCAGGCAGTATAGGTATTCATTCTGAAAGCTGTTCCTATACCAGAACGTCTAGTAATAACTCTACCCGTAAGTGACCGCGAACCATATAAATATGCACCACTAATCCCAAATTACTGTAAATGTATCCTCAGCTCAGCTTCCCTTCAGCTAAATCCCCCAAATGCCTCAGCCACTCAACACCCCTTGACAGGAAAGGAAGGAGGGGAAGTAAAAGTGAAAAGAAACAGCGGTATCAACCCTTTGCGGCTAGAATACCTTGCTTTGTGCAAAGTTTTACAAAAACATATGACCATGGGAACGCATTGCTAGGGTATCTATCTTCCAGCGAAGGGACAGCTGTAAGCAAGGGGCACTGAAGTGTAGACTTTATTAGCTTCTGGGTATGTCTGCCTTGGTGCCTGGCCCTGTTCTAATCAGTGGATGAGCATTGTCTCAGGGAATCTCCGTAACTACTCTGTGAGGTGGGATTTTTTTTTAAAAACAATGCAGAAACGGAGGTCCAAAGAGGTAGAGAGAGAAGCCAAAAGTCATGTGATTGATAGGGACAGGTTTGAAGTCAGAACCACGTGACCCCCAAGGCTACACTGGTAACTTTGTTCCCCAGAAACTGATGGGACTGTTGCCAAGAGATGGATGCAAGAATGGGTGGATGGATGGATGAACGCCTGCCTCATCCTCTAGTTTACTGGGTACTCAGCGCTAGCTGTTTTCATACAGGGAACTCCCTAAAGGCAAGACAGAGTCTGATTCTTCCCTTGCACAGGGCAGGACAGAGAAGAGGAACTCAGAAAAGGGCCAGGCTGGGGGGCTGAGAGATGAGGTGCCCCAGGACCTGCCCACAGAGCCCAGCAATAGTGTAGAGAAAGAAGACCTACACCAGGCAGAGGTGACAAGTCACAGAGCCATGTCTACTGGGTACCACTGCAGGGTTCCGCTTAGAGGCAGCATGCAGAAAAAGCCCAAGTCATTCTCCCCCAGGCCATAATGCAGCATAAGGCAAGAGGCTGGACAGGCCAACCTCTCAGGGCCCTGAGCCCTGCAACGCATCCTTGTCTACTCCTCTGCCTCAAGGCATTCCCAAGCTTCCCTTTGGAGTTTTCCAAGGTGTCAAGGGAATGAGATGCCCACCCGGGTGGTCCATTCCAAGGTTCAACAGCCGTAACGGACAATGCCCGGGAGCTGCAAGCCGAGCTCAGTTCCGCTTGAGGCATTTTACGGGCCCAGCCTGGGTAAACACGGGCTCCATTAATGCACCCGGGGTTTCACCTCTGCTGCTGTCAGTCTCGCCTCCCAGAGCCAAAGGCGCTCGAGCGTGAGGCACAGAGGCAGCTCAGAGAAGACAAGTGAGGGTGAGAGGGCTGCATGGCAGGGACCCTCAGACACTTCCCAGTCTCCCCAGACCCCGTCACAGATTTGGGACTGAGGCTTGGGGACTGGAGGGAGCAGGGAGCCCCTGGGGCAGAGGCAGAACTGGAGCATCAGGATATAACACCACCACCCCAGGTCCCATGCCTCTCCTGTAGATGGAGACTGTGCTTTCTAAGCCAGCAGGTGAGACATGTGGTCTGGCCACAGCTGGCTTCTTATGGGAGCAACTGGACAGAAACCGAAATCAGAACCGTCTTGAAAACTCCAGGACTCTGCTCCCTGTGATCATTTATCACTGATTCTCCCACACACTCCACGCACCTTTCCTGGTGCCAGCTTCTCTGTAGGCCCTGGGCCGGGGCTGGGGACCCCGAGATGAGTCAGACCTGGCCTTCGTCCAGGATGAAGTCACAGTCTGGTGGGGAGACAGGTGTGGACACAGGCAATGACAATGACAAAGCGGTGTGCTCAGAGCTGGGACAAAGAGGAGCCCCAGGGAGGGGCCCCTAACATAGACCGAGGTCAGGAGGGTGGGGGTGTGCCCTGGGGGAGGCGGAGGCCTGACCTGCATTCTGAAGATGAGTTCATCAGGGTGCCCAGCTATGGAAGGCACCGAAGGCAGGCAGGGAAAACAGCACCTGCAGAGTGACAGTCCTCTAGAGGGAACGGTGTGGCTGGGAAGAGGGCCTGGCACACAGCGAGCACTCAGCAAACATCTTTTGAAGGAATGAATGCATGAGAAGTTTGGTGTAGTTAGAGTGTGGGACTGGAAAACACTGGAGGGGGCTGGAAATGGAGAGTCTTAAAAATCATACTAAGGAGTTTGGTGAGTCCTAGGCCAGAGGGGAGCAGGGGAAGGGGAGGGACATGGCCCAATTTGCCTTTGAGGAAGACCTCTCAGGAGGCGGGGGTTGAACACGCATCAGGAGTAGAGTTGTCAGGTCAAACATAGGACCCTCAGTCAAATGTGAATTTCAGATAAACAGTGAATAACTTTTTTGGCATTTGTGTACTTTTATTGCTAAGCCTGGCGACTATAATTTGGAGTGGGAGTGGGAGGTATGGGGAGGTGAGCACATGAGAGGAAGGCCAGGGCAGCCATCCAGGGGGAGGCGGTGCTGGCCTGCACAGGGCAAGGGCATGGGAGGACAGGAGGGGACAGCAGACAGCATTTGTATTTGTTTGCTTTTTTTTTTTTTCATGAAAACTTGTTTTTGAAATATAACATGCATACAGGAAAGTGCACCAATCATAAAAATATTCCTTAATAAATTATCAAAAGTGAACACATCCGGGTAACTACCAGGTGAGTCCACAAACAGGACGATGTTCTTGTGCCCTTCCTGCCCTGGGTTGGGACTCCTCAGTTCCACCTGTGCTGTTCACGCCTGGCCTCTTTCGTTCAGAGTTGTATCTGTGAGAGTCCTCCATGGGGCTGCATGTAGTAGCAGTGGCTGGCCACTCTCATTGCTGTATTGCATTCTGTTGTGTGAAGGGATCACAATTGATTTTCCCTTTCTACTGTTGGTGGGCATTTGGGTAGTGTCTGGGTTGGAGCTTTAGGAACAGTGCTGCTATGAGCATGCCAGAACCTGTCTATGGGGGTGCATTTGTACACAAGTGTGCGGGATACATTCAGTGATGTGCCGGAGCCAGCTTGCAAGAGTCCATGACATGTGACGGGGCACGGTGGCTCACGCCTATAATCCCAGCACTTTGGGAGGCCAAGGCAGGCAGATCACTTTGAAGTCAGGAGTTCGAGACCAGCCTGGCCAACATGGTGAAACCCTGTCTCTACTAAAAATACAAAAATTTGCTGGGTGTGGTAGCAGGCGCTTATAATCCCAGCTACTCCGGAGGCTGAGGCAGAAGAATCGACTGAACCCGGGAGGCGGAGGTTGTAGTGAGCCGAAATTGCACCACTGCACTCCAGCCTGGGTGATAGAGGGAGACCCTGTCTCAAAAAAAGAGTCCATTACATGCATCTCTTCCCAACTCTGCGTTCCGGGGCATTGCATTGGTAGTTTCAAATAGGCCACAGTGGGATTATTGACACCATAGAATTTGGCAAATGTTACAAATCAGGACTTTTCCTTTCTTTCTTCCTTTTTTTTTTTTTTTTTTTTTTAAGGAATTCTCACTCTGTGGCCCAGGCTGGAGTGCAATGATCCTATCTCGGCTCACTGCAACCTCCGCCTTGCATGTTTAAATGATTCTTCAGGAGAATGGCATAAACCCGGGTGGCGGAGCTTGCAGTGAGCTGAGATCGCGCCACTGCACTCCAGCCTGGGCAACAGAGCAAGACGCTGTCTCAAAAAAAAAAAAAAAAAGATGATTCTCCTGCCTCAGCCCCCTGAGTAGCTGGGACTACAGGTGCCCGCCACCATGACTGGCTAATTTTTGTATTTTTAGTAGAGACTGGGTTTCACCATGTTGGCCAGGCTGGTCTCGAACTCCTGGCCTCAGGTGATCCAGCTGCCTCGGCCTCCCAAAGTGCTGGGATTACAGGCGTGAGCCACCTCGCCCAGCTTTTTATTTATTTATTTTTTTTTTTTGAGAGCTGGTTGTTATACATTTACCAGCACACCACTGGATATGTCCCTAAGAGTAGATTGCTGGTTCATAGGAGATGTTCAGCTTTATGTGTGACACAGTGTTCCAAAGTATTTGTACTCAGTTATACTCGCCCAGCATTGTGTGAGCTCCAGGTGCTTCACATCGTCACCGTGGAGAGGTTTTCATGAGGTGTAGACAAGTTCACTGTGGGGAGGGAGGGGAAGGCGGGTCATTCAGGGGATGCCCACCGTCTGGCTGGGCTTCTGGAAGTGCCATTTCTGAGAGAACCCAGGGAGAGCGGGTTTGAGGATGGATGGGCATGGGGAGTCTGCAGGGCCTGGGGGCATCCAGGGGTCATCAGCTGTGTGTGTGCATCGCACATCTGTTCACCTGCTGCCCCCTCATCCCTGCCCCAGGCTTCACCCCTGTGCCTCCCCTGGCCCCCATCCTCTCCATAGCCTCCCCTTCCTGCCTCCTCTTCCCCTTTGTCTAGGGTTGTGAGGGCACCTGCAGTGAACCTGGCTTTGATGGTCCCTTCCACCCCAGGCACTGCCATGATTCAGTGTGGGACCTGAGACAGGTCATGCTCCGCTCTGGACCTCAGTGTCCCCTTCTGTACACTGGGATCCTGGGCAGAGGTTGTGGGGGGCAGACCTCGAGGTCCTGGTCTCCAGGGGCTGCAGGCTCTTGTTCTCCACATCATGGTTTGTGAAGCTCTTCACCCCTTCCAGAGTGAACTGCTCGCTGAGCCCCAAGCATTTGTAGCCTTGCCACCTGCTTATTATCTAAGATTTGTTGAGGGCTTTGCAGTGAGAAACACCTTACTTCCTCTGCTCCTCCCGTAGCCCTGTTCTCTCTGCACCTGGGGCCTAGGTCCAGGCATTTGCTGGGGCCAAATGGCCTTGAGAGTGGCCGAGTCAGAATGCAAACCCGGATGTGGGATGACAGTGTCCAGGCTGGCAGAGCCATAGGCAGTGCTAGGGCATGCTGACTTGGTTCCCCTGTGGCCAGCTGAGGTCCTGGCACAGAGGAGATGTCGCTGGAGGTCTGTGGAATCAAAGAACACCCTGCTCCTGCCCCGCTCCTTTGTGCAGGGCTGGATAGGCAGGAGGACTTGGACGGAGCCTGTGGATGGGCTGACTGTGTGGTCGGGGAGGCGGGGGCACAGCTCTGACCAGCTGGGTCGTGGGGGGTGGTGCATAGACGACTCCGAGACCATGGCCCATTTCACCGGAGCAGTTCTCTGCGAAGGCAGGAAGTGGTTTGTATTTTCAGAAGGAAATGAGCAGGGCTTGCTCGTGGGGAGCTCTAGACAGCTCTGGGAAAGGGCTCCAAGGGAAACAGGCCCCGGAGGGGAGGCCAGCGCCAGCCCCTCCCTGTGAGGCGGGCAGGTGTTGACCAGCAGGGCTGACAAACGAGCTGACCGTGTCCCTTCCCTGACATTGCTGAGAGATGCCTCCCTCCAGAGGGGGTTTCTCTGGCGCTGAGACTCCAGGAGGTGCACGTGGGCCAAGCAGGAAGGGGAAAGGGGCCTAGACTCCTTTCACCACCTCAGAGACCCTACAAATCAGGACTGGCAATGGGAGGGCTAGGTCTGCTGCTCTCCTGCCCAGGAGGTGGAGCAGGAGGTACCAGAGGGGGAGGAGAACTGGCTGGGGCTGTTTGGAGATCAGAGTATCCCTTCGATTCTGCTATTCATCCATCCTTCCTTCCACCTTCCACCCTGTTCCACACCAACCCCAACTGAAGTCCCCGTGCTGGGAGTGCAGACACAGAGATGGAGATGGAGCAGGCTCAGGCTCTGACTCCAAGGGGCTCCAGACCTGGTGTGTGCGTAGGGGGTTGGGTGGGAGGCTGACTAGTAGGGAGCTAATGACACAGGGTGCCCTGAGGCTGGTGACCAGCCCTGCCTGAGGGGCAGCAACAGCTTCAGAAGAGGGTAAGGTGTGAGTTAGCTCTTGATAGGTATAGGAGGCCATCAGGGGAGCAGGCAGGGAAGTGACCCTTCGGGGCACTGTGGGTGGAACCCTGCTGGGTTCTCAGGCCCCAGGGAACTCTAAGAAGGTGAGGGGCAGGAGGGGGTTGCAGGCCTGGGCTGGCAGGAGAGCAAATCCCTGTGTTCTGGTTCTGCCTTAGTCCCTGATGGTTCTCAGTGTTGGGCCCGCCAGGAGCAGCCTCCGCCCTGCCCCAGGAGGTGGAGAGGAGCTCTGAAGACAGCCCTGGGCAAGGGCTTAGGCCCGAGGCAGGCGTGGCTCCCTGCTTGCCTTGCTCTGGGATCTGAGCGGTGCTGCTTTCTGCCGCCTCGACCTCATGGGACTCACAACCTGGTGGGAGACGGTCATAGCCTCACAGATGGCCACCATGGAGATGGCTCTGCAGGGAGGGGTGGAAGAGAGCGAATTTGTCAGAGGAGGAGCCAGGGGAGGGCATGCCAAGCAGAGGAAAAAGCTTGTGGAGGCCGAGGCAAGAAGGAGCAGGTTCAAGGCCAGTGTGGCTGGAGCGCAGGAGCCTGGAGAGAGGATGGGAGGTGAGGCAGCCATTCTGTGTAGGGTCAGAAACCCTTGAAAAAGAGAAGCGGACATGACCAAGTGTGCAGTTTTCTGTGCCAGGGCCTGGGCTGTGCAGCAGGGTGATGGGCAAGCATGCCCTGGCCTTGCTCTAAGGCTGGAGAAAAGATTTTTTTTTTTTTTTTTGAGACAGTTTCACTCTTGTTGCCTAGGCTGGAGTGCAATGGCCCAATCTCAGCTCACTGCAACCTCCGCCTCCTGGGTTCAAGTGATTCTCCAGCCTCAGCCTCCCTAGTAGCTGGGATTACAGGCATGCACTACCACGCCTGGTTAATTTTGTATTTTTAGTAGAGACGGGGTCTCACCATGTAGGCCAGGCTGGTCTCGTACTCCTGACCTCAGGTGATCTGCTCACCTCAGCCTCCCAAAGTGCTGGGATTATAGGAATGAGCCACTGCGCCTCGCTGAAGAAAAGAATTTTTAAGTAATTCACCATGGCTCCTGGATGACAGCGAGACCAGTAAGGAGACTTTTGCAAGTCCAGATGAGTGGTGGGGGGACTTGGTGCTGAAGGTTGTTCCCAGATGTCCAGCTTGATGCCCAGGGGGCCGTGGGTATAAGATGGGAGACTTTGGGAGGCAACTATAGAGAGGGGTGCCAGAAGTGATGAGCTGGTCTTGGAAGGTAGATGAGCCTGTGAGATGTCAGGTGGCCCCTGTGGCTCTGGAAAGAGAGGCCTGAGATATACAGGGAGGTAGAGATAAAGATTGCCCAGGAGAAATGGCCAGAGAGTATAGAAGGGCTCGGTGCAGAGCCTGAGTAGCTCCTGAAAATTTGCCTCCTTATTACCTCCTTGCTCCTGTGCAGGCCAGGGCCCCTGCCCCTCCCTGGGCTCTGGGCTTCCAGTCTCACCCGTTCCAAGCCATCCTTGCCAGCAGCCAGGAGAGCCCTGCTGCAATGCCAACTAATTGCATGTCTCTAGCAGCACCCCTGTGCCTAAGCCTGGCTCTATCTGGCCTCTTCTACAATCCAGTGCTCTTCTCCAGCCCTTCTACCCTGTGCTGCCTCCTAGTGAAGGGTTAGATGTGTCATTCTGCAGCCCTTCTGGTGGCTTCATTCAGCCTTTGGGGCTTCGTGTATGTTTTCCTACTGTGAGGCAGGAACCCCCACTCCCTTGTCCATCTGATGAATCCTACTCATCTTTCAAGATTCAGCTCAGTGCCACCTCCTCTGAGAAGCCTTCCTTGGTTAGCCCATTTCCCCACAGAGTTAGGTCCCCTTCCCTGGATACCCCAGCCTCCTATATGCTCAGATCACTGTGTTTCAGAGGGTGTCACCTTCCGCCATCCCCAACAGCCTGGGAACCACCTGAGGGCAGCTCACAGGCCAGGCAGGCACAGGGCAGGAGCTCAGGAGGGGAGCTGAATCATAAGGCAAATTAAGTCTCTGTCCGGCAGGAACCTGGCCAAGGAGATGTGCTGGAGGGGTTTCCTGTCCCAGAGAGTGTGGTGGGCGTACAGTGCTAGGCACCCGCTAGGCTCCACAGAGAGAATGAGGAGGTGGGAAGATTGGAGGTAGGAGACATTAGCATAGCTGGGGCCCAGCAGATCCCTAGGGAAAATGGATGCCCTTCCCATTTGGCATGTGCGTGCAGGTGAGGATTGGACAAGCTGAGAGAAGCCTGCTAGGCAGGGGGCAGCATGAGGAAAGGCAAGATGGCAGCACCACATGGAGAACCAGTGTCGGGGCAGAGAATAGCAGGAAGTGACACTGGGGAGGGGGCTTTTGAAAGGCCCCTTAGAAACAGCTGTTCCCCTCGAGCCTCACCTCGGCCGGGCCCTGAACTTGGTGGTGTCTTAGTCTGTTCAGGCTGCTACACCAGATCCCCATAGACTGAGTGACTTAGACAACGAGCTAGCACTTCTGGAGGCTCGAAGTCTGAGCTCCAGGTGCCGGCAGGTCAGTGTCTGGTGAGGACCTGCCTCCTGGTTTGCAGATGGCTGTGTTCTCCTTGTATCCTCACATGGTGGAGAGCAGAGCGAGATGAAGCAAGCTCCCTGGAGTCTCTTTTTATAAGTGCACTAACCCATCACAAGGGCTCCGTCCTCCTGACCTAATTACCTCCGAGTGGCCCCATAATAACATCGCACTGGGGGTTAAGGATTCAACATAGGAATTTGGAGGACACATATGCAGTCCATCATGATGGGGACCTGTGGGACCCATCTAAAGCCCACAGCCTCTGTGAGATAGGTACTGGTGTCCTCTCCACTGGATGGATACAAACCAAGGCATGGAGAGGCCTGACCACCTGCTCAGGTCAAAGGTGGGAGCAGGGGTGTCTGACTCCAAGGCCCATGCTCATGACTGCCACATCCTACTGTCTCCTCCCCACCCTAGTGTCTCAGCCCCGCCCTGCTGTCTTCACCCTGCCCTGCTGTCTCTGCCCCACTTTACAGAGGGGGATACTGAGGTCCAGGCGTGCAGTGACTTACCTGGGGGTGCCCAGCAGGTCCAAGGAAGACAAGTACAGCCAAGCTGAGCTCAACTACCCGGTCGGGCCTCGTTTAACTGCACCCTCGACCACAGGGCCCCTCCTCAGTGCCGCTGGAGGAACTTCAGAGGCGGCATAGCTGGTAGAGGTGGGCAGGGCATGTGGCCTGGCACCTCTGCAAAGACAGACCCCAGCCCCAGCGGCCACTTTGAAGGAGGCTGAGGGCAGGGGTGGGGGCTGTGGAATTCACGGAATGGAATGTGAATTGTCTCCAGAGCTCCAGGCTGGGAGGGCCACAGGGTGAAGGGTTGGGAGAACAATGGGGGCCTAGGGAACTGGGGCTCCTGGGACAGACAGGGCCGGGCAGGGAGGGACAGGGCTGGGCTCGGCTGAGCAAGGCCCTGGGGTGCAGGTGGCTGAGATGAAACCACAGACCAGACAGGGAGCAGCCTCCTTTCCCCTAGATCCCACGGGTGCCAAGCACACTCAGCACCTGCCCCCAGGAGGAGACCGATCCTGACACCCTCCTTGTGCAGGAGGCTGAGAAGGCCATGCATGCTTTCACCGCCATGAGCTTGCCGGGCCGCAGCAGCCTGTGGGATGGGCCTAGTGGTGATCATCATACCATTGCATGGATTGGGAAGCTGAGGCCAGAGAGGCATGAATTACCCACAGCCCCTCAGAATGTCAGCGACACGTGCCCTTGATTCAGCGGGTTTATTTGAGATAGGGTTCCTCTCCCTCTCTCACCCAGGCTGGAGTGCAGTGGTGCCATCACAGCTCACTGCTGCCTCGATCTTCCAGTCTCAAGCAGTCCTCCCGCTTCAGCTTCCCAAGTAGCTGAGACCATAGGCACACACAGCACCATGCCCGGCTAGCTTTTTAAATTTTTTGCAGAGATGGGGTCTTGCCATGTTGTCCAGGCTGGTCTCGAACTCCTGGGCTCAAGTGATTTTTCTTCCTTGGCCTCCCAAAGTGCTGGGATTCCAGGTGTGAGCCACTGCACCCAGCCCAGTGTTTTGTCAGCACCCTATCGAGCTTTCCCACCGGGACCCACAGACCCTGGGGGAGGCCAATCAACTCAGGGCAAAGACGCCATCAGCTTCACAAGGGTGGGATTGGCTCCCTGGAGCAGTGTCTGAGTGCCAGGCAGCCAGGCAGGGGTTCCCACACGCTTCCACTCCCTCTCCATCCCTCCCTCCCCTTCCCCCTTCTCCTCCCCTCCCACCTGAGACTAACAATTCATTGGCTTGAGAAGCGCTGGCAACTCTGCAGAGCCTGTGGCTTCCATGGTAGGCCACGTGGTATGGTAAGTTCATTCTCACCTCTCACCTTCCTTTTGGGGGCAGCAGCCCTGAAAGAAAAAGTGTGAGGGCTTTGGGGTCAAGTCCGCTCTGCGGCTTCCTGCATTATGCCCTTGGGGACCCCACTTCACCTCTCCTGCCTCCTTTGACAGCTGCTGTGAGGATTTCATGAGCCACCTGCAGTTATAGGAAAACCCCAGGCCCTGGACACATATCCTCATATCCTCCCCCAGGCCCTTCTCTCCAGCCCCTCTGCGTCCAGGGTAGTCAGCAGAGTCAGCAGCAGGGGCCAGGCTGAGGTCAGGGCTGTGCTGAGGCAGAGGAGGGTCTGTCCTGCCCGGGCACAGGAGTCCAGCCTCTGCCTTCAGAGTGGGTGACCCCCTGGGGGTATCTGCCAGGGTCCTGCTTAGTGTCCCTAGCAGGGGACAGTGGGGTCTCTGACACAGATAATGCTGCTCATCCCTGGCCCAGAGCCCGTTTTAGGGTAGAGCTGACCAGCTGCTCCCTGGGAATTATGCTACACTGGGTGCTGAACACGCACGCTTACAGCCCCTGCCTCCATCTCACAGTCTACGACACTGTCTGAGGCCGTCTCCTGCTGCTGTCACGGACACCATAGACTGGGTCATATATAAAGAACAGCAATTTCTTTCTCACAGTTCATGAAAGCCCTTCCACACCCCAAGGCTGCACCAGGCCCCACATTCTGAGGCCACTGAACACCAGACACCTCCCTGCACCTGCCCCGGGATGGGCGACCCTGGAGCCCAGCCAGGCTCCTATCCACACGGTGGGTGCCCCTTTTCTGGGCCATCCTGATGCTTCTGTCAAGGCTCTGGAGTCCTCCCCGACCCCAGCACACTCCCCAGGCCTGCCGCCCCGGTCCCTCTGCCTTCTTCCTCGGCCCTGTGCCGTGCCTCCCACACTGTGGGCAGAGCTTCTTCCTCAAGCACCTGCGTCCTGTGCAGCAGCCTCCCCAGCACAGGCCTCACAGGCATTTACCGCCCTCACTGTCCCCCACATGCCCCATCCAGCCTCCACTCCCATCGCTGTGTCCCCATCGCGTCTTGGTCTTTGAGCCATACCATGGGCCACCCTTGTGCCCAAATGGGCCGGGTCTCCTCAGGCGTTCAGTGTGTTTTTCTCTCTGCCTGGAACTTTCCTCCCAAAAGCGAACATTTCCTAGGTGCCTAGATTCACCCTGAGGAGCCCTGTTTGTTTGCGGGTGATGTCTGCATCCCCCTGGAATGAGTGAGGCAGATTCGGAGGTGGGGAGCCCGGGGGAGGAAGTGGGTAGTCCAGATGAGGGATGGGAGAAGCAGGCTGCAGGGAGATGGGGAGGTGGGGAGTGCCTGAGACAGAGTCCCAACCCTTCCCTGGGCCTGTGTCAGCCACAGGGCCCTGCAGATGGTACCCCCCAGCCCCTATCAGGATCATAGGGAGTCAGAAAGAAGTCCCCTAATGTAGATGGGAATCCCAGCATCCAGAGAGGGCCAGGGACCTCCAGAGTCACAAGGAGGCAGGGACAGGGCCTTCCCAGTCCAGCCCGGTGAAACCTCCTCTGGTGCACTGGTGCCCCTACCCCCACCCCAGGGCCCCACCTAGGGGAGGTGTGGGCATAAGTAGCTGAGACCAGCCCCCCTGCCCAGCCTTGCCCAGAAACATCCCACAGAGTCCCATGGCAGGCGGGCTCAAGGGCACCTGGCTTCCCCAGCACCCTCGCCCACCATGGCCCCTGCACTTTCCCGTCTGTGATTTCTGGCAGCAGGAAGGAGCTGGCCGGGTTAGTATTATTTTCCTGGTTTGCCTGACTGCTATGATGGTTCCTAAAATCACACAGTGGGGCTGCTACCATCCTGTTTGGGAGCCGGGGGGCTCCTTATCTGAGCAGACCACAGCTCCGCTCCCGCCTGGAGCCCAGCCAGGACAGCCACACAGGTGCCCTGAGGTCATGTAGCAAGAGCAGTGGTAGAAAGCTTAGGCAGGGGACCACCGAGGACACTCGCACACATTGTCTCGCTGGACACTTCAGCCAGTGGGTCAACTGGGCAGAAACGGAGGTTCTGAAAGGGTAAGGGGCTTGCCCAAGACCACTCCACAGGTCCCAAGTTTCCAGGCCCTTGTGCTGTTTCTTCAACCCCCACCCCAGACAGTGAGCAGGGAGGTTCCAATGCCTTGGCCCCATCGGGGGAGACCTGGCTGTTCCTGCTCCCTGCCTCCCCTTCTTCCACGACGTGGCCAGAACCTGGCTGGGAGCAGGAGGCCGGGGTCCTCGGCAGCCCCTGGCATGGCAAGCTGGGTGAGTTCCCCTCTGAGCTCTGGACTCGTGGCTGCTCTGAGGACCCCTGCCCAACAATGGCCGAATTCTCACTCCCCCCACCCAGGCCCTCATCTCTCCACAGGGCATGAGGCCACCAAGTCTCTCCCTACTGGGAATGGGAGACCTAAGGTAGTGGTCAGAGTCTCTCTCTGCCCACAGGACCAGTGGGCACCCCAGGAGTCTGTTCTAAGGAACCCCACTGTTCCCTGTTCTAAGGACAACAGAAGGCAGCAGGTGGTTCTGGGCCAGCCGAGTGGCCTAGGTGGCAAGCTGCAGGAAGGAATGGCCGCAGGACTAGCAGGGCCCTGCAGCCTGGCTGGTGGTCCCCGAAGTCGTCTGTCGAATGTTGGCTTCGCAACTCAGGCAGTCTCCTCAGCTCCCCAGCCTTAGTGTCCTTGCCTGGAAAGGGAGGAAGTGGTAGCACTTATTCCATGCAGTTTCGTGAGGATCCCGTGTTAGGGCCTATGAAGCACTTAGCAACTGTCGGACACCTAGCAGATGCTTGACAAGATGCAGCTGAGTATTATTCGGAATATTTTTTAACAAGTGGTGGGCAGGGCCAGCTTCACTAGGAGCAGCCCTGGAGCTGAGGGCTGGACCTGATTTAGAGGCAGGCGAGTCCCTCTCCACCGAGCGCCCACCCACAGTGTCAGCCCATCATCAACTCCGCCCTGAACATCTCAAGGGGGTGTTACTGCTATCTCCACCTGCAGGAGTGCCCTGTGAGGCTGCACACATTCGAGGGTAGATCTGGGTCTCTATGGGGTCCTGATGCTCATATGCCACACTCCACCTGGCCACTCATGTTTAACCCTGCCCTCTCCTTGCGAGGGGGTGTCTCTGAATATGTGGGCTACCCCAGGAGCTGCTGGTGCCCTGCCCTCACTCTGCTGTGGGGACCTGACCTGTCTTCTCGTGCCCAGCTCTTTCTGGCTCAGCGCAACTGCAGAGCTGTCACCTCAGCCTTTGATGACATCTTTACTTCTTGCGCCCTGTTGTTCAAGCATCCGATCTGGCCCCTGTCTTCTCCCTCAGCCTTTGAACTTGACCAGGGTTGGGGCTGGGTCACCCACCGTCTGGGCCTCCCCACAGGTGTGAAGCTTCAGGCAATTCCTTCCCCAGCCACTGCCCCCTGTTTCACCCCCTCACATGCAGACACCTGCTGAGTGGTATTCAATGACAATACGTTCCCTCGGTCAGCAAATATTTGCCGCCTGTGGTTCAGCCCACCTGCAGGCCACCCAGGATAGGAGCAGAGGGGAGAGTGGCCATGAGCCAACAGCGGCAGGCTGCAAAGGACACCATTATCATCTCTGGCTGCATCACCAGAAATGTGGGGGCCAGGACCCTACATTTCTCCAAAGCTGGACATGGAAGGAATGTTCTACTTTGGAGAACGGCCTGCTCTGGGCTCCATGGACAAACTGGACCTTGTCCAGAGGAGGCAAAGTTAGACAGATCCTCCAATGCTTCCTGACGTCTGGTTGTTGAGACTATTACATATGGAAGATAGAATTTGAGATGATTTTAGGTGATTCATGAAAAACTTACAACATCATATAGAATAGTGTCATAAACCCCGTGTCTGAATCATCTGACTTCAACAATCATGGTAAAACATCCAGTTGCCTCCACCTCCAGCGTGAAGTCTTCACTCATCTCAACATTTTGGTCACAGCATTGACTTCTCCTGGGACCCTTGAGCTGGTTGAAAGCAGGAGTGACGCTGGTCTATGTGGGTCCTCAGCCCACGACAGGGCCTAGTCCACTTTAGGTGGCATCAAGGTAGTTGGATTGAATCAACAAAAGAAGGTGGGAAGGACCCAGCGGCCCAGCATCTTCTGAGCACCCGCTCTGGTTAGGGAGCTCTCCCACCTGTCACCCCCTTGTGAAGGAGGGACTATAAGCCCCATTTTACAGTTGAGGAATTGGAGACAGAGAGAGGTTGAGTGTCTCACCCAAGTTACACAGCATTATGTGGAAGAGGCGGGTTGGGAATCTACCTCTGTCTGGTCCTAAATGGCTCTGTAATTTTTGTCAATCCACACCAGAAAGATTTTGCCATTTTTTTAACAAAAGGAAGTTGATTTGGGGAGCAGTTTGGGGTGCCCCAATCCTGTTCCTGTCCCTATTGCCTGAAGGGCCTGGCCTTAGTCAGCTGGGCGAGTGAGATGGGGGACATGGTCTTCCACACCCCCAAAAGGGCATCCCCTCCTCTGCCACCACTCCCAGTGTCCTTAGAGTGGAGAGGACACACTGTCCTCAGCCCTAGACCTGCTGGTCACTTGCCTAATCCCGCTGCCTCTCCATCCTCCATCAGTGCTCAAGGGGGCACAGGGCATCGGGTGGCTAACCTCTCAGGGACTTGGAGACCTAGTAGGCTGACCCACCCACTCTTCAGACAGAAAGACTGAGGCCTGGAGAGGGGAAGAGGCTTTTGAAGCAATTCTAGGGTAGTCTTTCTCATGCATACGCTGTGCCTTTGTTGAAAGGGATCCTACGTTTGTGTCCCGGCCCTTGCCTGACTTGCTGGTTATGAGGGTCAGTATTATCATAACAACCCTATAAGGTAAACATTGGTATTAGTGTAATCACACAGATGGGGCAGCTGGGACAGAGAGGTGAAGGTGACCTTGCCCACAGTCACACACAGGTGTCTGGGATTTGAACCCAGAAGCGTGGCTCCAGAGTGCCCATGCTTAGGTAATTGCTGGGCTTCCAAGGGGGCTGGGTAATGCTGCCCTTGGCCTGAGGTCCCCCGGTCTCTTGCAGTGCACCCCTCACCTAGTGCATCACCCACTCACTTGCCCTGCAAAGGAGGCTTGGATGGGCTATTTGCCCCCGCACTCCAGCAGGAAGCAGGGAAACAAGAGGGCCCTGGCGGAGCTGCCGTCTCCCCTGGCTCTGCTGAGAGCACCCCAACCTACCCAGGGCCAGGTGGGCCTCCCCAGTTCATCCTGCTCGCAAAGCCAACAGACCGTGGCGTCTGCAGACCGTGACCTCCTCCCGGCAGACAGCAGCTCTGGCAGCTCCATCGTCATTGCCAACTCCAATGCCTCAATGCACATGGCGGGGCCCAGCCACAGAGCCCAGCCCCTGCCTCCCTGAGCCCACCCATGCGAGCCAGAGAGGGGCTGCGGGTGGTGAAGGAGGCCTGGGATGGAGGGGCAGGCTGACAGGCAGGGTCAGCAGGGCTGTGGTGTGGCTGTGTGACCTTGGACAAGTGACTTGAGCTCTCTGAGCCTGCCTCGCTTCACCCATTCTTTTGTAGTGGCTCTTTCAGGGAGCCACAGTGTGGAAACAGGATTTGTAAGGGGCAAACCACTGTGCGGATGGGAGGGGCTCCTGCTATGCTCCTGTTCTCTCCCATGACCCATTTGTCCTGCCCTTTCCAAGTGACCCCTGTGGTCACGTCACATTGACGTGCGCTTCAAGGACCATTGCCCTGGCTCGAGGGCCAGCTCTGCATACACTCACGCCAGACCGTCCCAGGCAGGCGGGGGCCGCGGGGTCTCCCATCTAGCCCCTGCCTATGCAGAAGAGGCAAGAAGGCCTGGACAGGAAGCCGCCTGGGTGTGGGAGCAGCGAGCACAGGAGAGGGTGTGGGCTGCAGTGGAGGCAGCCAGGCCTCCTGTGGAGCTGTGAGGAAGGCACAGCTTTGGAGTCAAAGAGCCCTTCATTCAGGTTTTGGCCTGAAGACCTGGGGTGCACGGGGCCGTGCTGCCGTGCTGGTTGACCCTGCACCACTCTGGGGGCCACCTGGCCCGAGACTGTCAACAGGAATTTGTGTATTTTTTAAGACAACGTTGTGCTTGCAGGAAGGGGTGGCTTTGGTGGATGTGCGAAGGTGCCAGCTCCCCTTCTGTCATTTATCTCTTCCCGCCTCTCCTGCACTTGCTCAGGGACTGCTCTAGGGAAAGGACTGGGTCTGATGGTCTCTACCCGGAACCCAGGACAGGGCCTGCCAGGCATTTGCTGAGTGCTTGAGTGACCCCTTGTGTGTGCCCAGCACCTGAGGACCCTGTTCAGGGCCTGCACCCGAAGGAGCCCCTCAAGCCCCGGACAGATGCAGGGACATGAAATGCCCAGGTGGGCCAAGAAGGACATCCCCACAGGTCCAAGCCCACAGTGTGTGATGTCCCCCCTGCCTACCCAGAGACCCCCTGCCAGGGCTGTCTGCAGGCCTTCAGGGTATACCTGGCACACAGGACCAACTGGGGGGTTGGGGACTGCAGTCAAGCCGGGGTCTGACCTTTGTTCAGACTCACACATCTCCCCAGAGCCTCCCAGGCCTCCCAGTCACTCCCTTGGGTCTTGGGTTCAGGAAATTGGAAGAGATTTCAGGTATAGAAAGGGTCACTGTGATGCTGACATGTGACATGACAATGTGGTGAAAGGTAGCACCCGTGGGCTCTGAAGTCAGACAGAGCCAGTCCGAAGTTCAGCTTTGCCACTTGCCAGCTGTGTGATCTTGAAAAAGTTCCTCTCCGAGCCTCAGTTTCACAGCATTAAGAAAGAAAACTGCTCCCAATCCTTGCTGGGCTGTAATTACTTCCCTGTCACATTCACTTAGCAATTTCTGCCTCACTTGAGCTTCTCATCAGGCCTGCATTTTACCCCTGGGAAACTGAGGCTTGATGAGGCGGTAGTCCCGGCTTTGCCATGTGACCTTAGGCAAGGCACCTCCCTTCTCTAGGCCAATGAAGAGGTCAGAGGAGACGTTCCCCTGGGTCTCATCTGCCCTCTGGAGTCTGTGTTTAGGTTTTGTGGTCTGGCCTCTGGGATCTTGACTGTTCCCACTCAGTTGGGGGGTGTAAGCCTGGGCCTGTGTGTGGGTTGCGTGTGTTGGGGAGGAGGGAGGCAGTTGTTTTTGGTCATCAGCTGGCCAGGCCAGCCCCTGGGGGTGCATCCTCGGAGCCCTATCTCTACATGAACTTTCTCTCATCCCCAAATTGCACACAAGGCACTTTTTGGGATCGATTTACCTCCCCTGTGGCCCCCCTGGCCCATTTTACATTTGTCAGGAAGAAATCGGAGGAGCCATAGCTGCCCTCCCTCACCTCACCCACCCCGGGGACATTCCAGGATTAGACAGGAGTGGAGGTGACAGCACAGAGAAGAATAAATCTTGAAAGACAAGGTTCCACATTTTCTCCATTTAGTACAAAGCAATGCATTCCAAAACCCAGTTCAGCCAAGGGGAGCGTGGAGGCTGGAGGCAGGAGAGGAGGGCAGAAGTCTAGATTTTGATAAACAGAACCTGCTCCCCGTGAGTAGGGATGCTCAGCCTGGGCCCACCAACAAGGCAACTGTGTCCTGGATTCATTGCCCGCTGACTGGCCAGAGTCTGACATTCTGGCCGCCCTCCACTGGCTATTCTAGCCACCATCCATCAGGTCATGCAAGGCATGAGGCCAGGAGGGAGCAGGGAGGCCTGGGGCTTTGCAAGGTGTGAGCCTCTGTGGCTGGAGGGTTTCAGCAGAGATAAGAGGACCACTGGGCGAGGAAGTTATATGAGGACCCCAGCCCGGCTCCAAGTCAGACAGGCGAGGGTTTGCCTGTTGGCTCCCTCTTCCACTAACTGGTTGCCTTTAGCAGTTGTCTGTTACCTGAGCCTCTGTTTTCTCATCCGTAACCTAAGGATGATTACACCTTCTCCCAAGATTGTTAGGGGGACCAAAAGTGGCAGTGTCTGTTCCATTCCCAGCCGGAGGCATAACAGTGGGAACAAAAGGAGTATCGTGGTAGTGGGATTTGCTGTGTCGCTGTCTCACTATGGTCACTGTAACAAATTCCCACAAACTCAAGGACTTAACACAAATGTATTACCCTACAATTCCATAGGACAGAAGTCCAAAATGTACTTTATTGGGCTAGCATCAGAGTGTCAGAACTGCGCTCCTTTACAGAGGCTCTGGGGAGATCCTGTTCTCTTGCCTTTCCCAGCTTCTAGAGGCTGCCCGCACTCCTTGGCTAGTGGCCCCCTTCCCTCCTCAAAGTCAGCGATGGCTGATTGAGTCTTTCCTGCCTCCCATCACTCAGACACAGACTCTTCTGCTGCCTCCTCTTTCACTTTCAAGGACGCTGTGCTTACAGTGGCACACCAGGTAATCCAGCATTATCTCCTGATTTTAAGGTCAGCAGACTAGCACCCGATTTCCGTCTGTGATCTTAATTCCCCTTTGCCATTTAACATAACATAGGCACAGGCTCCAGGGATCAGGCTGTGGACATCTTTCGGGTGGGGAGCATATTCTGCCTACCACTCCATTCAAGTAACTCATTTCTCCACCCAGGACAGGAAGACTTTGCTGTCCCTGTTCATCAGGAACTGGTGAATGCTGTGGACTGGTAGCGCCGTGTGCTGCTTTCCTTTCTTCTCCCTTTTCAGTAGGAATTGTTATTGCAGTTACCCAATTCTCTCTGCCATTATGGAGTCATGGTCTGTTGGAGGGATAATCTTTCAGCCACAGATTGCAAGACCTCAAGAATACATCTAACTCTGAAGGAAAATAATATAAGTCACCCAGAGATTCTGAACTCAGTATTATGAGTCTCTGATTTGTCTTCTATTTGAGAGAGGGGAGGAAGTGGGAAGGTATTATTTTGTGTGCAAGTAAAGGCATGCATAAATGTCAGCCCTCAAAGGGGTGGACTGTGTGGGCAGTTATTATCTTGTCCTCAACATCCTTTCCCCTTTTATTCTGGTGGCAGGACTCTGCTTTTGCTCTAAGGTAATTATTCCTCTCATCCACTCTTCCCTACTCATTGGCTCCTATATTTCAGATAGTGTTGTCCCCACCCCCAACTCCAGAGCTCCAGAGCTGGCCGTGAGACATAGGCCCCGTCAGTCAGAGCTTCACATATTCCTGGCCACAAGGACTTGTTCACAGATGGACTCACGACCCGTTAGAAGCAATGGGTTACATATTTGAATGCTTGCTGGGTCTACTGACAAAGGAGGACTCTTAACAAAATTTTTTTTGGCTGGACCTGAACCTGGAAGTTAATTTTATAGTTATCTTTTCACCACTTGGAGCCTAAAAATGAAGCCAACATGGGAACCAGGAGAACCGAGAGATGGAGCGAGCAGGTCCTGGGGGCAGAATTTGAGCCCCTAGATAAAGCCATGCCTGAAACTCTCATGCCCTTGGACTTTGCAGTTAGATGACTTAATATTTTTCTTTTCCTTCTTTGTTTTTTTGACTAAGCCAATTTTTGTCACTTTATGTGGCAATGAGATTGTTGATTATAAATCATATGCTTTAGCACTCTGTCGTTTATTTTTTGTTTATTTTATTTTTTGAGACAGAGTCTTGCTCTGTCACCCAGGCTGGAGTGCAGTAGCACAATCTCAGCTCACTGAAACCTCCGCCTCCTGGGTTCAAGCAGTTCTCCTGCCTCAGACTCCCAAGTAGCTAGGATTATAGGTGGGTGCCACCATGCCCAGCTTCTTTTTTTTTTTTTTTTTTTTTTTGTATTTTTAGTAGAGATGGGGTTTCATCATGTTGGCCAGGCTGGTTTCAAACTCCTGACCTCAAGTGATCTGCCTGCCTCAGCCTCCCAAAGTGCTGCGATTACAGGCGTGAGCCACCATGCCCGGTGCACTCTGTTGTTTATAAAGAGCATTTATATTCATACCTCATTTAATCACCACCTTAAGCTCACAAAGTAAGAATTATTAGCCCTATTTTTTTTTTTTTTTTGAGACAGGGTCTCACTCTATTGCCCAGGCTGGAGTGCAGTGGTGTGATCTCAGCTCACCGCAGCCTCCACCTCCTGGGTTCAAGCGATTCTCCCGCCTCCAAGCAATTCTCCCGCCTCAACCTCCCAAGTAGCTGGGAGTACAGGTGCGTGCCACCACACCCGGCTAATTTTTGTATTTTTAGTAAAGATGGGGTTTCTCCATATTGGCAAGGCTAGTCTTGAACTCCTGGCCTCAAGTGATCCACCAGCCTCGGCCTCCCAATGTGCTGAGATTATAGGCCTGAGCCACCAAGCCTGGCCTATTAGCCCTATTTTATAGTTAAGATAACTGATCCAGAGAGAGGAAATGTGATTTGTTCACAGTTGTGGCACATTAGGTAAGGGCTAGGGCTAGGTTTTCTAAGGTGATAACTAGTGTTTTTTCTCCTCTCTTGTGTCACCTTCGTGGAAGGTGAGGAATCAGAAGTTCTGGTAAGAAGTGGAGTTTGAGCTGAACCTTGAGGAATAGGTAGGAGTCCATTAGAAGAAGACAGGCCAAAGCTTTGGGGAGGGAAAGGGCAGGTGTGATGGAGAGAGGTGGGCAGTCTAGGGCCCATTGAGCCAGGCGATGTGAGGACAGGCACGCAGGTGGACAGGCAGCACCACCTCACTGCTGAATGGAGGGATTGCTACTTAAAAGTCCCCAGGGGCTGGGCACGGTGGCTCACACCTGTAACCCCCAGCACTTTGGGAGGCTGAGGTGGGAGGATCCCTTGAGGCCAGGAATTTAAGACCAGCCTGGGCAACATAGTGAGACCTTGTCTCTACGAAAAATAAAAACATTAACTGGGCATGGTGGCTCGTGGCCATGGTCCCAGCTACTGGGGAGGCTGAGGTGGATTACTTGAGCCCAGGAAGTTGAGTGAGCTGTGATCACACCCCTGCACTCCGGCCTGGGTGCCAGAACAAGACCCCATCCCCTGACCTCCACCCAAAAAAAGCCTCCCTGGGGATGTATATGAGACGGAGATGTCTAAGGAGGATAACGGTGGGTGCAAAGGGGCAGGGAACCAGGGCTGGATATTCAGGTCCCAACATCTGGGAGCACTGGCTTTGGAAGAGGCTGCAGGGTCTGTCCTGAGTTCCACAGATCACACAACGCGGAGTGGTGCCCACTTCACTGTTTCCAGAGGTGACTCTTTTGTTTCAGGTCTGGAGAAGGGGCCCACTGCCATGTTTTCTTGATGTCAGACAGTCCTGGGTTTCCATTTTGCCCCTTCTGCCTCCAAGATGTGTGACATTGGATGACTCACATCACCTTTCTGAACTGCAGTGCCCCATCTGTAATTACATCTTAAGCTCATAAAGTAAGAATGATTAGCCCTATTTTATTTTTTTTTTGAGACAGGGTCTCACTCTGTTGCCCAGGCTGGAGTGCAGTGGTGCGATCTCGGTTCACTGCAACCTCTACCTCCCAGGTTCAAGCGATTCTCCCACCTCCAAGCGATTCTCCCGCCTCAACCTCCCGAGTAGCTGGGAGTACAGGTGGGCGCCACCACACCCAGCTAATTTTTGTATTTTTAGTAAAGATGGGGTGCCCCATCCGTGGTGAGGATCATCCGCAATGAAAGTAAAGCATGGTGCTTGGCACTAGGTGGGTGCTCTGCGAACTGCGGCTATCACCACCACCTTCACCTTCATCGTCATCATCATCATAGTGGTCTAGACCCTCTCCTTCCATTCTTTCTCCCACTACAGCCAACACACAAGAAGCCTGATTCTTCTCACGGGCGCCTTTGGGCCTGGAGTTCTGTTTCTGGGCAGCTTGGAGCCGGGAGTCCGATTCCCTGCCCTGTGGAAGGAGACATTCAGTCCTTTGACTCGGGCCACTGTAACTCTTACCGTGACTGCAGGTCAGCACTTGTCCTTTCGTGCTTGTCCTCCTTTTCTGCTTGCTCCTCATGGGGCAAGCCTGTGTCTGTCTTGATCGGTGCCTCGCTCAGTGCCTGGTGTGTAGAAGAGGCTTCCTCAATGTTTGCTGGAAGAAAGGCTGAATGAGTGACCTGTGATTGAACTCCTGGAGTGAAGCAGAAGGCCTGGTGCCGTGGCAAGGCCTCCAGCCTCTGGGTTCCCTGGGAGGCCCTCCACTGACCTCCTGTGAAGAGGTGGTGGAGCAGGAGGAGCTGGTCCCGGCAGCTCTTCGAGATAGGTAAGATTTATCCTCATTTTAGAGTTGAAGAACTGACGTTCACAGGGGCCTGCCCATCATCAGCCTTCCAATCACTGGTGGCTGGGACTTGATCCAAGATCTGTGCCCAGGCCCTGCCTCTCTCAAAGCCCATCCACTGCTAATTTCAGTGCCCACAAATCTTCATGTTTATTTTCATCTGAATGTTTTATTTATTTCAACCATGATTTCTGTTTACAATAGAGGCTTTTGTTCTTCAAAATGATATTGGATAAACCTAGAAAAAGGGGCGATCATTCTTGAAGTGTTTTCCAAAGCCTATGATGATGAAGAGCTAGACTGGGGTGCCAGCTCCTACTATTGTTCTCCAAGACCTTAATGAAAGTCATTACACAAGTGAGCTGCTAACCTATAAGCAAATGTGTCAACCTACGTACAATCAGGCAATTCCCTGATCCCCATTGGCTATTAGCCAAGTGCTGGATATTATCCAGCTGAGTGGGTTGCACAACACTCTCCCTGGAGGGGTATTGTTGGATGGGAGGGATTTTCTAGCTTGTGACTTGGATGAACCTGGAGTTATTTCCCTATTGAGCAGCCCCAGCCTGAGAGGCACCAGCAGCCTCTGCTGAGGGGTGGCTGGGACAGAGTGGGGGTGTGGGCTGGCCCAGTCTGTCCATGCCTGGCCTGGTGGTGTGGCCCTCAGAAGTCTCATTAGGATTTAGCTCTACATAGTGGCCCAGGAGAGCTCTCTGGAAACCCAGCAGCCATGCTGGGGAGGGGGCCTGGTTTCCAGGGAAGCAGGGCACCCTGAGCTCAGCAGGGAGAGAGGGCCAGAGCCGGAGGAGAGGCCGGAGCAGCAGGGGAGGAGACCTTGGCCCTTGGAACTGAAGGGCCCAGGGTGGGGGGAGGACGCCATGTGGGAAGAGGGCAGGAAAGGGGGATTTGGCACAGGCCTCTGCTGCCTGGTCTCAATTTAGTTGTGAGGAGCCTCCTAATAGCCGGGTGAGAGCTGTGCACGCTTTCCTGAGAGCCTGCTAAGTGTTTATGGAATGATTTGTGAGGAGAAGTTTCTTTGGAAGCAGCTTGGGGAAGGTATGTTATTAAGAGCTCTTTCTCCAAGTTCCCCTTGGCCCGCTTCCCCCCTGGCCCCTGGGGTCTGGGCAGCCCTGGTCACAGCAGCTGTTTGCTATTTTGTAGGCCATGGGGCTGGGGAGCACACTGGGGCTGGGGGAAGATGGGGAAGTGGGGTGATTTCCTCCTCCCTGAGGCGGTGTAGGGCAGCCGAGGAGTGCTGGAACCACGGTCGGGAGTCTTCCTCTGAGCGGGAGCATGGCGTTCGCCACAGGGGCCCCAAAGGAGAGAGGTCAGCGGGCCAGAGGCAGCTGAGAGGTTACAGGCGATGGGGACAAAAGTGTAGCCACTAGCCATCTAGCAATGTGGAAGTCACTGGGGGTAATATGGACATGCTAAAAGGATGAGATGGGCCCATGGTTTGTCCACCAGACTGGGAGCTCCCTGGGGTCAGGGAATGTCTGATCATCTTGATGTCCTCCAGTGTCACTGGATACTTGGGGCTGGCCCAGGGCAGGGGCTCGGCTTGGTGAGTGGCGGGCCCCAGAAGGGCCTCTGAGCAGCTACTGACTCATTCACCTTCCCCCAGCCAAGCATCCCGCCCAGAGCAGGGTCATTCTAGCCAGACCAGGACACAGTGAGGACACTGGGCCAGCCCTGGAAGTTCAGTGAACTCTGAATCAATCTACGAATCGTCCTGTCAGCAGAAATTTGCCCAACCTGGTTGCCGCAGAACAGCCTGTATACCATCAGGTGAGAGCAGCTGGCTACATAGGTCTGCCAGGAAGGAGCCAGTGACTGGCCAATTCTGATTCTCTGAGACCCCTACCAGGACATGTGGACCCACCATGAATCTTTGTCCCAACCTACTGGCACAACAGCCTTGGGATATTAGAGTTTTTTAATCTCTGATTTTATAGCTGAGAAAACCAAAGCCCAGAGATTAAAGCCACACAGCTGAGGTCACACCATGAGTACCTGCCCAGGTAAGGATCAAACTCAGGTGCTCAAGACCAAAGCTGGTAGTCTTACCTGTAAGGTACATGGCCGAACACACCCCACTCTGTCATCTCACTTGGCCCATTGCATTGTCATTGTCTATGATGTCTACCTATACGTTTGACTCCCCACTTACCTGACAGCTCCCTGAGAATAGGAGTCAGGTTGGCTTCATCCTTGGTCCTTAAGTCCCTGTACAGTACAGGGCCTGGCACAGAGGAGATGGGTGGATGATGGATAGATGGGTGGATGGATGGGTGATGGGTAGATGGATAGATGAATGGATGGATGGAGGATGGATGGATGGATGGGTGGATGGATGGGTGATGGATGGATGGGTGGATGGATGGATGATGGATGGATGGATGGATAGAGGATGGATGGATGGATGGATGGAGGATGGATGGATGGATGATGGTTGGATAGAGGATGGATGGGTGGATGGTGGATGGATGGGTGATGGATGGATGGATGGGTGGATGGTGGATGGATGGGTGATGGATGGATGGATGGATGGTGGAGGGATGGATGGATGGATAGATGGATGGTTGGATGGGTGATGGGTGGCTAAACTCTAGGTCAGAATTTGGAAGACAGAATTCCAAGTAGAAGCATCTTCATAAGCAAATTAGCAAAGCTCACAGCATGGTGGGGGTCTTAGAGAGTGGTCTTCCTATAGTGAAGAGGTGTGTGCCTTTGTAGCAGTGATCTCAACAGGTGTCAAGTACCGCACCAAAGGACTGTTCTGGCAATTTGCGGGAGTGGGTTTTAATGTTATGATGATTGAGGGTCTCCACTGGCATTTTGCAAGTAGGGACATTTAAAAATCTTGTGGGACATTTTGGTGAATGAAAGTCCTGTGTCTTTAGCTTAACTCTGTTTTATGTATAAGCATAAATTATTTTTAGCATGATTCTAGTACACCCTGAGTTTTCCAAGAATACAACCACCTTGCAAATTGAAGGAAGATAGTCCTTTATTCAGAACATTATAGAGACTGGTTCACCATTTCACAAAAATTACATCACTAATTGCAATGCTTCCCATGATGTTTGAGGACTAAAGTGGCACACCTGGCCCCATGTGCACACACAGCAGTTGCCACCATGATGGGCCTCCATACAGACCCTTCTATTAAGTCTTCTAGGGTAGTCAGCCCTGAGCACGAAAACAGAGAAATATGTATTTTTACTATAAGTTCCTTTCCATGTATTTCATTTCAGTTTTATTCAGTGTTGCGCTGGAGCCAAGTCCCATGAGAGCAGACTGTGTTCATTTCTCTCCACTCCGCATTCTGTGTCAGCGTGTTGGTTTGAAATCAGTCATGATGGAAGTATTTACACAACAGAAGTTGGCGAATGATATAAATTAAGGTTTTTAAAAAAATCCTTCAGAGATTGTTAAATGTTTGCCAACTCACCACTGGGCTTTTTTCATTGTGTGTGGAGGCAGGCTATATTATCTACGAAGATCATTTCAGTATAGTAAAGGGGGTGTTGGGGCCCACAGGGTGGAAAACCACGGATGGAGGGAAATGAGCCTGCGGATGGTTATGGAGGCAAGCACCTCCTGCCCATGGCAGGTAAGAAGTGGGCTTCTAAGGATGCCAGAGACCTTTGAATCCTGGAGAGGAGACCTGGGGGTGGGGGGTCAACCATGGAAGATCCTGCTCTGCCCCCTCCACCACAAGGAAGAGGAGCTGGAGATAATCCCTGCTCTCTTTCTCTGAAGAATTTAGCAGTGAGCAATTCGGCATGGCAGATGCTGGGGAGACTGGGTTGTGCTAGGCTATTTTGTTCTTTGTGGTTCTGACAGATAAAACTGCTCAGAAAAGGAGAGACCAGATGGCTTTGACACTGACCACCCCTTGACTTGTCGTCCTGGGTGTTTTGACCCTCCATCAAGTCCCCCTTCCTGTCAGTCCCAACCCTCCCCACCCTGTTGGACTGCTGCCCACTGCCCAGGGGTTTGACATCTATCTAATATCAACAGCTCCCAGTTTTTGAGCTCTGACTTGTGCCACATGCTTCTCTGAATTACTTCCATCTACCCCCCACCTCCAGTGGAAGGTCATCTCAGTTTCCCCATTTTTTTTCAGATAAGACGAGCTCAGAGAGAGGATAGGACTTGCCCAAGGTCACCTAGCCACCCAGTGGTGGAGCTGGCACCAAAAGCCAGGCTGTCTGCCTGCCCACGGGGCTCTTAACTCCACACTTCCACTTTCACAGGGAAGATGGTATCTGCTTAGCCCATTCCTCTGATGAGGTACAATGTGTAGGTCAGACCTGGAAGAGACCAGAGGAGTGACCTAATCCTATGATTCTAACCAGTTCATAAATCCACCCCACTCCCAACACACACCAGCCTCATCATGAAAGAAACTGGTCCCCCTGCGAGAGAAGCAGAGGCCCTCCTTTTCTAAGGAGAGATATTTTTTGCTGGTCTGTTTATGGTGTAGGTACAGCAGGCTGAATAATGGTGATTTCAGTGGGGTTATTGGGCGCCAATGTTATTGCTATGGCTTTAAAACACAAACAGAAAAAGAATCTATTAGTCACCGAGGAGTGTCATAAGCCTGTTGAGTAATCCGCCTGCCGGCCATGGTACCTGTGATTTGCAGGGATGATACATGAAATACCACAGCCAAATTCTCCGACACTTGCAGGTGGGAGTGGGGCCCATGGGGCACAGGGGTCATGGGCCTTGTTCTGGAAACCCTGCTTCCTACTGATGGACTGAGGACCCCTGCTCTAGTTCAGCTTCTCATTCCACAGATAGGGAAACTGAGGCCTAGAAAGGAGAAATGGTTTGCCCAAGGTCACCCGGCATCTTCAGGACAGGGTCAGGGCTGGAAGCCAGTTTCTGCTGGCTGTCTGCAATCTGGGAGGACAGCGAGTGCTCAAGAGCTGTGGCTGAGGCCCTGTGGTATATTCTCCATCCCTCTCTGACCTGCTTTCCTCCCCCCTCTGACATTCCTTGGCTGACCCCAGACCCTCTTCTCCTCCTCTCTGCAGATAAGGCTGCCAGGGTTTCCAGAGAGGCTTGGGGACAGGGTGTGGCTTCCAGAATGTCCAGAAATAGGGACGGGCTGGAGAGAGCCAAGATTTGTGTCTCTTCTCCCCTACCCTACGCCTGTCCATTCACAGCTGTGTGGGTGGATCCAGACACTCTCTGGAATTTGTCAAGTGGGCAAAGAGGCCAAAGCTTTCCCCAAAATCCAATCAGAAAGGGCCTGCTTGGAAGAAACAAAGACTGGGAGAGATGTGGCCAGAGCTCTGATTTCTGAGCATTCTTAAGATCCTAGCCACTGGTGTGAGCCAGTCATTTCCCAGGCCTGGGCCTCAGTTTTCCTGTTCTATAAAATGGTATAGGGATGTTCACCCATTCAGCAAGACTTTGCTGAGTGCCCAGTCATCAAACACTTCAGTGCTTACCGTATTCCAGGTACTGAGCTAAGTCGCCTTCCATGCATTCTCTCATTTAAATCCCACAACAACCTTAAAGCTAGGTTTTGTATTTCCTATTCAAATGGTAGGAGAATTGAGGCTCAGAGAGTTAAAACAACATATCCAGGGATCCCATAACAGATCCAGAGTCCATACCCAGGGGCTGATGGGCCACATTCTGAAGATATTTTCAGCTGGAGCAGGAATCTGAGGTCCAACCATGGAGAGATGGAGGCAACCCTTAGAGAAGAATGCTCACCCTGGGCACAGAACTGAGTCCTGGAGCCCAGCCCCTCTGAGTCTGAGAGGAGGGCACCTGGTCACGTCCATCATGACATCACTGGTCACCTGGCTGCTAGGGGGTCCCATCAGCAGAGCTGGAAGGCACAGGGCTTTCCCAGTCCCAGACCCTCTGGCCCACTGTCTAAGCAGCCAGTGCAGATGCTGTGAGGGAAGCTGGCTCCTTAGGCTCAAAAGTATCTTCTTCTCTGGCCTGCCCCAGTACCTGAAATGTCATCATTAGGGGCCAGGCACAGTGGCTTATGCCTGTAATCCCAGCACTTTGGGATGCTGAGGCAGGAGGATTGTTTGAGCCCAGGAGTTGGGACCAGCCTTGGCAACAAAGTGAGACCCTGTCTCTACAAAAAATTTTAAAACTTAGCCAAGTGTGGTGGTGTGCACTTGTGGTCCCAACTATACAGCTACACAGGAGGCTGAGGTGAGAGGATCACTTGAGCCCATACAGGTACACAGGAGGCTAAGGTGACAGGATCACTGGAGCCCCGGAGGTCAAAGCTGCAATGAGCCATGATTGTGTCATGATTGCGTCTCCTGTCACTCTCTTTCTCTCTCCTTCTCTCTCTCTCTCTATATATATAAAGAGATATATCTCTTTATATAAATATTTATTTACATAAATATATATATTTTTACATATATAGATTTATATATAAAATATATTTAAAAATATATATATATATCTTTTGTAGAGACAAGGTCTTTGCTGCCAAAGTGTCTGCCTCCCCCACCTCTTTCTCTCTCTCTCTCTCTTTCTCTCTCTCTCTATATATATATATATTATATACGCAAAAATATATATTCTCTCTCTCTCTATATATAAATATATATACACAAAAATATATATTTATAGATATATAGATATATATAGAGATATATATCTTTATATCTCTCTATATATATCTATTTAAATATATATATTTATGTAAATATATATAGAGATATCTCTTTACATATATCTATATATATCTGTATATATATATAGATATCTCTCTATACATATCTCTACATAGAGATAATAGATCTCTCTCTCTCTCTCTATGTATATATATAGATATATAACCATTAGGGCCAGATAGATAGATAGGTAGATACAGATCGATCTATCTATCTATCTATCTGTCTATCTATCTATCTATCTATCTATCTACCTATCTATCTATCACCATTAGGGCTGCTTCTCCAGGTCAGACTTTATCCCCAGTAAGTCCCCTAGAAGAATGGCCATTAGGGCTAGATTATCTATCATCCCCAGAAACTAGTGCCTTTACAGCATCATTATATGGTTGGATCAAGTCATATCCAGGAGGCAGATGGTCTGGAAGAGATGAGCAGTTTCTCTAGACCTGGGTGAAGTCCTATCAGATAAGCTCAGCCCTATCTTGTAGGAAAACACACCACTTCCCCCGGGGAATGGAAGTGGCCAAGAGATTCTGTGGCCACAACCGCTTTGGACCCCAATAAGTCTGGTGACTCAGGTCCAGGAATCAGAGAGGGGGGCTCTGCGAGGCCCAGCTGTGTGGACTCTAGACAGACAGGAGGCATTCAGGGAAGACAGAGTCCCATTGAGTGGCCAGATGCTGTCCCGAGTGGGTGTGGCCAGGACAGAGATCAGAAACCAATGTGTCTCAACTCAGAAGGGACAGGCAGAGAGGATTTAGAAGGAGGATATAGTGGCAGGATGTCTCAGTTATCATCCAAAGGATTTTAAATGTATAGAGGTGACTGAGTGTCTGGAGTGAATTTGTCTCCAGTGCAGGGGCCGAGGTCATTTCCAACAGTGAGGTCTCAGGTTTGGGGGATGTCATCTGAGGCAATGTCATCTCCTGGGGTAAGCTTCTAAGCCAGGACAGTGTCATCTGGGATGAGGGCCTGGAGCATCCTTTCCAAGGGAGCCCACTGGGGTTGATGTAGTCTTCAGCTTCTGCAATGTTTGGTTGAAACAATGGCTCACTGTAAGGGTTTGTCTTTCTGGATTGTAAATCTATGGAAAGCACCCAAGCCAGTATCATAAGACCGTAGTCACCAGAGTGGTGGGCAGCTGCACTTGACAGGTTTGTGTTTTTGTTTTTAGTGGAAGTTTAGGTTCAAAAGGGTCCCATATCCCATGGGCAGCTGCCTGGCCAGCAGGACAATCTCTGGTTAATGGGTCCTAGGAGAGTATGCACCCTCCATCCAGCCTCCTGCCCTTACAGGATGGGGACAAGATGGAAAATGTGTAAAAATAAGCCAAGACCTGGGGCAAGAAAGAGACTCGTTTTAGGGATTTATTTGCTGGATTGGAATTTTAAAAGGAGTTGTTTGAGGAGACTATTATGTCTCTCAAGTAAACTGGTTATCTGGGACCTATCAGGGATGTGAAAGCTCTAATGAATGCCTTTCCCAAAAGCCCAGCATGGTATATCTTGAGAAGTGGAAATGGGTGTCTTGCTTACTACCAGTGGTGTCTGGAACTCTGAAGGGAATAAGGAGTGTTCTAGCAAGACCTTGTATTGTGGCCTATGTATACGGAGAGATGCAGGTAATTTTGATTTATATTTTGGGTCTCTGTGAGGCAAGAGATTCCTGTCATATCTTATCTTGAAGGGGACCATTTTTAGGTAATAGCCCAAAGGTGTATAATGAATGTGAAGATGAAACCCTTTGTTGGCCAGGACAGCCAGTGCTAGGACAAATGCCTAAAGTTTGGCCAAGTGTGTTTTATCTTGGGTCCTGTCCTTCATCAGGGACATCTTGGCTAAAGGATGGAAAGCAACAGCTCTCCACTAAGCGGCATCATATGCAATGGCTAACGTTGCCGTTCCCACAGTCCATGAACTCCCAATCGTGTTCACTCAGTTAACACCAAAGGGCTTCCCACGTAGCCAAGGGGTCTGGGGAGGGATGACCTCCTCCAGCACCCTGGCATCTGGCAAGGGACTGAGAGAATGAGAAGGCCACCCCCTCCTACAGGTGGAATATCCCAGAGGGCCCAGGGTTGGCTCCATCCTGTCTTAGGGAGGCCTTGGTAGCCAAGCTGAGCTTGTGGGGTGATGTTTCCATGACTCAAAGTACGATGGGCAACTGGATAGGGAGGGTCACAGGCTCAGGGTCTGTGAGAGTCTCTACTTCCAAGGCAGCCCAGTGGGGAGCAGAGAGCTGGGCTGCCAAAGTTGCTGCCTCATCTTTGTTCCAGGAACTGGTTTCTGGGCAGCCCCTGGGAAGGCAAGGCAGACTGGGCTCTGTGGGACAGGGTGGGCACACGTTGAAGTGTCTCTGACCCATTTGCACCAGCAGCACAGTAATCTCTGCACAAAGGCAGGACATTTTAATGTTGCCCCAAATGCATGGGAGGGTGCAGTTGCACATCCATTGCCACATCACCAGGAAACATGTGGAGTGTTAGAGGACTGAGCCCCCACACACTGCAGACCCTGAAAACAGTAGAAAACTCTTCTCCCTGTGCCTGCTCCCCTGACTGCACGGTCCTCGGAGTGGACATCAGCTCCTTCCTCCTCTCTGCTCTCTCTCCTTCCTCCCTCTACCTCCAGGTCCTCTCTGTGTCTTTTAAATTTTTTTTTAATTTTTTTATTTTTAAATAATTACAGATTCATAGAAGTTTGCTTATAAGTTCAACTCAATTCCAATCAAAATCTCACGAAGGTTTTTTTCTATAGATTAGATTATTCTAAAATTTATACAGAAAGGTAAGGAAACTAGGCTAAAACTATCTAGAAAAAGAACAATAAAGTGGGAGGAATCACCTGTTTGATTGAAAGACTTTGGTCATCAAAACTGTGTGTTACTGAAGGAACCATAGACAGAGGTCAATGAAACCACAGAGAGAGGCTGCAAATAGACTGTCGCAAGTTATGGCTATTTGATTCTTTTAAGACAACTCTTTATTTTGAAACAATGATAGATTCACGGGAAGTTGTGAAGGTAGTATAGAAAAGTCCTGTGTACCCGTCACCCAATTTCCACCAACAGTGACATCTTAAATTATTATAGTGCAATATTGAAACCAGGATATTGACATTGGTATAATGTGCATGTATAGTTCTGTCATTTTATCATAAATGCATCTTTAGCAGATTCATGCAACCCCCACCACAATCAAGATACAGAACCACTCCATCACCACAGATGTCTCTCCCAAGCTACCCCTTACAGTCACAGGCACCCTGTCCACACACTGGCCCTGTCTTGTCCCCTCCTCCCCATCACGGCTCCCCTGCCTCTGGAGGCCTGGCTGCCCCTCGTGGTTCCACACCTGCTGCCAGATTTCTGCTGTCCGGCCTGACCATCCTCAACCCCTATCCACCACTGATCTACTCTGCATCTCTGTAATTGCATCATTCAGAATGTCTGATAGAACTCTACCATATGCAACCTTTTGAGACCGGCTTTTTCCCACTCAGGATAATGCCCTTGAGATCCGTCCAAGTGGCTGCATGTATCGATAGTTCATTCCTTTTTATTACTGAGTAGTATTCCATGGACCTTTCTGTATTTTAACCAGCTTCCTTTTCTCAGATCTTTCCTTCTTTTCCTTGTCTCAGAGCCAGTTACTCCCATCTGTTTCCCCCTCATTGGAGCTGTGAGTGCCAATGAACCCAGGGGAGGGGATTCCTGTCCTCCAGGCCCTGCAGTAGCTGGCAGGGATGAGTTAACCGCATCTCTCTCATTCAGCCTCAGAGTGAAACATACACACGCCACACAGGCCGTCCTGGGGCTGCTGTTGCCTCCTTCCTGTGCCTCAACTTCTGTGTTGAGGTTTTACTGAATTTCTGTTCTTCTCTCCTCTTTACCAAAGACTCTTCTGATGGTGTCCATCTGCCATCCTGGCCTGGCACGGCCTGGGGGCTCAGTGGTGAGGGGTGTGAGTCTTACTGGAGAGCCTGGGCCACCTGAGTTGGCCTGGCCTCGTCTTGCTGGGGGTGAGGCAAGGAGGCACAGATAGGGCCATTTGCAGGGCAGCCTGTGATCGAGGGAAAGGCCTGTGCACGGATTCTGGGCCAGTGCACCAACGAGTGGTGGATTTCAGGGGCACCTTACTGCTTTGCCAGGGCTGTCTGTGCCAGAATCTTCTGGCAGGGGTGGGCTGGGAGGTCTCCCCAGCTCGGGCTGATGCAGGGGGATTGTGAGCAATCCTCCTCTCTGGGCCTCAACTGTACAGTAAGGGTTTGGACACATGACCTCAGGCCTCCTCATCATTGACATTCTCAGGGTGCCCAGGGACCTCCCTGCACCAACAAAAACCTTCCCTCATTGCTCATTGCCCTCAGAGTGAAGTTCAAGCTCTTCAGCATGGTATTCAAGGCCCTCCATGAACTGGTCCCTGTTGAGTTTGCAATCTCATATCACTTCCCACCACCTTCCTTAGGCTCCACCAACGTGGAACCAGCTCCTGGGTCACCCTTCCCTTGCTGACCTGCTGCCCTCAACTCCTTATGCAGATATGACATCCTCCTGGAAGCCCTCCCTGTCCTCATATTCCAGCAGTTACTTTGTGCTGCCTACTCCTGGTCTTGTCTGCCTTGTCTGTCCCTCCTCCTCTCCCCCTTCTCCAGATTCCTTCTTCCTCTTCCTCCTCTCCTCCTACTCATTTCTTCTCCCTCTCTTCCTCCCTCTCTTCCTCCTCTCCTTCCTTCTTCCTTCCTCTTCCTCTGCTCTTCCTCCTCCTTCTCTCCTCCTCCTCCTCTCCTCCTATTCTTCATTTCTTCCTTCTTCTGCTCCTCTTCCTGCTCCTCCTCCTCCTCTTCCAGCTCCATGGGCTGTTCTGCCAGGGGCAGGTGAACTCACTCTGATGTGGTTTGGCCAAGCCCCATGCTTTCCTTTAAACACAATGAAAATCAAACATCACACATTGCCCTGTCATTGTTAGAAAAGTCCACAGGATGGAAAAGCTGTCTTTCTACCCTCCAAGCCAGATTTTCCTATTCTTTGGAGCCCAAGCTGTCAGGGAAACTTAGAATTCTAGGATCATGGAATCACAGGATAATGGAACTTTAGACTGATGTCATCCTAGAATCCTACAATTATTGAATCATAGAGAGCCACAATAATGATATCTTAGTATTATGTAAAAACCAGAGGTTCCATTTGCAGCATGGAATCTCTGCATATGGAATCCTAGAATCCCCAGCATGTTGGTGCTGAAAATGCCAGATTGCACCCTAGGCCCGCCCCCCTGCCCCATGTTGTCTGTGAAAACCCTGTCCAGGGTCACACTCGAGTGAGAGCCGAGCTCCTGCCCTACATCAGAGCTTAACTTCCCCCTTGGTGGGAGGGAGGCTCTAGGGGTGGACAGACCCGAGCCTGGTCCCAACTCTGCCGGTCCCTCCATGTGCGATCCTGGACAACCACCCACCTCTCTGACCTCCAGTTCCATCGCAGCAAGGGCATCATAATTTTAGGAGATCAAGAAACTGTTAGCTTGTATCTTGTCAGTGTTCTAAGCTTTCTCCTGACAGGAGGCGTGCAGGGTCTTGAACAGGGCTGGGCTTTCTGAAAAGCTCTGGTGACCTGACAGGACTCGGAGGTGCAGGAAAAGCAGGTGTCTGGGACAAAGCTGGGCCTGAGGATGCTGATTCTCAGGCCCGCCAGGGAAGGACACAAATGAGACTTCCAGATAAGCCTTTCTTGGGCATCTGTCTCTACCCTGCAAACCCTCCCAGACAATGGGGTGTTCATGTCATTGCTTGAGCCTCAGTTTCCTCATCTGTAAAGTACAGAGAGCAACATTCTTGGTTCAGTGTCCAGCCCCATCAGCCCCTGAGCATGTCATGTCTTTTTCTCTGAGGCTCAGTTGACTCATCTAAGGCTTAGTCTCCAGGCCTATAGGTTCCTGAGAGCAGGGCTGAAATTTATTCACTTTTTCATCTACAGCACAAAATGGGCTAGAGGCACACAATGCATGTTAAAAACAAAGAATGTTGGCTGTGCGTGGTGGCTCACACCTGTAATTCCTGCATGGGAGGCTGAAGCAGGAGGATCACTTGAGCTTAAGAGTTTGAGACCAGCCTAGGCAGCAAAGTGAGACCCCATGTCTCCCAAAACCAAAAACCAACGACCAAAAAACTCCAAATCGACTGTGTGTTGGAAGGGACTGGAGCAGTCACCTAGTCCATCTGTCATGTGAGCCTTCTCACAGCTCACAGATCAAGTCTTTGGTTTTGGTTTTTTGTTTGTTTGTTTGGTTGGTTGGTTGGTTTTTAGAGACAGGGTCTTGCTCTGTCACCTAGTAGAGTGCAGTGGAGGGATCATAGTTCACTGCAGCCTTGGTCTCCTGGGCTCAAGCAATCCTCCTGCCTCAGCCTCCAGAGTAGCTAGGACTACAGGCACACATCACGACACCTGGCTAAATTTTTTCTTTTAGAAATAGGGTCTCATGGTTTTGCCCAGGCTGGTCTCAAACTCCTGGCCTCAAGCAATCCTCCCTCCTCAGTCTCCGAAAGCGCTAGGATTACTGGCATGAGCCACCATGCTCATCTGGGTGAGCTATTAATGCTGCCATTTCAGCCGCCTCCCCTACAGGTTGGATGTCTTCTTCTAGGCCACTAGTAAGGAATTGATCAACAGATATCTAGACCCCAGCCCTTCTGTCCCCCAAACCTGTTCTTTTTTGTTCCGCTCCACAGGGTAGCATTTGGTTTTCGCAGTCTCTGACTTATTTAGCACTGAGGGAGAGGGGGCTGAGGCTGTGGAAGCTGGGGGATCTCCTTTCGGGACATCAAAGACAGCCAGAGCTCTCAGTGCCCGTGTGGGAGGTCTAGAGGAGCCTGCCCTGTCAGCATGTGGGCAAAGTCAAGACCCCTCCTGAGGGGCAGGGATACCGGGGGCAGTGAGGGGTTGGAGGCTGGGCCGGGATCAAGTTGCCCTGAATGGAAACAAACTCCAACTCCAAACCAAACCCAAACAGGGATTCCAGGAGGAACTGGGTGTCTTAAGCAGCCCCAGGCTAGGCTGGGAGAGGGAGGGGTCAGACAGTGAGCTCGGGGCTCCAGGATCCCCTGGGGCATGTGGTTCCCAGGCAGGTGCTGAACGGCTCTCCCTAGGAGACCCAGGCTGATGGCATTTCTGTCCCGTGAGCCAGCACCAGCCATCGGGGGAGAGCAGCTCTGGGCCTGTGTTTACATGTGTCAGACAAACATCCACAGAGGGTTGCTGTCTCCCACGAGCCCCGGCGGGGAGGAGGTCAGGCCAGCACCACTGCTTCCACATTAGCGACAGGAATGGTGTGGACACATTGAACCCACGGTAGCAGGGCCCCAGCACCTCCTAGGGCACTTGTTTCAGCAAAAATAACGCTCAGCTGGGCACTCTAGGCTGGCGTCTGTGCTCACAGTTGGATGTGTTTCTGGCTTCCAAAGGAAATAGCAGTTGAGGGTGAGCCAGGCTGTGTGACATTGATGAGGGTGCCAAGAAGCACCTTAGGGTTGATCTTTGCCAAAGGGGCAGTTCCTTCATGCCTGTGGGGCCTGTGGGACCCTGGTGTAGCAGGAAAGCACAGAGTTCTGGCAGACGCTGTGTCCCTGCTGTTCCTCGGACCTTGGGCCAGCCCCTCATTGAGCCCTTCCCGCCGCCCCAGAGGCAAGGTGGACTAGGGCTCCCAGTTGGCAGATGAGGAGTGTCAGCTCCGACAGATGCTCAGACTGCAGGCGGGGGTTGAGCCCAGGGGGCCATGCGTGTGGGCGCCCCCATTAGGCCAGGCAGCCCAGGCTTCTGCTCTCCGCTCCTTTCCCCTTGGCCACCAGAGCGGAAGGCTAGTGTTTGGGAGGCCTCGCTGCGGGCCTCTGTGGCTGCTTGCGGTGGAGCTTTAGAATGTGCCTGCCACTTTTTCTTTATGCTAGTTGGTATTCCCTCGGTGCTTAAGGCATCCTTCCTTCCTTCCTTCCTTCCTTCCTTCCTCCCTCCCTCCCTCCTTTCTTTCTTTCTTTTTCTTCTTTTCTTTTCTTTTTTTTTTTTTTTTGAGACGGAGTTTGGCTCTTGTCGTCCAGGCTGGAGTGCAGTGGTGTGATCTCAGCTCATTACAGCCTGGACTTCCCGGGTTCAGGGGATCCTCCCGCCTCAGCCTCTGGAGTAGCTGGGACTATAGGCATGTGCCACCACCCCCGGCCTTGTTTTCCCCTTTTAATCTGCTTGATCCTTGATGTTGACTGGTATGTAGAGGTTGCAGTCCTCTGCCTCCCAGGTTCAAGAGATTCTCCTGCCTCAGTCCCCCGAGTAGCTGGGATTACAGGCACCCACCACCACGCCCAGCTAATTTTTGTATTTGTAGTAAAGACGGGGCTTCATCATGTTGGCAAGGCTGGTCTTGAACTCCTGACCTTAGGAGGCTAGGTGATCCTCCTGCCTCAGCCTCCCAAAGTGTTGGGATTACAAGCGTGAACCTCACACCTGGCCTGGTTTTCTAACATCATGTGTGTACTCCTTTTGTGTCATTGTGAACTTTTTTTTTTTTTTTTTTGAGACAGGGTCTTGATCTGTCACCCAGGCTGAAGTGCAGTGGCGCGATCTCAGCTCATTGCAGCCTGGACCTCCCAGGTTCAGGGGATCCTCCCCGCTGAGCCTCCTAAGTAGCTGAGACTACAGGTGTGTGCCACCACACTCAGCCTTGTTTTTCCCTTTTAGTCTGCTCGATCTTTGATGTTGACTGGTACATAGATGCCTTTCGGGACCAGCTTAGTCCCCAGAACCTCTCCTTGCAACCCCACCAGGGGTGAGGCCCTGCAGCTTTACTGAGAGCCTGACTCCTGAGGATCCACTGACACGTGGACACGTGATCCGGGCTGGACCGGGTCTTGCTGGTCCAGCTGAATTCTCTTGCTGAATTTGGGGTTTGGGGTTCAGAGTCAGCCCCAGCCACAGTCAGTCTCCAGGTGGGCCTGATATTGAGGAACGGATAGGGAGGGCTTTGGGGCATCTGCCCTCCACCATGAATCTAGGAGGCCAGCTGTGTGGCCCCGACCCTGCCCACTTCAGCTCCTGGCTGCTTTTCTAGCCCCCAAGAGATTGAGGCTGGCCCTTACCCTATCCAGAGTACCAGGGGACATACTGTGTCCCGAAGGGGAATAGGGCTCTTTAGGCCTAAGCATACCTGAGGGTCTAACAGAACAGCTGATTCATTGCAACTTCACACTGGGAGGACCACTGAATCCCACTGCCTCCCCTCTGAATTTACTGCATCAGTCAGCCCTCAGCTTTGTCGTCCTGAGGCCTCCCCTCTCTGGAGAGGCACAGTAGTCTTCCCCACAAGTAAAAACCACTTTCTCTTCTAGGTGCCCCGTTCCTTCAGGGCCCTGTCCCACCCCCACCCCTGCACACACACCTGTTCCCATGCCCTAAGCCTACCACTTTGCCCTTCCCCCAGATGTACCCTCTTCCTAACCCCATCTGGAGCCACCCACCCTTCCAGAGAGCCGCAAGCTCCAATACCACCTCCCACTCCCCTCCCCCAGCTCCTAGCGTCCCTTGAAATGCTCGGTTTTGCAGGATTCCTACCTTGCCCAGGGTTGGAAGAATGGACATTTCTTTTCATTCCACAGGCATTTTTATGCCCTCACCTCTGGGGCATGGGGGTCCCACACTGGCCAGCCTCCCACCGTCCCTCCCACTGATGTCACCACTTCCACGTCCTATGCCATGGATGGGGCAGCCTCTGAAGACATTCAGGGCAGGGCCCACCTGCGAGCTGGGTGGTGGGAGCTGTGGTTGGAGCAGGAGGCGTGGGCCCCAGGCATTTCCTGCTGTGGACCCACTGTGTGACCTTGGGAAAGTCTCTGTCCTCTCTGGGCCTCTACTGTGGCACAGATGGAAGTCAGTTCTAAAGGACTCTGCCTTTAAAGCTGCAGAGAGGAGGCTGAGGGCCTTCCCAAGAGCCCCTCCATTCCTAGCTTTTTCGGCTCACTCGGCTTCTATCCTGCCTGAGCTCCCCAGCATCCAGCCTTCACTCCCCACCTCTGCTTTGCTATACCCAGAGGGGCTGGCTGTGAGACCCTCCCTCTCCAAGGGCTTCAGAGCCACCTTTCACTTCACCTCCAGAGCCTGCCCCAGCTCTGGCCTTGCATTTCCGCTGTAAGCCATGGCCTCAGCCCTTCCATTCCTCCTTTCCTGGTCTTGGCTTCACCTTCCCCTTATCCCCTAGGGCTTGTTATGCCCCCCAAGGATGGCGATTCCCCACCCTGCTTCCAACCCAAAGCAGGAAACATTCCTCAGTGAACGGGTCCTGGGATCCTAGAGCTCTTGGGTTCCTCAGTGACTGAGGGGCAGAGGACAGAGGGAGTATAGAGGTAGAATTGTGTTACTCCTCACCTCCCACAAAAAATACGTTGAAGTCCTAACACCAAATACCTGTGAATTTGGCCATACATGGAAATGGGGTCTTTGCAGCTATAACTAGTTAAGTTGAGGTCATACTGCTGTAGGGTGGGCCCTAAGAAGAGAAGACAGAGAGACACAGGGTAGAATGCCATGGGACAACAAGCAGAGACTGGAGCCATCCAGCTGCAAGCAAAGGAGTGCCAAAGATTGCTAACTACCACCAGAAGCTAGAAAGATACAAGGAGAGCTCTTCCCTAGAACCTTCAGTGAGAGTATGGTGCAGCCAACGCCTTGATGTTGGACTTCTAGCCTCCAGAACTGTCAGAATACGTTCTGTTGTTGTAAGCCATCCAGTGTGTGGCACTGTGTATGGCAGCCCTTGGAAAGTAATACGAGACCGTACAGCTGGCTGCAGGCTTCACCCAGCTGCCCTCCCGGCCTGAGTGCTCTTTGTAGTGGGGGAATCAGAGCTCGTCCCTCCCCAGCTCACCACTCTTCTCTGGCTCCCTGTTTCACTGGCTTCCACGCGCCACTTCATAGCTGATCCAGCCACCTTCTCTGGCATCCTCTCGCACTGCTGTCTGCCTTCTTTCAGTTCTGGGTACCCCAAATGATAGCTGTGGTTCTCTCCTCCATGTCTTTGCTTATGCTGTGCCAGAAAACACATCTTTACCCAGTTCACGTCTTGCTCATTCTTTAACACTTCTCTTGGACAATCCTTTCTTCCAGGAATAATAACAAACCTTTGTGGAGGCTTCCCATGGGCCAATCACTGTGTGCTAAGTGCTTTCTGTGAATCACCCCATTCAGTCCTTACCTCTGGTGGGTAGGTGGCCTTATCCCCATTTTATAGACAGGAAAACCAAGGCTCAGCTAGGGCTCCATGAGCTTCCCACAGTCTGAAGGGGCACTGGTGGGGTCAGGACCAGGTCTGCCTGGCAGAAGCAGTGCTCTGCTTCTGCTCCACGAAGCCACCACCCCTGCCTGGGGAGCCCGCGTCTCCCCAGGAGCATCTGCTCCTCCAGGCCTCCAGCTGCTGCACGTTTCAGGATAACAAATTATCCTGTAACAAGAGGTGAAATCAAATGCGGGCCAAATAGTTTTCCGCAGCAATTTCATGCAAAATAATTCCAAGGCATCCGTCTTTTTCATCATGTGGGGTTAGAACACATGGAGACAGAAGAACCAAGGAGCCAGAACCCAACCTGGCTCTCACAAATAAATAAACAAGGCACAGACGACATCATGGCCAGCAGGCGGCTGGAGCATAAATCAGGGCTTTTATGGGGTGGGTGGCCTGTCAGGGACCCTACCCCCTGCCTGGCCTCTGAAAGAGAATACCAGTGAACATCCTTGTGACCCAAGCCAGCCCCACTCACTAATATGCCAATCCCGGGTCCCCTGCCAGCCCCTCAGCCCTACCTAGAAGCCCCCTGAGGTTTATCAAGGGCGGGCTCTCACATAGACACCCACCCACTGATTCTCTCCCTCATTCATTGATTCACTCTGTACTTCATGTATAATAAGCACTCAGTAAAAATGTCCTGAATGGATAAATTTGCTCACCACCCCTCTCCTTCCACCTTTTTTCCCATCTACCTCCCATAAGAATTTCTCCACTGTGTCTGTATCACTGAGGTCACTTCAAGATGCAATGCCCCGGCCAGGGTGCCGGATTGGCTGAGCTGGATCTCTCACATCATGCCCTCGGTACAGGGAGGTGTGGGGCTGAGAGGAGAGGGGCCGGGTAGACACTTCAGCTTCTGTAGCAGACCCGAAGTCCTGCCTCCTGCCAAGAAGCCTCCCAAACAGGAATGGGGCTAGATGGGCAGTGAAACAACATATGTCCCGATGTCCTCCTGAAATACTGTGTGGCCTGTGCCTGTGAGCAGGATTCCATCTATTAATATTTGGGCCTCACTGCCCTTCAGCCAGTTCTAGGAAGACCCCTTTCTCCTAAGGGCTTAGGGTTTGCTGACTAGGCCAGTGGTTCCACTACCCACCATTTCACATGTCTAGATCCTGCATTTGGCACTCAGTGGGTTTTCCGTGAATGACAGCTCTTACTGCCTCCCATTTTCCATCCCAGTAGACCTCATGGCTTTTTTTTTCCATTCATCCACTCATTATTGTGTGTTAAACACACAATAAAAACAAAAAACGTGCCATCAGTAACATTCAGTATTTCACAATGGGCAACCATCACCACTGTCTAGTTCCAGAACAATTTCATCATCCTAAAAGGAACCCTCATTTCCCCATTCCCCCAGTTCCTGGCAGCTACTGGTCTCCTCACAGCTTGGCAGTGATTATTCTAACACAAAAGAGGTAGATGCATTATCCCCAATTCATGGATGCAGAAACAGGGCTGTGCATACATGCTCACATGAATGCATCAACACATACACAGCTGGCTTCAGCTGGGCCCCACTCACTCTCCACAGAGCAGCACCTTCAGAGCAGTGTGTCCTGGGTCTCCCTCCAAGCCCCTTCCTGGTGTTACAGGATCTTTAGGGTGTTGCTTCACCAGCTGGAAACCTCTGTGGTTGGTGGCACCTCTGCTTGGGTTTTGCTTGTGCCTGCTGGGTTTGTTCCACCCACTCAGTCTGACAGGCTGTGCTTGGTTCCTGCTACTGGCCTGGATCCTGCCAAAGTCAAGTCAGGCATGGAGCGGTGAGGGGTGTATGAGCAAGTGAGCGCAGAGTCCGGCCACCACACATAGCCAGGCCAGCTGTGGTGGGGTGGTCAGCTCCAGGTGTTGGCTCTGTGCAAGGCTGCAGCTGGACTAGATGTACCAAGCGGCTTCCACCACAGGCACCAGCATCTGGAAAAGGGAAACACAATGGCACCCGAAATGTCAGAGACACCAGGAACCACAGATCCCCAAAGAGGGTATTACAACATGTAACAGCCCTTGCTCAGGGAGCCCAAAGTCTGGGCTTCCAGAAGGGCTGCAGCTTTTCTCTCCTAATTGCCCACAATATGGTAAGCCGGGGGGAGGGGGGGGTTGTGTTTCAGTCCTGTCTGTGTTACAGCTCTTTCAGTCCTGCCATTTGGCAGGTCCCAAGTTCTTGTCCCGCACCCAGGAAGAATGAGGTACTTGGACAACTGGAGGGTGAGCAAAGCAGAGAGGAGCATTATTGAGCAACAGAACAGCTCTCAGGAGACCTGAAGTAGGCAGCTCCTTTCTGCAGGCTGGTCATCCCAGTGAGTGTCCAGCTCTCAGTGGAGAGGAGACCTGTAGTGGGTAGCTCCTTTCCACAGGCAGGTCATCCAAGCAGGTGTATGAGTCTGGCTGAGTCTGGGGCTTTTATGTGCTCAGAATAGAGGAAGTGCGTGCTGATTGGTCCATGGGTGACCATGGGTGGGTCTGGAAAAAGCACCACCCTATTGGCCAAACAGTCATCAATGAAGTTCTCACTCCCCATGTTGACTTCTCCGAGCACTGACAGCCCAGCCCCCATGCTTCAGGTTGTCCCTGGCTTGAAGGTGGGGCCTCACAGGGACCCATCCCTTCCTGCCTAGGAACCTGTCTGCCTCCTGATGCCATCAACATGTCATTCACAATGCCCATGCTGTTCACACCAAGGGACATCTGCAGGCTCATGCTGAGCCACCTTTGGCCCCCAGCCTTCCTGTAGCACTCCTCACCCAATGTTCAGAGGGGGCTTGAGGTGGCAGGGTGCTGGCGTGTCAGTGCCACCCCAAGCATGTGCACACCCAGCTGGGTCACAACAGTGCCTGGGCTTGGCTACACGCCCCCTGCTTGCCACATTGCAGGTGATGAGAAGGAGAGAAAAGCTGTGGCCCTTGTGGGAGCCCAGACCTTGGGGCTCCCGGAGCCAGGGCTGTGACATGTTGTAACACCCTCTTTGGGGCTCTGTGGTTCCTGGCATCTCTGACCTTTCAGGTGCCCTCATGTTTCCCTTATCCAGACACTGCTGCCTGCTGCAAAAGCTCCGAACTCAGAGCAGGCATTGGGAGCAGGCACTTCCAAGCCTGCAGGCCAGATAGCATGGGGATGCCTAGGCTGGGAGCCATGACTGGGTGGCTGTAGCTGTGCCCAGGAGCATGGGGCTCCCATCCTGCCAACTCAGTAGAGTGCGGGGCCACCACCTGTTCCTGGCCCCACTGGCTCCATGGAACCTGCAGCCCTGGCTGTACCTCCCCTGCTACAGCTGGAGTCCCCACAGTGGCTGCTCCAGATGGGCTGCTGCCACCATCACTGGCACCTTCAAGGCTGAGGCAGATGCCTCCCTCCAGTGGCTCTGGATTTCTTTCCTTGGTATGTGTGAAGGAAAGGAGTGTGCTGTCAGTTCATAGGTAGTCTTGGTTGGTTACCCTGTAAATCTAGGCTATTGACTGATGGACTGAAAAGGCCTCAGGTGATGGTGGGGGTTAGGGAGGAAGGTGGCAGGGAGGGTGCCCAGGACGCAAGCCACACCTCTGTTGGTTTTGGCCCCTGAGCAGAAGTTGACACGGTTCTCCTTGGCTGGTAGGCAGGGTTTGATTACACACACACAGCCCCTCCTGCTCACACCTCTTGGCCTTTGCAGACACTGTGTGCTCTATCTGGACTCCTTTGTCTCCCTCAAACCTCTCCAGCCTGTTGCTCCTATTCATCCTTCAAAACCCTCTTAGTGTCACCTCTGCATGGGAAGGGCAGTGATCTCAACCCTAGTGTAGTCAGTGACAGAATCTCCAGGGGGTGGAGGCTGGACCTTTGGGCAGCTACAAAGCTCCACAGGTGGGTATGGCTTGCAGCCTGCCCTGAGAACCCCTTTGAGATCCAGCCACCTGTGCTCCCCATCGGAGCTCCTTCCCCCTATTTGGAGAATGTCCATCCCCCCCGTTCTCTGAGCAACTTGACACAAGAGTCTGCAGAACATCCTGGTTAAGAGCCCAAGACATTTTTTGTTTTTTAAACCAGCTTTATTGAGATATAATTCACATGTCATATAATTCTCCCATTTAAAGTGTACAACTAATGGCTTTTGTTATGTTGCATTATTAATTTTTTTAAATTGTGGTAAAATATATATAACATAAAGTTTGCTATTTTAGCCATTTTAAGTGTATAATTCAATGCCATTAATAACATTCACAATGTTGTACAACCACAAGAGCCCCAGATTTTGGCTTCAGATGGAGACCTGGGTTTAGTCCTGGTTCTTTCACTCCATAGCTGTGCAGCATGCCCTCCAAACCCCTACTTACCCATCTGGAAATAAGGATTCTAGGGGCTACTTCATATAGTCATTCTGAGGATTACATGAGGCACCGGGGGGTGACAGGGCCTCATCGATTGTGGAACCCAGTATGAGGGCTCCCCATATGCCACTGCTGTGTAGCATTATCACCCATGTGCTGTGTGGCCTCAGGCGAGTCCCTGGCCCTCTCTGGCCCCAGCCCCTGGCTTTAACAAGGCTGAATTTGGATTAGATGACCCTGAGGGCCTAGGAGCTCTGCCATCCAGTGCTCACTGGTCTGCCCCATCAGAAGTCATCTGCCTTCACTGAGATGTTAACCTCCTCCTCTGAGAACTGCCCCCTAGTGGTCCTGGCAACCATGGTGATCATGTGACATGGCCATAGGTGACTGGACCTGAGAGGACGTGTGACTCAAGTACATTTGGACCTGGGACACTGGCCTGCTGATGGGTGGTCAGTGGTGCTGGAGTGGGGAGCTGAGATGTGGAAGATGCACATGTAGCTTAAGCCCAGCTGGGGTGAGGGATGGCAGTCATGGGGGACTCATTTGGAACAGGTGGCAGGCCCAGATCCTGACATGCCAGGCCAAGGAACTTGGACTTAAATCCTGAGGGGAGTGGGAACCCCATCATTCTTGGGCATTAAAACCATGCTGGGCCCCATCATGGAGCCTCTCAGGGCTGAGCTAAGGGAGGAGGGTGTGGCACAGGGTGAGGGAATGAACAGGGGTCCCCAGGCCATGTGACTTTGGGCCAGGCTGGGCCTCTCAGCTCTGGACAGAGCTCCAGTCTTCTCTTTCTGACAGTAGAGTTGGACTCAGGGGTTCCCAAGGCCCCTCAAGCACTGATTGTCCCCGAAAATCACAGGGCTTTGAGACCAGGACTGAGGTAGGGAGGACTGGGGGAGGTCCTAACTAGACACTCTCAGTAATTGGAGCTGTTCTTGTCCATGCATGCAAAGGCTGGTTCCCAGAGAGCAGGAGGACGCAGCTCCAGGTGTGCAGATGGAGTCTTCCCCAGGCAGGACAGAACAGGGGGCTGGAAACCCCAGGGTCTGCAGGGACTGTCTGGGGTCTGCAGCCCCTCCAGGCTGAGGCTCTATGCCACATCCATCAGGGGCTTTTTTTTTTTCTTTTAACAGAGTCTCACTCTGTCGCCCAGTCTGGAGTGCAACGGCGCCATCTTGGCTCCCTGCAACCTCTGCCTCCTGGGTTCAAGCGATTCTCCTGCCTCAGCCTCCTGAGTAGCTGGGACTACAGGCACATGCCACCATGCCCAGCTAATTTTTGTATTATTTAGTAGAGACTGGGTTTCACCATGTTGGCCATGCTGGACTCGAACTCCTGACCTCAAGTGATCCACCCGCCTCGGCCTTCCAAAGTTCTGGGATTACAGGCGTCAGCCACCATGCCCAGGTATCAGGGGCTTCTTTTTGGTCTACAGAAGTGCAGAAAACATCCCAGACTGAAAGCCGGTTGGGTGAGCTTCCTGTGCCTCCAGCCTGAGGGCCAGCATCCCAAGTGGCTCCAGAAGACAGCGCCAAGGATGGCTCTGTGCTGGGAGTCCTTGCAGGCCCAGAGCTGGCCCATCTGCCCTGGGAGTTAGACACCAGGCCTGCCCAGTGCAGCCTGTTGGCTATAGATGGCCAGCATAGATGATAGAGTTGTTAGGAATGGCTATGTTCCTGTGGCAGCATCTGTTTACTGTGATATGAGGCAGTGACTTAACCTCTTTGGGTCTCTGTTTCTGCATCTATAAGCTGGGAATAGCAATCTCTGTCCCTTGTGGAGCTGTCATGAGGCTTAGATGAGATGGTGTGTGTGTGGCGCTGACAGTGAGCCTGGGGTGGCCAGTGCTCTCCAGATGGCAGCCATGGCTCTAGCAACACAGACTGGGCCCTCTGGAATCTGGGGTGTGCAGAGGACAGTGGCCGGGAGTGAGAGGGGGGCTGGAAAGAAATGTGGGAGAGGTAGGAACCCCAGTAAGTCATGGGAGAAGGAGGGAAAAGCATCCCCACTGGGGTGAGGGGTCCTTGCTTCCTGAACCCCTTTCTGCTCCAGCTTCAGGTCCCACCTGGGCTTCCCACCCCCCACTGGCTTTCCCATGTAGGGCATGAAGATGTCTGCCCCTACTGACAGCAGCCACCAGGCACCAGGGGGGCGGGAGATATCCCCAGACTCTGGGAGCAGATCCCTATGTGGAGGAGGACACTGAGCTGCAGAGGAGGACAGTGATGTGCCACCACCTGCCACACAGGGAGCCGGACAAGGCCTGGCCCCTTCCCCACTCCTTGCTGTCTCCTGTGGTCACCTGTCAGTGTGGCCGCCATCTTGTTTCAGACAGGTCACCTGGGGGACTGCCCGACAGCGCCTGGCAGAGCAGCAGCAGAGCTTGGGGGCCAGCCATGCCAGACCTCCCCTCTCTTGGCCAAGCCACACGGCTCTGCTACAGAGCCTCCCAGTGCCCGAATCAGTCGGGGCCTCTAGCACTGCACCATCTTCGCAGGCTGGGTCCTCAGGGAGCTCGGTGAAGGCTCAGCTCCTCTCCTCACCCAGAGGAAAATCAGGTTGTGTTTTGAGGGAGCAACAGACAGAGAGATTGTGCTGGGCCTACTAGGCTCCTGCCTTCTCAGCGCCTGAATCTGTTTTGGGGCCCCTTTTGCTCTCCCATGGCTACAGGGCCCATCAAGCTTCTGTGGTGCCTTTGTGAAAGTTAGAAAAAGGTGCCCCATCTGGGCAGTCACAGCCCCGTGCCAGGATTTCACCCCCTCTCACCCCCTCAGCCAGTGCCCTTGTGCAGTGAACACCCTGCACAACTGGGCCCTGCCCAGCCTTCTCTGCTCTCCCCTCCCAGCTGAGTCCCATTCTAATGTGAGGCTTCCCTAGACATGCTGGGCAGGAGGCACCTTCTCCCCAGCACACCTTTTTTCCTTCTCAGGACCAACCCAGAGTCCTCTCTTGTGTCAGGAGGGCCTGTGGGGCCTGGGCAGGCAGAAGGCCCATGCCTAGGTTTATGTGCCTTCCAGAATTCTCCAGCTTAGCTCCTGTCTGTGGCTCCAGGCTCCAACTCCGAGGAGCACCAGAGCTCCCTCTCCTCCTGCTGTTGGGGCTCAGCCATCCTCACTTCCAGTGGTCTCTTCTTCTTTGAAGGTCTCTGTATTCCTGATGGAGATGCCATGGGCTGTGCACACCAGCTGAACTCCCCACTAGAGATCCTCTCTTTGCTCCCCATCACCCTTAGAACACAGTTGAGGGTCATTAACCCAGCCCCTCAAGGCCCTCACACCTGGCCCTGTCTTCACTTCCAGCCTCGCCCCAAGTCCCTCCCCTCCTACCCTCTGGGCTTCAGCCAGAGGAAATTCTTCTGTTCCCAAAAGGCACCAGGTGGTGTCAAGCCTTCATGCTACTCACCTCACAGTGCTCTCCTGCTCTAGAAATGAGTGATATTACAGATCCCAGCAGTTTACACAGAATGCTCATGACCATTAGCTCATTTGAACCTCACCACAGCTCTGGGAGGGGAACAGGGCAGAAGTTTTCCATCTATGCCACCTATTTTGGCATCTGGTAAGGTCCCCTCTTACGGATGCTGGGTCTTATAAAGGACAATATGATGATGTCTTCGTCCCTTTGGGCTGCTATAGCAGAATACCATAGACTTGGTAGCCTATAAACAACTGAAATGTATTGCTCGTGGTTCTGGAAGCTGAGAAGTCCAAGATCAAGGTGCAGACAGAGTCAGTGTCTGGTGAGGACCCACTATCTGCTTCAGGGACTGCCACCTTTTTGCTGTGTTCTCACATGGCATAAGGGATGCGGGGTCTCCCTGAGATCTCTTTTACGAGGGTCCTAATCCCGTCATGAGGGCTCCACCCTTATGACCCGATCACTTTCTAGAGGCCCCTAGAAATACCATCGCACTGGGATTAGGTTTCAACATGTGAATTTATGGGACACATTAAGACCACAGCAGCTGAGTAGATGGTGAATGGCTGGATGGGTGGGCAGGGACTGGATCTGGAGGGAGGCCAGGAAAAGTTTGAAAATGTGATAGAATCAGTGCAGCCTGGTAGGGGTCGGGGTGGCACTGAAGGGGGTTCTGGTCTGCACGATTGGGTGGCCCCAGAGTAGGGAGAGAGGCAGCCAGTGATCTCTGGGGTCCAAGAAGGGGAGGAAGGGCCTCCATGATGGGCCAGGGCCCCATAGGAGAAAGCAGTGCTGCAGAAGCCTCCTTTCTCCTGGTTAGTCAGGCACTGCCCAGGGATGAACGTGGCATCTGCCAGGGCTCTCAAGCCACCAAGTCAAATACTGGAAGGTCTCACTCTGCTTCAGCTGGCCACACCCACCCAGGAGGGCTCGGGCTGCAGGTGACATGTGGGGGAGGGGGTGAGCCAAGATAGCTTGCAGTGGGGTGGGGTGAGGGCCTGGAACTTTCCATCATATGGGCCTGGGACTTTGGTTTCTCAGTCCTCCCAACTCCCACAGTGGATAAGTCGGGGCTTTGGGGAGCAAGGGAGGAGAGTCTGAAAACCATCAAAGAATCTCCACCTGAGAGAGACACAGATGGGAGAATGGGGGTGGGGAGGAGAGGAATGGTGGAAGCTGGAGAACTGGAGGGATCTCTCAGTCAGGGGCTGCTCCCACCTTCCCCTGCCCTGTTCCTTTCCCAGGCTGGATGGGAGCCCCCCATGTCTGTGTATCTGCGTGTGTGTGCCCACCAGCTCGCATGCGTGTGTAATCGTACCTGCCTCATAGGGTTGCTACAGGAGGCTTGAACAAGTTCACGTTCATGAAAGGCTGGGTGCTGCTGGCACGTGGTAAGAGCTCTGTAAGTAAGAGCAGCCATCGCACAGGAGGAGAGTGTGATGGGCAACAGCTAGGACTTGAGTTTGGCTACCAGAGCTCCTACAACTGCTAAGTGTTAGCAGTGATGGGCGCTGTGAGCCCACTTGTGTTTGGTCCGCAGGGGTAACTTTTTGCAAGTACCACGGTCGGCCCCCTCTCCCCCCAGCAGCAAACCTTTGCCCCTCACGGCGCACCACACTCATCAGACAGTACCCTCTTTGCTAAACAGGGAGCAGGCGCTAACGTCCTGTGTCACTCCCCTACACACGCCTGCAGCTAGCTGTTCTCATTCTAGCTCCGTCCTCCTTTTGCCCTGTCCCACAGAAGAGACTTCCAACACCCCGTCCCTGGGCACCTCTTCCCTCTCTCAGGCCCCTCTCCACCCGGCAATCCCCGCCCCCCCGCAACCCCGACACCTCCCCTCCGCACTCCCTCCCATTTCCATGGAAACACATTCACTGTGCTCCCCCTCCATCCCTTTCCCCTTTCCCCCTGGCCTCACCTCTGTCCTAGCCTCAGGCCTGGCTCACCAGCCCTCCCTCCCTCATGCATCCTGATGCCCGACTGCCGCTCCTCTCCAGGCTCCCTCCCGCCTCTCGGGTCACTGGATCTCCCTCTTCTGCTCAGCAGTGGTAGGGTCCCTACTTCTCCCTCGACTCCTGGCTGTTCTCACTCTGCCTGCTCCGTGTCATTCGCCCTCATGTGGCCAGCAGCCAAGTGCTGATGCCCCTTAGCCCTCTCTCCCACCAGGCCCACTTTCCTGGGCTCTGCCACCTGCATCAGCTGCCCCTGGCACACTGCTCTAGGGTGGAGAGGGTTTGAAGCTGGAGACAGACTCAGATGCACACGCAGGTCTCCACAGGCCTTCATGGAACGCTGCCATTCCCATTTTGAAGCTCTCGTGGCATGGGGGCTCATTCCCTCCTGCCAGGAGAATCCCTATCTCTGCTTAGGAGAAAGCTCTCCCCTGGCACTGCCACTCAGCCTATCAGAGACCAGGAGGCAGAGCCACCTCTGGGATGGGCAGAGTGGGAAGTGCTGCTTCAACTCTTCCAAGTCAGGTGGCCATGGGCAAGTTCCTTCTACTTTCTGAACTCAGTTTCCTGAGCCACACAGGCCCCTCCAGCCCTAATATTCCACAGCTGCAGGGAGGGTTTGGAAAGCAGGAGGTCTGTGTTCCAGGCTTTTCTCTGCCACCCGCAGCCTGTGTGGTTTTGGGAGACTCTCCACCTGTTTCCTCAGTTTCCCCATCTGAACAATGAGTGAGCTGGCCCTAGTGATCTAAGGGGCTCCCTGGGTCCTGTCCTCTGTTTTGAATGTCACCTGGGTTGGGGAAGCTTGACCTCTTTCCCAACTAAAGCCCACCTCACGCTGGTCATCCGAGAGCTGGGGGTGCAACAGGTGGGAAATGGTGAGGGCAGGGGCAGGAGAGCTGCACTCCCTGGCCTGTAGTCTGGCCCCTCAGAGTGGATCCCCAGCCCAGTCACTTCAGAGGCAGCAACCGCTCCCTGTGTAGCAGACAGGGCCCCATCTTCACCCACCGTCACAGAATTCCTCTGAGCTGGCTGGGCAGGGACCCTATTTTACAGACAGGAAGACCAAGGCCCAAGGCAAGAAGGGGTCTGCCTAGATTCACACGGCTAGTCTGTAGCTAAGGTGGAACTCAGAGACTGTGAGAATTCCATGGTGTCATGTCCCTTGTCATTCACCGCAGCGGCCCACCCCCCACAGGGTCATTGGGTCCCACCCCTCCTGATGCAAAGGGGAAACTGAGACCCAGAATGGTGCAGAGCTGTGCATTCTCCCCATTGACCTCAGCTGCAGCTGCAGAGATAGCTGACAAAGCCCCAAACCTCTCCCCGGCAGCCTCGCTTGACGCCTAAAATCCCATCAGAGCCCCCACATTTGGGTAAAGCATGTATCCAGGGGCCCTTGTGACGAGAGGGGCAGAAAGGCAAGAATTACAGGCATGTGCTGTCCTCAGGCTCCCAGAACAGCCAAGAAGGAAGGAGCCTGGGGAGCCATGAGGGGCCAGGGGGCCAGAAAGGGTGAGGCATTTGCCCGGGTTCCACAGCGGGTTGGGGCTTAGTCAGGCAGCAGACCCCAGAACCAGTACCCATGCCCAGGTTGCCTGCCCCCACCCCCTGCCCCTTCGGGCAGCCTCCTCTTGTATGTATGGTCCTGGAAGGAAGGCCTGGAGTGGCAGGGCCAGTTCCTCCGGCTGGGACGGTGGGTGGGGTGCACAGGAACATCTCCCCCCAACCTGAGTCGCCCTTCCAGAGGATGCCGCGGGCGGTGGCAGATTAATGGTGCGGAGGCCACTCATTTCCTGTGGCCGGGAGACGGGCCACACCACACAGCCCCCCATTGTGGGCTGCCCTTATCTCGGGAAGTTCCGCCTGCCCCATCCGGAAGAGGCAGCTAGGACCCCATGCCCCTGGCCTCACCTTTCTTTGCCTTTTGGAAGCCAGGCTCACAGGTCTCAGATCCTGCAGGCCTCGGTCTCCCCTCCTCCCATGGGAAGCCTGGACTTGACCCTGGGAGGAGTGAGGAGCCTGGAGGGCCTGGACTTGACCCTGGGGGCAGTGGGGAGCCTGGAGGGTGGAGTAGGGGGGGCCTGGTCTCATCTGGGGTTAAGAGGGGCAATTCTAGGGGCTTCAAGAATGAACTGGGAGGGGCGAGGCTGGAGGCAGTGAGTAGAGGGAGCCTGGTTGCACATGGGGGCCCAGCTGGGATGGGGAGGACAGGGCAGGGCACCGCATTTCTCTGCTTAGAATCTCCCTTTGAGGAGTGTACACAGCCTCTGGTTCAGACACCCACTTTAGGAGGCAACACAGGCACACACAGATTCCCCAGAAAGCCTTCCCTGACTACCAGTTGGTCCAGATCTCCCCAGCCAAATGGGACTCAGCCCCCTGTGCTTTGCCTCAGACCGTTTAGACCCCTGAGCATCCTGTGTGGATGCAGATCTGTCTCCTTCATTAGACTGGACATGCCTGGATGGTGGAGACCCCCATGTCTCCAGGACTCACCCGACCCCTGCCCTCTCCACTAAACCTGGCTCCAGCCCAGCCCCCACCCCAGCCACATCTCCCTCCGCACAGGCTCTCAGAGACCCCTCCCCACAGACCTGCCCTCTCGCCTCCATGCTTTTGGCCAAGTATGTCCCTCCACCCGGAATGCCCCTTCTACGTCTCCCCTGGCCAAATCCCAGCCATCGTTAAGGGCTGCTCAGATGCCACCACTCCTTGAAGCCTTGCTAGGCCCACTACTGATGCCAGGCAGTTCTGCAAATGCCTTTCTCCCTTTTCTACCGGAGCAGCTGCATTCAATAAATTCGTTAAAAGATTCAATAGCTTTTTTTAAAAAAAGTTTGAGACCATTCAATTTGTCCATCCCAACCCTTGAGAGATGAAGACACCAGCTCAACTGAGGTCTCATGAGAAGTCTAGATCAGATTTTCATTTTAACAGAGGACGCTGTTGTCAGCTTCCAAGCATGAGTTCACCATTTCCCAATGAGCAACAACCCAAGAGCTCTGGAGGGCAGCTGCAGGCCAGCAGGTGGTGGAGTGAGGACCCTGCTGGTGCACTCGCTCCTCCCGTGACATCTGCCCCTCAGGAGTGGAGAAGAGGGAAGGATGGCCTCCCTGAGACCAGACAGACAAGCCTGTGCCCGGACCGCATGGATGAAGGTGCTCAGGGGTTAGCAGAAGGCTCACAGATACTTTCACCTCCATTTCTTCCCTTCCCCGCTCACAACCTCCCTCTGGACAGCTACCTTTATACTCATTTTACCGATGAGGAAACTGGTCCCAAGAGCTTGCGTGACTTGTTCAAGGTCACCCAGAATGACGGAGGGGCTGGGAAGCCAACCCCAGTCTTCCAGCCCAGCTCCAAGTTGGACAGTGTCAAAGCCCTGCCTGAGGTCACCCAAACACAGGAACGAATGACCTTATGTGTTTGTGGCTGGGGTGGGGGTGCCCCGTAGCTCCAGGGAGACACAGGGCAGGAGAAACCTACCACTGGGATGGAGTTTGAGTGGCTTTCCATTTCCCCGGCTGGGTCCTGAAGTTAATGATTGACTTGCAGTTCTGTGCACAGCCTGGCAAGTGCCCAGATTGGGGGGCTTGATCCCTGACACTCTGCCCTGAGGGGACTCTTAGAGTGGAGGTTGGGGGAGGAAGCCAGCCTGGGCCAGGGTGGTGGCTCCATAAGGCCATGGCCATGGGAGCTGGCCTCGGTCACTGGGGGTGGTAGTACCTGCCCCCCACCACCCAGCTGGGAGATAGAGAAGAAGGTGGGGGGCAGCGGGGAGGGTCAGGAAGGGGTGGTGGAGGAACACGACCCTCTTGGTGCCAAGGCCCTGGGCACAGTGGGTCTGGGGACGAATGAATCCCTTCCTGACAGCGATGGTGTTATCCCAGCCTGCTCCTCGCCCTGGGAGTCTTCAGGGCAGGCCTCAGGCTGCTTCATCTCAGGTGGAAGACAGTGGGCAACTTGGCCATACATACCCAAATACATCATTTGAAAGTCGGGATGCGGGCCAGGCAAGGTGGCTCATGCTTGTAATCCCAGCACTTTGGGAGGCCAAAGCGGGCCAATCACCTGAGGTCAGGAGTTCGAGACCAGCCTGGCCAATATGGTGAAACTCTGTCTCTAGTAAAAATACAAAAATTAGCTGGGTGTTGTGGCATGCACCTGTAATCCCAGCTACTTGGGAGGCTGAGGTAGGGGAATCGCTTGAACCCAGGAGGCGAAGGCTGCAGTGAGCCAAGATCGTGCCACTGCACTCCAGCCTGGGAGAGAGAGTAAGACTCCATCTAAAAAAAAAAAAAAAAAAAAAAAGTCGGGATGCCAGCATAATCTGGGCAAAAGATGGTGGTCAGTGGTCAGGGGGAGTGACTGACAATTGTCCTGATCTTCCGACAGCCCCTAGTGTACAGAGGAGAAAGCCTGGTTCACCCAGCAGCACATCTGGGGTGTAGCCGGGTCCTGAGGCAAGCCTAGAGCGCTGTCCTCAGCCCCTCCACTGGAGCCTGTGTGTTTGAGAATCCCTGCCTGAGGTTTGCCCTACTTCATGGGATGCCCTGTGGCCTCCCCGCTCCTGTGTGGGTTGGTAGGACAGCAGCAGCAGCAGCTTCTGTGGGGCTCCAGGTCCGACCCAGCCCCAGCCCCTCCCTCCCTGGCTCCAGGAAGTCTGGAGCCCCGAGACTCCCAGGAAGGGCCCCGGCCTGGGCCTGCTGGGGCCTCTGTGGGCTGAGACACGGGGAAGATCCAGGCCCTCAACACACCAGACTTTCATGTGCTGGAGTCAGGGCAGCATCTGGAGGTGGGGCAGAGCCAGGAGGAACCTCAGTGTCATCTGGTCATCAGAGGTAAAGAGGTCCCAAAGATGGCCATATCTTGCCCAGAGACACATAGTGAATTTGAAGACATGCAGTGGACCACTCTGTAAAGGACGGCCCTTTCATATTCTTCTTCCCAGCAAGGCTGTGAGGGAGGCAGGGATCATGAGTCCCATTTTACCAGGAGGGAACAGAGGTTCAAAGATGCAGTGATTTGCCCAAAGACACACACAGTGACAGGCTGTACCTTTCCCAGTTCCTGGTTTTTCTGTTTGTTTGTTAGTTTCTCTCTCTCTCTCTGTCTCTAATTACTGACCAATCAGCAAACTTTCCCCAAACACTTAGCTTGGCATAGAGGACCCAGAGAAGAATTGGTTCAAGGGGCTCCCTGTCTGGAGTGTCCAAGGAACAAGTGCATGTGAAGGAGAGCAATACCTAAGAGGGAGGGGAAGTGGGGAACTGTGGGCTGTAGCAGTCAAGGAAGACTTCCTGCAGGAGGCAGCATTTCCAGAATTGTTTGAATGAGACAGGAAGTCCATAAGGCATGGCTGAAAGAAGGCAGGGAATGAACTAGAGTGACAGCACAGGTGCCTCCTAGTCAGGAGGGGAAAGCAGTTCCTTCCTTCCTTCCTTCTTCCTTCCTTCCTTCCTCCCTCCCTCCCTCTCTTTCTTTTTTGAGATGGAGTTTTGCTCATGTTGTCCAGGCTGGAGTGCAGGGGCGCAATCTCGGCTCATTGCAACCTCCACCTCCCAGGTTCAAGTGATTCTCCTGCCTCAGCCTCCCGAGTAGTAGGGATTACAGGCGCCTGCAACTATGCCCAGCTAATTTTTGTATTTTTAGTAGAGATGGGGTTTCACCATGTTGGCCAGGCTGGTCTCAAACCCCTGACCTCAGGTGATCCACCCTCCTCAGCCTCCTGGGATTACAGGTGTGAGCCACCGCGCTCAGCCAGGAAAGCAGTTTTTCAAAGGCTGTGGTGTGGTGGAGAGAGCTCCACCTGAGATCAGACAGATCCAGTTGTAGAGGCTGGGTCCTCCTCACCTGGATTCTTCAGCCTCTAGTATGGGCTCTGGCACCAGAGTCAGCTGAATAAATGAATAACCCCAATTCCAGCAATTACTGAATACGTGCCCTTGGGCAAGTCACTCCACTTCTATGGCCTCAAGCTTCCTGATCTGTGAAATGGGGATAACTATAAAACACCCTTGACCTGGATGTTGATGTTGAAAGACTCTAAGAAAATATGTAAAATGCCTTATATCGTGCTTGGCACATGGTAAGACGCTTAATATCTAAAGATATTTTTACCTCCCTTCGTTCATTCCTCCTCACGTGCAACTTAAAACACTTCAGAAACCGCAAAGCTGTTGGCCCACTCTGAGTCCTTCTCAAATATTCAGACAGGAATGTACATAAAATGGAGGCCTTGCTGGGACAGGCTGAAGTAATGTCATTTTCAGAAGCAGTGAAAAGCAGCAGAGCCAGAAGTTATTTGGGGGTTAGTGACTCAGGAACACACGAATGTCGGTAACTGCCCTTTTCTTTATAAATTGTTTCCACACAATTTCAGATATTTTCTGGAAAACCAGTGTGACTATAAATATAATGTAAATGGGTAAATGAAAATGTATAAGGAGGAAAGCAAGGCAGGCAATGGGAGATCACTGACACCTGAATTTCAATCCCAGTTTTGCCATCTGAAGCTGTGTGACCTTGAGTAACACACTTAACCTCTCTGACCCCTTTGCTTACCTTGCAAAGGTAGGTTATTGAGAGAGTTCAGTAAGAGATGGCTTGTGAAATCATTGCTGATTATTAGTGTTAATTCTTCAAAGCCAAGCGCTGCTCCATACTCTGAGCATGGGGAAAGGGCCAACTTAGCTCCTGCCCCCGCAGAGCTTCCAGTCTGAGTCGCTGGAACTGGGAAAGAACAGAGGACTCCAGGAGGTTGGGGTTGACCCTGAGCGGAGAGGAAGGACGAAAGGTAATCGGTAGGTGAGTGTTTGGGGGTAATGTTCGTTAATGCAAAAAATAAGAAAAACCCGCACAGCCAGGCACAAGTGCTTGCCCTCCGCGCCAGACCCTCGAGCGCACTCGCGCTCCACTTTTGCATCCACTGCTCCAGGCCCGGTGCTCCCTCCGCCGCGCGGCCAAGAGGTCTCCATTTTGGGGTAGCTGCGGAAGGCTCGCTTCTTAGTCGCTGCCCCGCCCCTGTAGCGTTGAGGCGTCCCTCGCCTCGCTCCCACTAATCCTTCTGTGTAGCCCTCGTCCGCGGCCTGCGCACCCTCCCCTCCGGCCCTGGACTGACACATCGCTTTTGGGGTCGATGCACTGTGTCCAACATTCGGCCTGAATTGATTAAGCACTTGCTGTATGCCGAGCCTGAGGCAGCCACTGTCCGGGCGCTGGAGGGGGGAAGCATGGATCAGGGATTCCAAGGCGGGGGCGGGTCCCGCCGGTGGTTGAGGGTTCGCGGGGACAGGAGTTGAGGGGCAGGGAGGAAAGGGTTTCTGGGTAGCATGGGGGCGCCGTACGTTCTTAGGAGCAAAGTCGGGAGACATTAGCAGGCCTGAATCCCTGCGTGTCCAGGGAGAACGCGTGGATTTCTATGCACAGAAGCCACGCCCCCACCCAACTCTTTCCCGCAAGCGCTGGCCCACACGCTTGCCGCTGTCATCGCCTCTAGTAAATTCGAGGAGACCTTGCTCAGCAGATGGCTCGTTGGTCTAGGGGTATGATTCTCGGTTTGGGTCCGAGAGGTCCCGGGTTCAAATCCCGGACGAGCCCCTCTTTTCTTAATTTTTTTAACTGTTTAGCACGCGTAACTTGGCGTTCTACAGTCGTAATGAACACGAAATGGGACCTGGCACATTCGAAGAGGTCGGATCGTCGATTGAAAACGAGCAAGCGGTTTTTGCACCCTGGCTGCTATCTAAAGAATTCTTCCAGCTCGATAAGTTCTGTATTTAGAGAACGGAGATGCAGGAAAAGGAAGGAGATGCGGAAAAAGGAAGGGAAAGAAAATGAGGGCTCGTCCGGGATTTGAACCCGGGACCTCTCGCACCCTAAGCGAGAATCATACCCCTAGACCAACGAGCCGTCGCTCGTAAGAGTTTTCGTTTCGCTTTGTAAGTAGAATAGGAGGCACCCTAGAGCCTGCGCCTTCCCGTCCCGGCCGCACAGGACCCACCAATGGCGTGTGCGCTTAGGGCTCGCCTCGGATTACCAATCCGGTATCCGCACAGTGGGACCCCGAGACTGGCTCTGTCGCCGGCGAGCCCTGGATCTGGACGCAGCGAGAACGCAATCAGTCCGCGCTGCAGAGGGGAAATGTGCCTTTCTGCAGATGCAGGGACCACGAGTTTACACTGGACCTGGGAGCTGGGGCGGGACGCGCAGAACTGCAGACCAGGGGCTGGGGGCGGCGGGCTGGGATCCTGGGCAGGAGAATTCTCTCTGAACCATGTGTGGAGCTCCCTAACGCGCCCGCGTTCCAAACATCACATCATCATCATCGTCATCATGACTGCGCAGCCTGGGTCTTGGGGTTCCTGGATGTCTAGCTTTGTGGGAGGGTAACTGACATTGTGAGGCTTTGGCCTGACATTTCGGTCAGGGCTGGGTCAGATGTGCAGTTTCTCGGTTTAGCTACCGAATCCTGGGCGGAACCCACCGACTCTGGTTCACCGAATGGGCCTCCCAGCACGTGGGGCGCCTGGCACGGTTTCCCGTGCTTCGCCTCTGCGTCCACGGTCCATGGGTTCTAGGCTCCCCGAGAAGCCTCTGTGGGGAACAGGGGTGCCAGACCCACTCCGAGAAACGGGTTCCATGGAGCTCTTCCACCTCGTGACTCAGTGTCCTTGGGACACGTAGCCAATGTGTTCAGCATGCCCCCCTGGTGAAAACGGGGTCACAAGGTCTGCCTTCTTGCCTGCCAGAGAGAATTGGGAGCTCCCCACCACCGCGCCCTGTCCCCCGTAGGAGAGCGGAAGGTAGTGGCTGTGCTGGCCTCCATCACAAGGCTACTAGCAGTGCAGAGCCAGCGGTGCAGATCAGTCCAGCCAATTTCCGTTGCGCTCTCTCTCCCTCCCCACCCCTTTCCACCCCCCACACACCCTGACTTCAAGATGAGGAAACTGAGACTGTGACGCCCTGGAAGGACTTTTGCCCAGTGGCCCTTTTCCAAACTCCTTTCAGCTATGTCCTGCGCCTTCAGGAGCTGGCTGGAGCCTCACGTTTCCTTATTCCCAGGTCTGAGGATGTGCGGGCAGGAAGAAATACCTTCAGTCAGTCGCTGGAAGCCTTTGTAAAGCTTCTTTCACTCCACAACACACTTCCACTGGCGCCTGCTCTGCCCCACCCCCGGGCTGGGCCCTGGGGACACTGATGAGTCAACCCTGCCTCCTGAACCCCCTGCCCAGTGGTTGCCACACTGGCTGCACCCTCTGCCTAGCCCAAGGCTGTGGACTGGTCTGCAAGGAGCTCAGTCTGGGCCCTGGCGGACTGTGGTTACTGCTAAATGAGGCTATGGCCTGGACACACACCCAGGACCTTACATCCTCTGCCCGGGCCTTCTGTGCCTCCAGACAGGCCTTCCCCATGGACAGTCCCACACCCACAGTCTCTTCAAACCCTGCGGTGGCTCCACCCTGGGAGCAATGGCTGAGCTCTTTACCTGCCACCTGGGCTTTCTGAGGCCTGACCCCTCCCCACTCACCTCTCTTCAGGCCCTCCTCACTCCGTGAACACTCCAGCCATGGCTCCAGTGGAAGCTGCTCATTCCAGCTGGGGCTGCCCCCAGCTTCCTGCACATTCCAGGCCTTGCGGTTTCTGCACCACCACCTCCACCTCCAGGCAGACACCTCTCCAAGTGCCCCCAGCCCCTGCACTCCCTGTTGCCTGGATGCCTGACCCCTGCACACATCTGTGTCTCTACCCACAAGAGTGTGAGGGAGGGTTCCCTGAGGAGTGGCCATGTCAGCACAGGGCCCAATGCAGATGACCTGTAAAGCGTTTGTTGAATGAGTGGTACTTTGTCTTTCTGTAAAACCCAAAGCCAAAAAAAGACACCGTAACAGCTCAAAGCCTGGCGTGAGTCAGAGGTTCAAGGCTTGCTTGCCCCCTCCATTGGCACAAAATGCCTGTCAGCCAAGAAACTTCTTAGGGAGGTGGTGGGATTCTTTGGTCCCTCTGCCAGAGCTGGGACCCTTGGAGATGACCTCACTAGCCAGTGGGGTAGCAGGGCAGGAAGGGCTCCAGTAGGTGAGAAGGTGACTTTCCAACCAGAAAAGTTCTGGCTAAGAGGCCTGCGTGGAGCAAGTAGGCTCAAGAATGTCAGGGAGGCAGGGCACGGGGTGGCTCACGCCAAGGCGGGCAGATCACTTGAGGTCAGGAGTTTGAGACCAGCCTGGCCAACATGGCGAAACCCCATCTCTACTAAAACTACAAAATTAGCCAGGTGTGATGGCATGCCTTTAATCCCAGCTACTTGGGAGGCTGAGGCATGAGAATCGTTTGAACCTGGGAGGCGGAGATCGCGCCACTGCACTCCAGCCAGCCTGGGTGACAGAGTGAGACCCTGCCTCAAAAAAAAAAAAAAAAGAATGTCAGGGCACAGAGGCCAGAGTATGCAGGACCACCCTAGGGGGGCAGGAGGGCTGCATGTGCCTCTCCCCAGAGTTTGCTGAAAGGAAAGGGGTGTGTGTGTTGGGGGGCGTGTGGGGGGCTTGGGGTCAAGGAGAGGGGGTTGTCTGTCTGCCTGCTGAGCCAGGAGGTGGGATATTGGAACCATCAGGCCTGAAGACCACTCCTCCAGGCATCTCTGAGCGGCTGAGGGGTCCCTGAGTAGATGGTGTGATCTAAATATTTAGGCCCCTCGCTCTTCTCTTTCCACTCTGGGAGGACCCAAGCCTCCACAGATGCAGGGTTATGATGGATACCACGTGCTTGACAGTGCTGGAGAAGAGGCCTGGACCTGGCCAAGCAGGGGAACTTGGAGCAGAGGGGAAGGGGCAGGGAGACAGGGAGGAGGGGAGAGGGTGGTCTTCCTCTACACACACCCTTATTTATACTGTTCTTCCTGCAGGCAGCCCCGCGCGGGGGCAAGGGGTGACACATAGAGAGAGAAGGGCCCACGGGTTCCCAAGGTGCCCCGGGTCCAGGGGGCTGTGATGCAGAGAGGAGAGGGTGAATGGGGTGGAATGGAAGGAGGGGAGAGAGCTGGGAGCTGAGGTGAGAGCAGGGCGGGGCCAGGGGAGAATGAAAACCCAGCCTGTTGGTGGTTTCTTCTTTTTTTCTTAAGAGCCACAGGCTGAGATCAAAGGTGATATTTTTACAGCAACTGAAATAGAAAACCACTGGGCGCACAGTGGGAGGTGAGCAGCCAGCACACAGGCCCCTTTATGCAGCCTGTGGCCACAGCAAGCACGCTGCCCTCTGCCATGGGGTGTGGGGGACAGTGTGGTGGGGATCTTCCCAATTCAGGTTCAGAGAAGATGTGAAGGGGATGAGCCACAACCCTCGGGGCTGAGAGAGGAGAGAGAGAGCCATGAAGGATCACTAGAGTCCAACATCCTTTCTGCTCCGTGCATTCACTCACCTGCTCACTCACCGGATCATGTATGGAACTAGCTGGCCCCCGCATACCAGGAGCCATACCCAGGCCCACCACAGCAGTGGGTCTCCGAGTGTGGGCCCCACACCAGCAGCTTCAGCGTGACCTGGAACATGCTAGAAATGCACATTCTCAGGCCCCAACCCAGACTTAATGCTCCAGTGGGCCCAGCCCTTAGGATTTTAACAAACTCTCCATGTGACTCTGCACACTCAGTTGGAGAATCACTGTGCTGCATGACCTCAGTTTCCACATTGCTACTTTGGGAAAAACAACACGTGTCTCACAAGGTCGAGCCCAGTGTTAGCTAACACACGTGCTAGATGCACCCCCTGTGCCAGGCATCCTTCTAATCCCTTTATAACGCACCTAACTCTACACCAACTCTGAGATAGGAACTAATATTATCCTCATTTATTTCCTCAGATGAGGAAATGCAGGCACAGAGAGGCACAGTAACTTGGCCAGGGTCACACAGCTAGTAGGTAGCAGAGCTTTGGCATCCACGCTTTTTAAAGCTCCCCGACAAAAAGCCTCTGGCAGTGAGTCTGGCTCCCAGAATGTGTTCTGGGCATGGCTGAGAATGTGATGATGACAGTTAGCATTACCTCACCTGAACTTGTGATGATGATCCCCATTTTGTAGATGTGAAATCTGCTGCCTTGTCAAGATCAGGGAGTAAGTCAGCTGCAGAGGCAGCCTGAGTGTCTGAAACCCATGTGGCCACAGGCCCTCACCATTCACAAAGCTTGGAGATCACAATATATACCATTCTGGTCTTCTAGAAACATCCCAGCATGTTGCAGGTGGAGTGTGGGCTCTGACAGAGGTGGGCTGGAACCCTAGTTTGGCCACTCAGGGGCTGTGTAACCTTGAGCAAATCATCTCCCCTCTCTGAGCCTCTGTTTCCTCCTGTGAAGTGCTTGGTGACAGTCCTCACCTCAGGAACTTTGTGGGGTTCCTGTGAGGGTTGGAGAAGATGACATTTGTACCCAGCCCAGAGTGTGCGTGATTGGCTATCAGAAAGCAGCTTGTCCCTCTCTCTTCCCCCTTCCTGCTGCTACCTTGGTAGAAACACCAGCTCAGGACCCAGAAAAGTCCTGGGAGAAGAAGAACTAAGTTCCCAAGTGATGGAAATGCATCTGTCCTCCAGCTTGTCTGTCCTTTTCCGGATCTTGAAACAACTGCCCTGGCTGGGGTTTGGGGGTTAAACACTGGCACCTGCTGTGCCCAGTGCAAGTCAGGAGTGGGGTAACCTGTGAAGGGAGGGGAGGTGTCCTCTCCGAGCCATCCCCACTGGCCAGGCATCCTAAATCAGCCAAAGCATCTGAGCTTCTGCCTGCTGCAAGACCGAGTCTGGCCCCGGCATCTGAAGCTCATTAGCGGCCTGCTCCCCAGGGGCTGACCCTGCTTGGCGAGAATTACCCCAGACAGAGTCACAGAGCAAACGAAGACCAGGTGAGGTGTGGCCATGAGGGGCTGGGGGGACGTATGGTCTCCCAGAGGCTCTGGGGACCCCCAGAGAGCAGGGGAGGCTGGAGAAACAGCCACAGACTCACTGGCTGTGCAAAGGGGCAGCTTCCTTTTTGGGCCTCAGTTCCCCGACATGTACATCCCTGGAGGAGGGGCAAGCAAGGCACTCACTGGAGGCCTTCCAGCCCTGACATTCAGGGGTTCCAGCCCGACCTCTAATTCCTGGCCTTTGAGGTCCAGCCCAGTGCTGGTGGGAAGTGAGGGATGGGTGGCGGGAGCAGGGGATAATTCAGGGGTGGGAAGCCATGACCCCTTCCTCAGGCCTGGAGATCAGAGGAAGATCAGAAAGTGACACCACAGCTCAGAACAGGAAGCTAGGTGCTCCCTCAGTGCCCATGAGTGACAGAGATGGTGGTGTGGGTCCGAGGTAAGAGTGGGTGCAAGCCGAGCCTGCCTTCCAAAGACAGGGGCCCGCCGGGCGGATGGGCCAGGATGGAGTCCTTCTCCCTATCTGCACTCACACCTCCACCCTGCTGTCCATTTAGGGCACAGCTAACTTTCACTGAGCAGTTTTTATTGTCCACTGCTTTTATGCCAGGCGCTGTGCCAAGCACTGCACATCTATTGAAATAATTTAGCCCTTTCACTGGGCGGCAGGTCTCAGCCTGGAGTCCGGCCCTCACCTGGCAGCTCCTGACATTGACCTTTCTCCAGACACCTAGAAAGGTCTGACAGGCTGGCCCTAACCATGTCACTCAAGATGATGCCTCCTCACAACACTTATCACTGACACTGGGCACTCTGCCTTTCTACTGACAGGAATGCTCTTGTCCCCTCCTCAGTCTCCTTCCCTCCTGGGAGCCAGGGCTCTGGGATCTGAGCAAAGGGGCGAGGAATGCTAGTCGAGAGTTGCTTCATGCAGACCTTGGTGAAGCCTGAAGAATGATCTCCACCCATGCAGGGGGCTCTCTGTGGGGACTGGGACAGGCATGGCTCTCAGTCAATCTCCCTGACCTTCCAGATAGCACTGGACCTACACACAGCCACAGTGGGCTTCTCTGAACCTTGGCTTTTCTCGGGACCTCATGGCTTGGTTGCTGCGTTCTTTCATTAGACAGGTTAACATCATGAAAATGCTGGGCGGCTGTTTCCTGAGCCAGGGAGGCCTGTGATTCATTTACCTCTCACAGGGCAACATTATTACCGGCATTTCTAAGAAAGGCCCGGAGAGACGGGGGTATCTCATCAAATTCACTCAGTCTGTCAGAGCTGAGACAATCCTGGATGCCCAGACCCTGCCTCATTAAACAGTTTATCCCTTTCAAATATGAAATATTAATTATATAACCATAGAATAATTATACAGATAAGCAAAAGTCAAAGTCAAAATAAGTGTGCTTTTGGTTTTTCAGAGAAACTTCCACTGCTCTTCCCCATCTCCCCCACCTCCCCAAACCACACCCCCTGCAATCCCAGACATGATCAATATCTCTCCTCCCTTTGCCAACACCTGCTCCCTAAGGAGTACGCCTTGACAGCAGATCCTTTAAGACAGCCTTAGACCGGATTCTGGAAAGGCCTGGCGTCTCTTCCAGAACAGCAGAGCTTCCGCCAAATGGAACCGTTTAAGTGCAGGCTATTGTAGAAAATACTCCCAGCCAGGAATCTAGAGACTGCATCCAGCCCTGTCTGGGCTGTGGATTGGCTGTGTGACCTTGGACCAGTCCCTGCCCCTCTCTGAGCCTGGGTGTTTTCAACTGTAAAACGAAGACTTAGACTTGATCAAGTGGCTTCCTCACAGCCATTCTCAGACTGACAGCTTCTCTTGGGCAAGAGCCATGCCTTCTCCTCTTTAGCAGATCATAGAATTTAGAATCAGAGGACAGCGTTCAAGGCAAAGTCCATCACTCCCGGACCGTGTATGTGACCATGGGCAGGGCACCGCACTACTCTGACCCTCTGCTCCCCACGGAAAGACACAGACCTGTGTCTACTCGCCCTGTGGTCTTCCTCAGACCCTGCGAGTGGTGGACGTCGAAGACCTTTGGACAACAGAGCAAGGTGCTCCACTGGGCTATCAGTCTGCCCCCTGCCTGCCCAGTGCCTGGCTCCATCCTGGCTCTGGAGATCTGGGCCCAGGCTTGTCGATGGAGGCACCATCTGCCCCTGGTGCTTACAGAGCTCTAGAAACAGGAGTGTGGACCCTGTGCCCAGCCTGCCTTATAAAGTGTCAGTAACGCTGCCCAGAGGCCTCGGGGCCCGTGACATCATGGACAGCACTTTCCACGTTGGAGCTCAAAGAGCTAAGTCCATTTGAAAAAATAGCACTGCCTTTTTTCTTTCTTTCTTTTTCCATTTTGGCTAAGGCATGGAAAGTGAAAGCTGCTGAATTACTTCAGGAAGAAGTAAAGGCTGGATTCTGAAACTAGCTCTGGTTTCTGGGCCCTAAAATCAATGGCAGAAACTGGAAGCCTAGCCCCTGCTTCCTCATGCCCACATTGCTCTCGCTCCAGGCTCCCCTGACAGGACCAAGGTCAAGGAAGACCATAGCCTGCCTCTAGTTCCCAGATGGACCTCATCTTGCCATCTAAAAAACAGGCATAATAGCCATTCCCCTGATCATTGCTGGTAAGAATCAAATGCAATGATAGCCATCCCATCGATCCATTCATTCATTCATTCATCCAGTGTTTACAAAACACCTTCTATATAGCAGGCAGTATTCTAGGAGCTGGGGTAGAGCAGAAAGCAAAGCAGTCAAAACCCCTGCCTGCATGGAGCTGCCATGGTGGGGAAGACAGACAATCACCAGGTAAAGAAGGAAAGGATGCAGGATGCACTATGGAGGAAAACACCATGGGTGGGGGCAGGGGGATAGAGAGTGCCAGTGGGGAGGCACAGGGTCTATTTGCAATGATTTTTGTTTTTTGGGATTTGGGGGTTTTTGTTTTGTTTTGTTTTTGGAGACAGGATCTCTGTCTGTCACCCGAGCTAGGGTGCAGTGCTGCAATCATGGCTCACGGCAGCCTCAACCTTCTGGGCTCAAGCAATCCTCCTATCTAGGCCTCCCAAAGTGCTGGAATTACAGGCATGAGCCTCTGCGCCCAGTCTGTTGGCAGTTTTAAATAGGGTGGTCAGGGCAGGCCTCACTGAGAAGGGGGCCCTTGAGAGGACACTGGAGAGGTGAGGAGGAAGCCCGGGGTCATCTGGGGGAAGGGTGTTCCCAGCCCTGGAAGGACTCTGGCTTCGTAGAAGCAGGGCACAGAGTGTAAGTGTTCCCTCCATGTGTCTCCTGCTTCTCACAACCCTCGGCTCCATTCTGGGAACGGCACGCTCTGGACTTTAAGGGCACAGTTACAGATGGTACGGTCACTTCTTCCCCGGGAGAGGCCTTTGACCGCCCCCTCTTACATGTCAGGCCCCAGAGTATGCTGAGGGTGCCAGAGAGAACTCAGACCTGTGGCCTGACTGTAGCAGGTGGGACATCAGGAGGCCTGGTCTCTAGCCTGGCTCTGCCATTGGCGATGTGACATTAATAAGGCACTGCCCCTCCCTGGGCCTCAGTTTCTCTGTTTTTAAAATAGGATAATTGGTGGTTGCCAGGGGCTGAGGGAAGGGGACAGGGGGACATGACTGCTACTAGGTAATGTGGTTTCTTATGCGATGATGACAGTGTTCTGGGATTGGGTAGTAAGATGATTGCACAACTTCATGAATACGCTAAAGTGAACTTGTACACTTAAAAATTTTTAAAGAAAAAGATGGTGGTTGAACAAGATGACCTCTAAAGGGAGGAACATGAATTTTTTGTGTGCCTACAACACCCCAGGGTCTGGATTCAGCACTTGCATATCTCATGATCTCTAGGATTCCTTCCTGTTCTGACTTTCTGTGACCACCATGGTGATATTCAACATTGTAGTCACTCATCGAGCTCAGCCTAAGCTTGATTCAGGTCCACAGCTAGACTGGGGAAGAGAAGGGGGTACAGTCCCTCCCTGAAGGGGCTCAGTGTCTGTAGAAGAAATCAGAAGTATGAATTGTGCCCAAGAGGTTTTTTTGTTTTTTTAGGACTAGCTCCTTCCTTTCCTTTCCTTGTATAGGAAAACAAAACAAAAATACCAGAGCGGGCAGGGCACGGTGGCTCACACTTATAATCCCAGCACTTTGGGAGGCCAAGGCGGGCAGATCACCTGAGGTCAGGAGTTTGAGACCAGCCTGGCCAACATGGCGAAACGCTGTCTCTACTAAAAATACAAAAATTAGTCGGGCGTGGTGGTAGGCACCTGTAATCCCAGCTACTTGGGAGGCTGAGGCAGGAGAATCGCTTGAACTGGGGCGGCAGAGGTGGCAGTGAGCCGAGATCATGCCACTGCACTCCAGCCTGGGCAACAGAGTAAGACTCCATCTCAAAAAAAAAAAAAAAAAAAAAAACAATTCCCAGGGTGGGCACACACCTCTGTGGCCGTGCATGGGGCCTGGGGGTTGGTTTATTCATGTGTGCTTCGGGGCCTTTGGGCTGGGTGTGCAGGATGCAGCAGTGGACAAGCCAGACCCAGTCTGCCCTTAAGGAGGGAGGCCGACTTTGAAACAATCAAGCACACAATTAAGAATTTATTTCATTATCGTGATCAGTGCCACGAAGGGAAAGCTCACAGTGTCTTGAATAGCTTGAGAGAACACTGGCCCTGCCGGAGGAGCTTTGAGGGTGTTATAGGAATGATGAAGGGGTATGGAGAGGTGTGGAGATGACACAGACAGGTATTCCAGATAATGGGAGGCCCCAAGGGTTGGCTGAGGCCTGGCAGTGAAGGTGGAGGGCAGAGAGCCTGGGAGGCTGCCCCAGAAACAAGCCAGGCCTGGCCAAGCAGGGCTGCAGAAGTTAGGCCCATAAATACCCGTGTACGCCTGTTGTCCCCTCACACTTTTACGTGTCCCAGATGAAACAGTAAACTATACAGCCACCCTACTTGCAGGCCATGTGACAGGGTTTGTCCTAAGAACAACCCTCATTCCAGGAAGGCCTGGTCATCGCTGCCTGCGTCCTGGCCTCTGGACTTGCCTCTCTGCACGGCCAGCAGCGAGGGCCTGCCAGCCCGGCGGCCGCAGCAGTTACTTGAGCCAGATGATGGGCCTGCTTGGCAGTTCCTGGCCATCCGACCCCGCGGTCCTGTTCCCAGGCAGACCCTGCTCCCCCCATGCCAGTTTCCCCCACCAGTATCTTGAGGTGAGAGCTTTTCCACCATGTCTCAGGCCAAGCATGGTTCTTGGCTCCAGGTTTGGTGAGCCGGTTTCCGGCCGTCCCCGCCCTCAGCTGCTCCCTGAGGACCTGCTCCAGGCCTCAGCCGGGCCAGGGCCTCACGCTCTTTCAACTCTTGTTTTTCATTTCTGCCTCTCTTGATTGTCCTCTGTGTGACTGTCCCTCTGCTGGGCCTCCCTGTATCTCACCCCACTCCTCTTTCTCGCTCTTCTCTAGGGTAACTAGTCATTATAGAAGAGCATGTGCTTCAGGACGGATGGAACTGGGTTCAAATCCCAGCCCTGTCACCTGCTGGCTGTGTGAGCTTGGGCAAATGTGTCCTCCCTTCTGACTCAGTCTCCTGTCCTGTGGAATGGGGATGAACCTCATAACTCCTGTTTCTCTGGGTGATTGGAAGCTGAGATGAAGTCCACAAAGTGCCTTTTGGCAAACAGGAGGTGCCCAATAAATGGGCTTCCTCTTACCTTCCTCAGGCACTGTCTTCTCCTTGACCTGCTCATCTCACTTACTCACACACAAAACAAGAAACAAAAGCCCCCAGCTAGCCCCCAACTACCTCCCGGCCCCAGACTTGACGCAGCCAACAGCGTCCCTGCAGCATGCTCCCGGCCACCCCGCCGCAGGGGTGAGGGAGGCTCGTACCTGGAGGATCTGGCTGGCCTCTGTACTATGAGGCTCTCCAGGGGGACGTGGGAGGTGTCTTCTGAGCTGTGACTCAGGTTCCAGAGTCTTGTTTTTTCACCAAATGCAGGACAGGAGAGGCAACCTGTCAACACCACCCCTGGCCTGCAGGCTCCTCACTTTGTCCCCATGTCACATCCCTGCACTTTCCAGCCTCCAGCTCTTACCAGTGCCCTTGACCCCATCTGGAATACCCTTCTTCTCCCCGCTGTCCCCCACCCCCAACCCTAGGCCTCACATCAGCTCTGGGGCTTAGACATGACAGAGGAGGAAACTGAGCCTCAGGGACATTCTGATGTTGGTGTTTTTTTATGAGAATGTGTTCTGTGTGATATATTGTGTCACTTCTTAAAAGGCAAAATGAAACAGGTTGCCTGGGTTACAGTGGATCTGGAATGGAAACAAAGGTCTGCAGGACTCCAAATGTCTCATTCATCCTCTTCCCTCTGCCACACCCCTTACATGGTGTGACTACATGGACCCTACTGTAGCTTACTTCCTAAATATCACTTAACAAGTAATTGTGTCAATAAACCCATACATCTATGGCCAATTGACTTTTGTTTTTCTTTAAAGAAGCAGGGTCTTGTTCTGTTGCCCAGGCTGGATGCAGTAGCATGATCACTGCTCACTGCAGCCTCAATCTCCTGGGCTCAAGTGATCCTCCCGCCTCAGCCTCCCTAGTAGCTGGAACCACAGGTGCACACCACCAAGTTCAGCTAATTTTCTTTTTTTTAATTTTGTAGAGACAGGGGTCTCACTATGTTGCCCAGGCTGGTTTCAGACCCCCTAATCTCAAGCGATCTTCTCATCTTGGCCTCCCAAATTGCTGGGATTATAGACATGAGCCACCAGGCCTAGCCTGGTCAATTGATTTTTGACAAGAGTGCCCAGACATTCAATGGAGAAATGATAGTTTTGTTTTTTTTTTTTTTAACAAATGATGCTGTTCCAGCTAAAACTAGAAAATCCTTACGAGAAAACATAGATGTAAATCCTTGTGACCTTGAAGTAGACAATAGTTTTTTCTATATGGTGCCAAAAGCACAAGCAACCAAATGAAAAAATAGAGAAACCGAACTTCATCAAAATTAAAAACGTTGTGTTTCAAAGGATATTATCAAGAAAGTGAAAGAACAACCCACAGAATGGGAGGAAATACTTGCACATGAAGTGTCTGGTATGGGTCTAGTATTCTAGTAACCGGAATACATAAAGAACTCTTTGCAACTCAGCAAGAAAAGGACAAATAATTTAATTTTTTAAGTGGGCAAAATATTTGAACAGGTATTTCTCCAAAGAAGATATACAAATAGCCAATAAGCACATAAAAAGATACTCCACATCATTAGTCACTGGGGAAATGCAAATCAAAACCACCATACGATATGCTATTCACACTTACCAGGATGGTTATAATAAAAAATACCAAATTAACAAGTGTTGTCAAGAATGCGGAAAAACTGGAACTCTCATAATGTAAAATAGGACAGCCACAGCTGGGCGCAGTGGCTCATGCCTGTAATCCCAGCACTTTGGGAGGCTGAGGCGGGTGGATCATGTGAGGTCGGGAGTTCGAGACCAGCCTGGCCAACATGGCAAACCCCGTCTCTACTAAAAATACAAAAAATTGGGCCAGGTGCAGTGGCTCACGCCTGTAATCCCAGCACTTCGGGAGGCCGAGGCGGCAGATCACGTGAGGTCAGGGGTTTGAGATGAGCTTGGCCAACATGGTGAAACCCAGTCTCTACTAAAAATACAAAAAAAATTAGCCCAGCGTGGTGACAGCCGCCTGTAATCCCAGCTACTCGGGAGGCTGAGGTAGGAGAATCGCTCAAATCCAGGAGCTGGATGTTGCAGTGAGCCGAGATCGCGCCATTGCACTCACTCCAGCCTGGGAGACAGAGTGAGACTCTGTCTCAAAACAAAAACAAAAACAAACCCAAAAAAATTTAGCCGGGCATTGTGGCAGGCGCCTATAATCCCAGTTACTCAGGAGGCTGAGGCAGGAGAATCACTTTAACCCAAGAGGCAGAAGTTGCAGTGAGCCAAGATTGCGCCATTGCACTTCAGCCTGGGCAACAAGAGTGAAACTCCATCTCAAAAAAAAAAAAAAAAAAAAAGGTACAGCCACTATGGAGAACAGTTTGACAGTTCCCTTAAAGTTATATAATTACCATATGATCCAGCAATTCCATCCCTAGGTACATACACAAGAGAACTGAAAGCATGTATTTCATACCAACACTTGGCACGTGAATGTTCATAGAAGCATTATTTGTAATCGCCAAAAAGTAGAAACAACCCAAATGTCCCTCAACTGATGAACGAGTCAACAAAATGTATATATCCATACAATAAAATATTAACCAACCATACAAATAAATGAAGGAGTACGATACATGCTACAACATAGATAAACATGAAAATGAACTTGAACTGTCCAGAATAGGAAAATCCATAGAGACAAAAAGAATCAGCAGTTTCTAGGGGCTGGAGTGGTGGGTGGAATGAAGAGTGACTACTAGTGGGTATTGGATTGATTCTTGGGGTGATGGATGAAAATGTCCTGAAATTAGAAAGTAGTGATGGTTGTGCAACTTTGTGAATATACTAAAAACCACTGAACAGTACACTGTAACATGGTGAATGTGTGGTATAAAAGCTATATCTCATATTTTTTTCCTTTCCAACTTATAGGTTCAAGGGGGTACATGTACAGGTTTGTTACATGGATAAATTGCATGTTGTGGGAGTTTGGCATATAGATAATTTTGTCATCCGGGTAATCAGCATAATATCCGATACGTAGTTTTTCAGTCCTTACCCTCCTCCCCCAATCCACCTTCAGACAGGCCCCCGTGTCTATTGTTCTCTTCCTTGTGTCCACACGTACTCAATGTCTAGCTGCCACCTAAAAGTGAGAACGTGCAGTATTTAGTTTCCTGTTCTTGCATTAATTCACTTAAGATTATGGCCTCCAGTTCCATCCATGTTGCTGGAAAGGCCATGATCTCATTTTTTATAGCTGCATAGTATTCCATGATGTATATGTACCACATTTTCTTTATCCAGTCCACTGTTGATGGGCATCTAGATTGATTCCATATCTTTGCTATTGTGAATAGGGCTGCAATGAACATACATGTGCCTGTGTCTTTATGGCAGAATAATTTATATTCCTCTGGGTATGTAACCAGTAATGGGATTGCTGGGTCAAATGGTAGTTCTATTTAAGTTTTTTGAGACATCTCTAGACTGCTTTCCACAGTGGCTGAACTAGTTTACATTCTCACCAGCAGTGTATACACATACCCTTTTCTCCACAATCTCACCAGCATCTGTTGTTTTTGATTTTCAATAATAGCGATTCTGACTGGTATGGGATGGTATCTTATTGTGGTTTTGTTTTGCATTTCTCTAATGATTAGTGATGTTGAACATTTTTCACTGCTTTTTGGCCACATGTATATATTCTTTTAAGAAGTGTCTGTTCATGTCTTTTGCTCATTTTTTAACTTTAATTTTTATTTAATAATTTTAACTTAATATTACTTTAATAATTAAAATTTTTTTAATTATTAATTTTAAAAAATTGAGATGAGGTCTCACCACCTTAGTTTGTTGCCCAGGCTGGCCTCAAACTCCTCAGCTCAAGTGATACCTCCTACCTTGGCTTCTCAAAGTGCTGGGATTACAGGCATAAGCCACCATGACCAGCCTTTTGCTCATTTTTAAATGGGGTTGTTTTTTGCTTGTTGATCAGTTTGAGTTTCTTATAGATTCTGGATATTAGACCTTTGTCAGATGCATAGTTTGCAAATACCAAGTTTTTTTTAAAGGTATTTGTGTGGATCTGGAGAGAATCTTGCAGAACACTGAGCCCAGTGTTCTCCTGCTCCTGCTTCAACATGCCTCCATGTTAAAGATGGGGAAACTATAGCCCAGAGAGGGGAAGGTTCACACAGCATGTCTGAGACAGACCAGGGACTGGAACCACAGCTATTGCCACCCCGCTCTTCCCTGCCTAGACTGTTAAGTCTTGGAGGACAGGAACTTTTATTAATTTTGTACCCCCTGTAACAACAGCTCAGGACTCAGCACATTGTGGTGGAGATAGGATTGCTCTAATTGCAAGAGAGTAGATAGAGACCCTATTCTGATGATCCTACGGAAACATGGATTCACTGGCACCATAATTGGGAAGGACAGGGTGTGCTCAGGGACTCAAATGGCACCCCACCTCCACCCCACTACCTGTTTCTTCTCTTTCTTCTTCATTCTCCTTGTCTTCCTCACATGGCAGAGAATACAGGGTAGGAAGCCCTGGGAATCACGCCTTTGGAATTTGCATTCCAAGGTGGGCTGACTCCTTTCTCCCAGAACCCATTTATGCATCCCAGGGAAATGGCTCTATTTGGTTCAGTTGGGTCATATACTCTTCCTGGGCCAATTATGTGGCTAGGAAGATGGAATTCTCCACAAGGCCAGGCCTTCTATCAGGGGACTGGGCTCTGTGTCTGAGAGCCCCATCAGAACCTCATAAAGTGGGGAGATGGCAGGGAGGGGTGTTGTTACCATTAGAAGGGAAAGAGAGGTTGGGCAGGCAAAAACTCAGCTGCCCCCTCCCATAAGCATTCAGGCCATTGTGGGAATGATCCGCTAGCCAGGGGAAAAGGCAGTCATGGTGTTTGGATGCAGAGTGGCCTAGGGTTCAAGACCCAGCTTTTTCACTTTCTGGCTGTGTGCAGGTGGGCAAGGGACCTCCCAGAGCCTCATTTTTCCTGACTGCAAAGTGAAAACAAAAATCCCAGCCCATAGAGTTGTAAATATTTGAGATAAGGGCAATAGAGTGATAGCCCAGAGCCTAGTGCATAGTAGGGGGTTGTGGTAAGGGTGGTCATTGTCATTGTTATTGATGCTTTGGGTGGGTCGATGTTTAGCTTCAAGTCAGAAGCTGAGGATTCTGAGAAAATGCTTCAGACAGTGGGAGCTTCTCAAGGCCCAGACCCCTGCACCAGGGTTATGGGGAAAGGCAGTGAGAGAGATGACTCCTCCCGGGTAAGGATTATAGAAGATGTCATATCTGTGGGGCATGAGAGGGGAGTTGACCTCTAGGAGTCCTGAACTCAGGGTCAGCCCAGCACTGCCCCAACCTGCTGGTTGACTCTGGCCTGGTGACCTGCCCTCTCTGAGCTCAATGATCCCTGAACCAGTGACAGCTCCGCATGACTGCTCAGGATTCCTGCTCATCTAAGGCTGCTAGGAAGTCAACAGTGTCACCTCCCACACTCCCTGTTTTTTAAAGGGATCGAGCAGCCCTTAACACAGAGTTGAACATCTGCCCTTCTCAAGGCCCTGTGCTGGGCTTGAGGACTCAGGTGACTCTGACCCAGCCTGCCCTCAAGGGCCTGCAGCCTGGCTAGGTGAATCAACATGGCGCCCTGAACAAGGATAGCTCAGGCACTGATTCCCTGTGTGACCTTGGGCAAGTCACCACCTCTCCCTGGAGCTCTCGTTTTCCCATCTGTAAGAGAAGGGGTTAAACGTGAGGATGAGAGCCTACAGCCCCAAAGAGGTGGATGGAGAGCCCACCCCCATACCTCAGCCTCGGCTCAGAGTCTAGTGACATCATCCACAACCCTCTCCTGTTTCCCTGGCAACTGGGGTGCTGGCCGAGGCTCCCCAGGGGCCCAGACCGTCTGGATTTCCTTGCACATAACTATACCTCGTCCACATTTTCACAATTAAATTGTCAGTTTGGGTTAAGTGTTGTCTGCTGATGGCTGTCAACCTCTCTCTGGCTCTCCTCACTCTTCACCCAGAGCAGGTAAGTGAGAACGTCCTGCCTGTCCCTCAGTGCCATGGAAAGGAACTAGGATGTTAGTGGGAGGCAGGAGAACTGGGTTCCAGGGTAGCTCTGCTATGCACTTGCTGTGTGGTCTTGGGTAAGTCACTTGCCCTCTCTGGGCCTAGGTCTCCCCATCTTAACAACAGAGCTAATCACCTCTGCCCAGCCTCCCTCTCAAGCCAGTGGCAAGTCTCAAAGGAGCCTGCCCATAACTGTGGCAGGGCTTAGAAAACTGGAAAGCTCAACTTGAGGTCTGGGATGGTTAATAAAATGAGCAAACGGACCTTGAGAGGGACTTCTCTGAATCCCCACCAAACAGACAGGTAAGTCAGTTCCCCTCTGGTCTACCCCGCATCCTTCTGGCTACAGATCTAGCCCAGGTCTTCTCCCTCTCACAGTCTGTTCCTGGATTGAAAAGGACAGAAAAAGTGCTCTTCCCAACAGGGCTTGGCACTGAAGATGCAGAGCAGAGGTGCTAGACCAGAGGACTAAGGGCCCTGCTTCCCACAACAGATGTGTCCATGCAGGTGGCTCAGCTGCTGCATTAGTGGCCAGGCTGTCCCTCCCCTCCACTAGCCCAAGTCATTCCTGCTGCTACCCCACTTTCCCCTCATAGGCTTCCAGGAGCTCCATCTCCCCTCACCTCCCCATCCAACCCCAGACCTGCCCCAGACTTGAATCCCAAACCTGACCTTACCCCTTCCCTCTTCAGACCTCCTCCATGTCTCTCTTGGCAAAGCCCAAGCTCCCTAGCCCAGCACTGAAGGCCCTCCGTGGCATGGGCCTGGCTTCCTCTCCCGTTATTCTCCCTCCTGTTGCTCTTCATGCCAGCAGCACCGAACCACCCACTTACCCTTCTCTGAAAGCAAACTTCTTCTTGTCTTTGCTTACACTGTTCCCCTGCTGGGAACGCCCTCCCCCTTCCCCGGCCACCTGACAATTCCTCTCCCACCTGCACATTATTTATATAGACATGAATGCTAAGTACAGATGAGCTCTCCATCTGGAACTGTTTACGTACCTGGCAGAAAAGGAACTAACCTTTATCAAGGACCGATTACGTGCTGAGCATTTTACATACATCATCTCTCCTTTAAGCCCCACAGCAACCCAGGCAATAAATTTCACTCCTCCTATTTTTCAGGTGAGAAAACTGAGGCTCAGAGACATGAAGTGTCTCTTCCAAGGCCAAACAGAAGTTGCTTTCGAGTTGCAACCCCAAACTGTGTGATCCAGAGCCCATGCTTGTTTTAGGGCCAGGTGGAAGCACTTCCCTTAGGGTTATATCTGTGTCCGGGGACACCATGTACATAAAAATACTTGTTATTAAGTGAGGTTGTGCTGCTTTGTAATGCTAGGGACCATCGTGATGTGCCTAAGGCTATCCTATATAAGAGGGGACCCCAGGAAGACAGCCAGGACCCCTGGGGGAATCAGAGGTCTCTGCTCTAGACGGAGGAGGATCTTCTCCAAGACAGAGCCATTCATAATGGAAGACACCATCCTGGAGGGAGTGAGCTCCAATCCCTGGCAACTTTGGAGCAATTACTGTTTGTCCAGCCCTGGTGCAGTACTGGGGACATAGCAGCACATGACAGAGCTATCACTGGCCACATGCTGCCCCAGATCAGTGGAGACATTACAGGGCCTCTGGTGGCCAGCACCTTGGGGTTATGAGAGGGGGTGGCCCAACGGTAAGATTCTAAGATTCTGAAATGACATTAGACAAATAATTGTGTATATATTTAGCTTTTTCACTCTTTAAGCCTGGCTGCTTCTTGTCTCTATTGCTACATAACAAACCATGTCAAGATTTAGTAGTTTAAAGCCATAATTGACTCTCGTGCTTCTGTGGGCTGACCCAGCAGCTCTGCTGACCTTGTTGGGCTCGCTCGCGTGGCTGCATTTGACTGATGGGCCAGCCGATACAGCAAGGCCTCTCTCTGCCCCAGCCTGGGCTTCTGACCTTGCAGCTGGGCTGGGCCCCAACAGGGTGAAGGCAGAAGCTGCAAGGCCCCGAGTCCTGGGCAGCAGAACACAGGCTACATCTACTAGTCAAGCAAGCCATGAGGTCAGCCCAGATGGAGGGGTGGGGACAGAGCCTTCGCTTTTGCATGGAGTCACATTCCAAAGAGTCTTTATGTTCTGGGATGGGAGGAATTGGTGCTACTAAAAAGCTGCCTCACTGGCCTGCTCAGAAAGGCTTCAGAACCAGTGACAAATAACTGCATGGCTTATGCCTGGATGTCAGGAGACCTGATATCTGTCTCCTGCACCACTAACCGAGTGATGTGCGACCCCTCTCTCGGCGTCAGTTTCTCTATGTGTACAGTCGGGGCACTGAGCATGGTAGGTCTCTGGCCCTGTGTGTGCGTGTGATGGGGTGAAACTCAGACAATGCCGCCTCTCTTCTCCCAGGTGCAGAGACGCTGATTTGTACACATATCAGAGAAGCAGAGGCCCAACCATAAAAGAAACTGCCATCCTGACACAAATGCCCCTGTGGCCCACTGCTTCCTATGCCTCCTCTTCTGGTGACAGGCACTGCACCCAGCCATGCCCAGAGCCAGTTTCCCGTGGCAATAACAGATGTCCATCAGAGGGAGAGTGCGTGACTCAAACAAGGCCAATCAGCCGCCTTCCCTGGGACTGATTCAGAGGCCCAAGGAGACAGAGGTCTCATTTGACTGGAATTTCTAACTGGGGCTGTTGGTGGCTGCATCCCAATGGGGAGAAATGAGGCCCGGGTGAGTTCAAAGAGAGGAGGAAGAAGGAGAAGTGAGTTTGAGACAGCACAGCATCTCCAGGGGACCAGCACCAGCCCTGAGCCCTCCTGAGTGCAGTAGGGCCACCAGCCACCCCAGTTTCTCCTGCAGGAACCAGTTTCTCTGGTGTTGAAGCTGGTTGGGGTTGGGTTTCTTCTCTCCTGGAGCTGAAAGAGGCCTGAGAAACACACACATTGTCTCCTGAGCAGCCACCACCATGATTAAACAACTGAGAGTTGAAAGCAGGCTTTCAGATGTGACGCCCTCAGTAGACATGACGGGTGGCATTTTGTTATGTGCACCCAGGAAAGACACCTCCCATCTCTCCGTGGTGCCCCCAGGCCTGCTCCCTGAGCCCTGTAAAATAACAATACCTCCCCTGAGGTAACTGAAGGGGAGGAGGAAGACATACCCTACCCTGGGCAGTGGGCAGAGGTTCCAGAAACCCACAGACCCGGGGTTTGCAGCCAGGCCCACTCACTGACAGAGAGATCTTGTATGAATTACCTGACAGACCTGGCCCAGTGTGCTTATCTGCAGAGCAATGCCTGTCTCAGGCATAGGCACAGAAACTGCCTAGCACACAGTAGGTGCTTGTTCAACCAATATGACTTCTTACAACATTATTTCTCAATAACATCGAGAAGGAGTGGTTTCGTGGCTTTCTGTTTTGCAGATGATGAAACTAAGGATCCCAGAGGCTGAGTGACTTCCCCGGAGTCCCTCGGTGGGTAAGTGGAGGAGGTGAGTCTGACAGCCAGGCCCAGGTGCTCTGATGACAGGCCTGCTGCTATTTTGTCCCCTTACCCCACCCTTGCCTGGAAGATCTGGCCTCACAGGGCATGCCAGAAACAGCTGGGCTGGGTTCCTCTGCTCAGACCCCCTGTTCATGTGTCTTCTCAGAAAGGCCTTTCTAAAAGCACCCTGGTGGTGGAAGCAGTACGCTTTAGTCTCATTGTAACCAATGAGAAATGGGAAATGGTGATGACGGCCTCTGCCCTGCCCTGCCCTCCCTCGAGATGTGTCCAGGACCAGGATGAGGGATCTCAAAAAATGGTTCTGGCCGGTGCAGTGCCTCATGCCTGTAATCCCAGCACTTTGAGAGGTCAAGGTGGGTGGATCACCTGAGGTCAGGAGTTTGAGACCAGCCTGGCCAACATGGTGAAACCCCTGTCTCTACTAAAAATACAAAAATTAGCCGGGTGTGGTGGTGGGCACCTGTAGTCCCAGCTACTTGGAAGGCTGAAGCATGAGAATCGCTTGAACCCAAAAGGTGGAGGTTGCAGTGAGCTGAGACTGCACCATTGCACTCCAGCCTGGGCAACAAGAGCGAAACTCTGTCTCAAAACAAAACAAAACAAAACAAAAATGGTTCTGGGAAGCCAGCATCTGCCAGGTGGCCTGGGGTCGGGAGAGGGAGAGTACCTGTGGTCTTCCTTCATTCACATTCATGGCTCGTCCTATGGCACAGGCTGGTTTGGTGGTGAGAAGAGCATGGCCCAGGGAGTGCTGGTTCCAGGCTAGAAAGAGTCATCTATGGAGCAGGTCCAAACCCAACCAGGAGCCTGGGACCCATGAGTCCAGCCCATGCCAGCTGCCCCCAGCCAACCCGCAGACATGGGAGGGAGAGGCGTGTGCTTGTGGATGATGCCACAGAGACTGTACACAGCAAAAGTGGAGCAAAACACTGTCGCTTTTTTTTTTTTTTTTTTTTTGAGATGAGTCTTGCTCTGTCACCCAGACTAGAGTGCAGTGGTACCATCTTGGCTCACTGCAACCTCTGCTACCCAGGTTCAAGCGATTCTCCTGCTTCAGCCTCCCAAGCAGCTGGGATTACAGGTGCCTGCCACCACACCTGGCTAATTTTTGTATTTTTAGTAGAGATGGGGTTTCGCCATGTTGGCCAGGCTGGTCTTGAACTCCTGACCTCAAGTGATCCACCCACCTCGTCCTCTCAAAGTGCTGGGATTACAGGCGTGAGCCACCACACCTAGCTGTCACTCTCTTTTGAGTCCCTTGGTGAAGCGATAGCGGTGAGCTGAGCGGTGCCCCACCACATCCCCCCTTCACACACCACAAAGTCGTGGCCCAGGGTGCGTGATCTTGACCCTTCTCCTTACTGGCTGCTTTTGGCTTTCTCTGGAAAAGCCTTTGTTGTTGTGGGAGGGATAAAGTGCTGAGGTCTGAGTAGGGGTAGTGGGCTTAGGGAAGACAGAGAAGGCATTGGGGGGGACATCTGGGGTTGTGGTCACACAGCATTCTTGGGTCAGGAGCCCCAAGATGTGTGGGTTCTAGAGCTGAAAAGGCCCTTAGAGGTTCAACCCTTCACTTATAGATGGGCGACTGGGGCTCAGACAAAGCAAAAAAACTACCTGCCATCACACAGCAAACTAGTGACGGGGCTCAGGACTGCAACCAGTTTTCCTGCACCCCCATCTGGTGCCCCTGCAAACAGGTGACTGCCCCCCACCATCTCCACCAAGGTTTTGGCCTCAAGGGAAGGAAGCTGAAGTGGGCAGAGGGCTCCCTCAAGGTCAGCAAGGCGAACGGAACTTTGTCCGCCCTTACCTCCATGTCCTTTCAGCCTGGGTGCCTCCCTGGGCAGGGTGGGTACAGGACGGGGGTGGGGGGAAAGGGGTGTGCCCCTGGCCAATGGCAGTCAGGCAGGGGCTGAGAAGCCAGCTGACAGGAAGCCCCCAGCATGTCTGGGTGATCAGATCACCAGAATCGCCTGGGCTGATTGAGAAGAAAGATATATTCACATCCACGTCCACAGCAGCAGCAGCCAGGGGCATGGGGCCTCATCCCCTCTGAAGAGGAGCCTGCAGCCCAGGTGGCCAGCACAAGCCAGATACACAGTGGCCCTTGAGGAGGACTGGACAGAGGGAAGTAGAAGGGACGGCAAGGGGGTAGGTCAGTTGGTTCTAAAGATGAAAACAAAATTCTTCTCAATTACTGCCTATTATGCAAATGGAGAGACTTGGGTGCAGGGAGGGGCAGACCCTCACCCCAAGTCTCCCTTGATTTTCAATGCAAGCTTTTGGCAACACTTTCTCATAGCCCTTCCCCCTACTCCCCTCCCCAGGCAGGTTTCCAGCCCTAGCTGATGCCTGGGTCCTGATCCACAGGACACAGCTGAGTAGCTGGCAGGTGGCAGGAGGGGGCAGGGCTGAGCTTCAGGAGTATGGGATGTTCTGCTGGTTTCCTTCAACTCCCCACAAGACAATGGAAAGTCACTATCCTTCCCCCATGTGTTCACTGGGAGCCACCAGCCATAGTGGAGTCTGAGCCAGAGATCTGGGTTCATATATCAGCTCCCTTTTGAGCCTCAGCTTCCACATCTGTGAAATGGGAATACTAATCCTGATCTTGGAGAAGTAGAGGATTCCATGGGATTGTATTATTCCCATTTTGTGGGTGAGAAAACTAAGTCTTGGGGAATTTAAGCAACTTGCTCAAGATTACACAGCTAAAAATAAAATTGGGCAAAATCTGTATTGGAATCCAAGTTTACATGACTCCAAATTCTTCCATTTCTACTCTAGCCGGGAGCCAGAGGGGATTTCTGGCAGGACTGCTGCAAATGTTTGGAGGCAACTGACTGAGCCTCTTAAACGGGCAGAGGGTGCGCATCCCAATCAGACAGAGACCACCTGGAATGGCTCTGACTGAAGTGGCCGGGGGGCCTGGGGCAGGGGAGCTGAAGACATTCTTGGGCCCCCGGAGGCCTTTGCTCTCTGCCTCTTAGGTGGAATAGCCCCCGCCTTCCCTTCCTCAATGCCCCAAGCCCACTGTCTTTCCACTGCTTTTTTGATCAGATTGCCCCAGTGTTCTGGCATGAGAGATGGGGGTGTCCCAGCGTATGTTCCAAAGGATATCCCTGTGATTGTGTGCAGAAGTACATGTTAGGCATTGTACACTTGGGAGCTGTGTGTGCATGGAAGCTCACGCATGTTTGCACCTGAACTGTGTGCGCGCAGGTGGTCTGTGTGCAGCCTCCCCTTCATGATGTGTGTACGGCCATTTCACACCTCTGTGCTACTGTGTGTGAGGGCAGATGATATGTCCTGGTATCTCCCGAGTGTGTTTGTAACCATATGCGGGGTGATATGCCCCAGCCTGTGTGTGAGGACTGGCTGTGTGGGAGTACTGGTATGGCTGGGAGGCTGCTATGGGCACTGTGGGCCCAGATGTTTGTGTTGTATGTGGAGGTACCTGTAGCTGGGTGTGGGGCAGCCTAGGAGTGCCACTTCATCTGCAGCTGCAAAGAATGGGGAAAAGAATGTCAGGCATTTTGGGGGACCTGAGACAGGCTCCGTGTCCTCACTAAGTCTCCATTTCCCTTTCTGCTAATGAACCAGTTATCCTTGAGGACGTCCTGGGATTGAGGCCCCTAGAAGGAGGGGGAGACATGGATGAACCCACAGCACCCGATGGGCAGTTAGAAATCGCAGTCATGTTGTGGGGTAAGCAGCTGGTCTGCTCAGGGGAGGCCAAGTGAGGGGGTCCAGAAGCACCACACGCCTGGGCTACTCGACGCAGGAGGTGCCTCTCTAGGCTCCTTTAACTTAGGAAACCCAGTCCTCCTCTGCTCCCCCTCCCCTGTGTCCAGAACACTCCCCAGCAGTCACCCCAACGGCTGGGACGCCGCCCAGCTCCACACCTAAGGTTTACAGCGGGCTTTGTAGCGCGGAGTCCTCGTGTCTCTTTCTCTTGCAGGATCGTTGATTCCTTTTCCACAACTGGAACCAGAGGCCAGAAGAGATGGCCCCCCGAAGGACCAGGACTAGGACACGAAGGCAGGTTTCGGGACCTCAGACGTCTACAGTAACCACGCTGCGCGACCAACACCTAAGGATGCCCCGGCTCCAGACTGAGACCCAAGTCTGACTTCCCCCTGCCAGTTGAGGCTCCTTGCCTGGTTGCTGCGACGATTCGAGATGGGCCTTACCCGGGCCCCACGCGTGTCGCAGGCACGCAGCACGCACGCTTAGTAAACACCAGCTGTAGTGAGCGAGTCCCCCTTTGTAACTCGACAGAGTACTAAGTTCTCTGGAGCGGCGGGCGCCGCCGGTCAGTGGCGTCCGCGGGGACCCCGCCCCCGCCCCCCGCGCGCGGCCGGGGCCACCCGGTGGGGTTGCGACGCGCTGACGTGGGCGGATCAAAGCGGCCGCCCGCCTTATAAAGCAGTTTGGGAGGCTCGCGCCGGAGATCGCGCCAGGCGAGGAGGAGAGCTCGGGCGAGCGGCGAGCACAGGCCACGGGAGCTGAGCGCAGCAGAGAGCAGCCGGAGTCCGCGCCTGACTCCGCGCGGGTCCTGAGCCGGCCGCAGCTTGCCAGGATCCCCGGCGTCCTTCTCGCGCCGCTTCACGAAGAGGGCGCCTTCGCCGCTCGCCCAGCCGGAGTGCGCACGGGCCCGCTGGAAACCGCACTCGCCGCTCCCTGGGCAGGCCGGGGCACCCGGGCACGCAGGGCGCGCCTGGCGAGCGCCCCGGGAGGTGAGCAGTGGTCGCGGGCAGCGGGCAGCCGCTCAGCGGGGACCCGCCAGGGCTGGGGGCGCCCGAGTCCGAGGGGGACGACGCTTCTCGCACCCGCCACGACCCCCTTGGGCACCCACTCCCGGGTAAGCAAACCAAGCGCTCCTCCATACCTTTCCCCCGCAGCACTCCGAAGAGTTCCCCTTTGCGGAGCGAAGCCTCGGGAGCCTGGGGACGCGGGGTTTAGGGGCACGCGGGACGGTGGTGGGTTGTGCAGTTCCTGCGGCCCTCCTCGAACTTTCCCGGCCCGGCCCCCCTCTTCTGCCCCCGCACCCCAGGCGACCCCCTCCTTCCCAGTCGTTCGGCGGATGAGGTCATGCCCGAGCCACCCCCGGGGGTGGGGGACTTGGATCCCGCGACAGAGGGTGTGTGTGGTGGGCGGGGGGAAAGGGTGGCAAAAGGCAAAGAAATGCGGCAGCGCCTAGTAAATTGGGGATGGGGGCAGAAGCCTGGCTTTGAGAACGGGTCCCAGGGGCGGCGGGGGGAGGGGGAGAACCGAGTTTGTTTACTGACCTGAGCTCCAGGCTGGGGGCTAGGGAGGAGGAAAGTCCTGTCCCCGGCCCCGAGGCACATCTGCAACCGCCCGGAACATCTGGCTGAGCTCGCGCACGAGCTCCACGCCTCCCACCCCCGGGGCTGAAGTGCCTCGGTGTCCCTCAAGGCCCTGGGCGTGCAGGGTCCGGCTCCAGGGGGTTAGCAGGAGGGATCTCGAGTGCTCCCACCCACCCTTCCCACTTCCAAAACAACCCGTCTCCCGGGTGACCCGGCGCCGCGTGCGCAGCCAAGCAGACGTCTCTCGAAAGCCTCACGGCTGGGGTCAAAGCCGGGTGGCAGGCCCGGCCTCGCCCCGCCCCGCAGGTAACCTTGAAGCCGTCGCTCGGCGTCCCTGGTTGGCGGGGTCAGCTCCGTGAGCTGCGTGGCGGGAGGCTTCGGGACCCGCCCGTGCCGACCTTGCGCGCCGCGCGGACAATCGGCCCCGGTGCACGGTGCCCGTGGGGCGTCGGGGTAGGGGGGACCCCGCAAGTCCTCGCCGGGCCGGCGTGGCCTGGTCCCAGCGGCCGGCTTTCCAGAGTCCTCCACAGACCGGGCCTATGACCATCTGTTGGCGGCGCTGGGCTGCGGCGCTGCGCTCGTGGTGTTCTCCCTGTGCACAGCCCCAGGCGGCCGCCTCCCGGGCCCGCTGCAGGCAGGGTAGCTCGGACCAACTTCGAGGAGGTGACCGCTCGCTCTCCAAAGGTGCTACGCCTGGCGCGGCCCACTACGCGCCCGGCCCCAAGCAAGGGGCCGGGCAGGTCAGGGCGGCCCACGGCAAGTGTCCTATAGAACGACCAGGACACAGGGGGCACTCCCTCGACACGTCGTCCCATCCCCAGACGGAGAAGCGGGGGCCCAGGAAGAGGACTTGACCCCAGCCCGCGACGCAGGAGGCAGCCGCGATTCCCCCCTCCTCGAGCCCCGGCTTAGCGCCCCCTGGCGGGCTGGGGGCTTCAGGAGGCGCGTGCACCCTGACCCGCGAGCTCAGGCGGAAGGTGACCCCGTGGCCTGCGCGGCTGTCCCGGGCGCTCGTACAAGGGACAGGAACAGTCCGTCAGGACCCAGAGGCTCGGGCCAGGCGCTGCCTCCCCGCGCGACGAGCTTGGGCGGCGGAGGGAGAGCCTTGGGACAGCCGGGGCTGCACCGAAAGAGCTGGGCGGGGCTGGAGGCCTGGGTCCCCGTCCGCTGTGCGACCTAGGGGGCTCCTCCTCTCCCTGGGAGACCAGGCTGGACACAGATCCCCCGCTGTGAGTCCGCGCGCCTCCGTCCTCTTGCAGCCCCCGCCCCCTCCCCACCCAGGAATGCCGGGTGCCTTCGGGGGGCGGCGCACTTTGGGAGAGGGGAAGACGGTGACTGGAGTTTTGATTCCCCCCTCCATATCCAGCGGATATTTTTCTCGTTCTGAGAAGTGCAAGAAACTTGCAGGACCAGGAAGACAAAGGATTTGGATACAGGCTGGGTGGGAGGACGGGACTGGGTTACACCGAGAACCCCTCTGAGACCCCCAGCCTTGACGGCATGTTTGTCGCAGGCGCCCCTGTGCTGGGCGCTAGCTGCGGGGCTCTGCGGAGGAAAAAAACTGTACGATCCAGGCTTCTCCTCGCCTTCCTGTGGGTTTTGCCGACAGGCTCCAGAAAACAGTGGGGCTTCCCATCTCTGCGTGCTGACTACCCACGCGCAGGAACGCGCCACGCAGGTGGCGTCGCGGTGCAAATAGCAGAGGGGCGCTGAGCCCCGCAGGCTGCAGGGAGACGGGGTCCTCGGGGGACGCACGGCGAAGCCCCATTCCTCGTTCTTATGGAAGGGGACACCGAGGCTGGGGTGGCTGAGGGCTTGCCCAAGCTCACAGAGCCAGATAAGAACGTCCCTTTTCTGCTCCAGCGCCCCCACTACCGTGGGCGCCTCCTTTTCCAACTCCCCAAACCCTTAGAAAGGAATCCCTTTGTCTCTGCTCCTCCCGAGGGGAGAGGGGCTGGGGCTGTGTCTGACTCCGGGCGAACGCCAGGTGTTGGTAAATTTGGGAGAAGCTGGGAAGGGAGTTAATGAGGTGAGAATGAAGTGAAGGAGAAAAAAAGCGGAGATAGCTGCTCCGCGGGCTGCGGGCGGGCGGGGCAGCCTCTCCTCCGCGGCCCGAGGGCGCCGCCTGGAGGCCAGAGGCAACACCGCGCCAGCCCCGCGAGCTTCCCCGCTTCGCTAAGGCGGGGCTGCCCAGTCCCAGCCCGCATGCTTCCACTCCCACCCTCCAAAGTGGAGCGGCTAAAGACGGACTTGGAGACTCGGAATCCTCACTGTACAAAGAGCCCTACCATCCCGTTTCCCATCCTCCCCTTCCCACACCGAGAAAGCAGGGCCCCGAGCAAGCCCCATTTCCTGATTTCGCCGGACACCCGGCTTGCCGCTCCCTAGCTGAACCCCACCTCTGTGCCTCAGTTTCCTCATCTGTGAGATGAGGCAGCGATAGTGCCTATCTCACGGGGTGCTGGGAGGAGCAGATGCGATCGTGTTAGGGAACTTTTTTTGTTTGTCTGTTTGTTTGAGACGGAGTTTCGCTCTTGTCGCCCAGGCTAGAGTGCAGTGGCGCAATCTCCGCTCGCTGCAACCTCCGCCTCCCGGGTTCAAGCGGTTCTCCTGCCTCAGCCTCCCGAGTAGCTGGGATTACAGGCGCCCGCCACCACGCCCGGCTAATT